>NC_000007.14:42361454-42664484 GCF_000001405.40 Homo sapiens
CACATCCATTGGCTTGAAGTCCAGTGTCCCTTATTTTATATTGCTACTACAGCTTAAATAAATACATAAATACAAGTTAAGATAACAACAACAACAACAACAACCATGGCAATGGGACCCTGACTGGAAGAAAGATTTTGATTCCTGGTCACATCTCTTGAGGAGTGGACTATCACTCACAGTCCCATCTCAGCCACAAGCGTTGTGGCTGATGGCAGGCAGCAGGGAGGACGGGAGCTGAACAGATCAAATGACCCTCTTTATGCCAATGGGTCACACCATAATCCTAGTGAGGTAGGAGTGGGAGTAGGAGCATGTAAGAATTTTCTTTCCTGAGACCCCAAAACAAAAGCATCTCTCTTTATAAAGATTTCCAATGCTCTGCAGGCTTGTGAAGTTGTGAAGACCATGCGTAAGCTCAAGTCAAGATAAATAAGATATGAAACTACAAACATGAGCATCTTGACTCCCCTGCACTTCTCACCCATGGTGCCCCTCCTGAGCAGTGATTCCCACCCTGGTCCAGCTTTGATCCTACAGGAATGAACGTGCTTCCCACCTTCAGTGAGCTTCTCCTTTTGCTCCATCACTTCCAGCTGGAGTTTCCCATCCAACCTGTTTTGAATTAAGATTAATAAATGTATTTGAAATTGAAATCGTCTTTTCCCCTTGGCCTTATCCCTGGCTCTAAATTCTCACCCCAGTCTCAAGGCATGATAAATACATACATAATTCATGTATAGAATAAACCTATCTTCTCTGTTCACTGTATTTTTGCCATTTGCAACTTCCCTGTGCCTTCCAGCTTTGAGAGAATTTCCTGCCCGCTCTCACTCCCACCCAAGTCACTTAACAGTATGTTCTGTAAGTTCCTCCAAGTATGCTGACAGAGGTTGAACCTACTCCTTTTATTGGTTGTATAAGATTCTATTATGCTGATATTCCAAAATTTGTTCAAACCTTCCCTGCAACATTTCATGCTGCTTCCAATTTTTTTTCATAACAGATCTGTAATCAGTATATTTATCCCATATTTTTTTCCATATTTATGCTTACATATCTATGGGCTGGATCTCCAGGAGCCAATGCTGGGTCAAAGGCTCTGTCTACTTTTAATTTTCATGGATGTTGTCAAATTGCTTTCCGAAATGGGCTGAAACAATTTATATTTCCAACTGCAATTAATAAAAATTCTCTTTTCTCCTACATCCGTGCCAGTAGTAGGTATTATTTCTTACTGATTTTTACCAATTTGATGGTTGTAAGTGATATCTGGTTGTTAGCTTAATTTGTAATTTCTTTCACTGTGAGGGAGGTGGAGAATATTTCCACCTTTTTATTGGATTTATTCTTTCAATTATTTACTTTATTTGAATTTACTGTTCTATGAAGTATCTATTCATATTCTTTGTCCATTTTAAATGAGAGTTTTGTCTATTCATTATCAATATTCCTTTCTAATATGAAGATTTAACCTGCCATCCACATCACAAATATTACCAATATTTAATATTAATATATAGACAATGTATCCTTTCTATCAAACATTTGTTTTTTATTAAAATATGTTCTTCTCTCTTTGATAGTATATATGCATATTTTAACATTCCTTTTTTAGTCAATTGCTATTCATTTTTTGTATGAGTAGTAAGGTAGAGAGTTACTTTTTTTGAAAATATTAATTTCTTACAACACTAACTGAATCATCTTTTTGTTCCTACTAATTTATAATAGCACTTTCATTATATTCAAAAATTGTATGTGGCTGGGGGTGGTGGCTCATGCCTGTAATCCTAGCACTTTGGGAGGCCGAGGCGGGCAGATCACTGGAGGTCAGGAGTTCGACACCAGCCTGACCAACCTGGTGAAACACCATTGTATTAGTCCATTTTCACACTGCTGATAAAGATGTATCTGAGACTGGGCAATTTACAAAAGAAAGAGGTTTATTGGACTTACAGTTCCACGTGGCTGGGGAGGCCTCACAATCATGGCAGAAGGTGAAAGGCACATCCCACATGGCAGCAGACAAGAGAAGAGAGTTTGTGCAGGGAAACTCCCATTTTTAAAACCATCAGATCTCGTGAGACTCCTTCACTATCACAAGAATAGCGCGGGAAAGACCTGCCCCCGTGATTCAACCTCTCTCACCAGATACCTCCCACAATATGTGGGAATTATGGGAGCTACAAGATGAGATTTGGGTGTAGACACAGAGCCAAACCATATCATTCTGCCCTTGGCCTCTCCCAAATCTCATGTCTTCACATTTCAAAACCAATTATGCCTTCTCAACAGTTTTCCAATGTCTTAACTCATTTCAGCATTAACTCAAAAGTCCACAGTACAAAGTCTCATCTGAGAAAAGGCAAGTCCCTTCCACCTATCAGCCTGTAAAATCAAAAGCAAGTTAGTTACTTCGTAGGTACAATGGGGGTACAGGTATTGGGTAAATACAGCCATTCCAAATGGGAGAAATTGGCCACAACAAAGGGGCTACATGCCCAATGCAAGCCCGAAATCCAGCAGGGCAGTCAAATCTTAAATCTCCAAAATGATCTCCTTTGACTCCATGTCTCACATCCAGGTCACACTGATGCAAGAGGTGGGTTCCCATGGTCTTGGGCAGCTCCGGCCCTGTGGCTTTGCAGGGTGCAGCTTCCCTCCTGGCTGCTTTTATGGGCTGTCATTGAGTCTGCAGCTTTTCCAGATGCACAGTGCAAGCTGCTGGTGGATCTACCATTCTGGGGTCTGGAGGATGATGGCTCTCTTCTCTCAGCTCCACTAGGTGGTGCCTCAGTAGGGACTCTGTGTGGAGGCTCCAACCCCACATTTTCCTTCTGCACTGCCCTAGCAGAGGTTCTCCATGAGGGCCCTTCCCCTGCAGCAAACTTCTGCCTGGGCATCCAGGCGTTTCCCTACATCTTCTGAAATGAAGGTGGAGGTTCCCAAACCCCAGTACTTGACTTCTGTGCACTTGCAGGCTCAACACCATGTGGAAGCTGCCAAGCCTTGGGGCTTGCACCCTCTGAAGCCATGGCCCAATCTCTACATTGGCCCCTTTAAGCCACAGCATGCAGGGCACCAAGACCCTACGCTGCACACAGCATGGAGATCCTGTGTCTGACCCACGAAACCATATTTTCCTTCTAGGTCTCCAGGCCTGTGATGGGAGGGGCTGCCACAAAGGTCTCTAACATGCCCTGGAGACATTTTTCCCCTTGTCTTGGGGATTAATATTCAGCTCCTCATTACTTATGCAAATTTCTGGAGCCAGCTTGAATTTCTCCTCAGAAAATGGGATTTTCTTTTCTGTTACATTGTTAGGATGCAAATTTTCCAAACTTTTATGCTCTGCTTCCCTTATAAAACTGAATGCCTTTAACAGCACCCAAGTCACCTCTTGAATGCTTTGCTGCTTAGAAATTTCTTCTCCCAGATACCCTAAATCATCTCTCAAGTTCAAAGTTCCAGAAATCTCTAGGAAAGGGGCAAAATGCCACCACTCTCTTTGCTAAAACATAACAAAAGTCACCTTTGCTCCAGTTCCCAACAAGTTCCTCATCTCCATCTGAGACCACCTCAGCCTGGACCTTGTTGTCCATATTGCTATCACCATTTTGGGCAAAGCCATTCAACAAGTCTCTAGGGAGTTCCAAACTTTCCCACATTTTCTTGTCTTCTTCTGAGCCCTCCAAACTGTTCCAACTTTTGCCTGTTACCCAGTTCCAAAGTCGCTTCCACATTTTCAGGTATCTTTTCAGCAGCACTCCACTCTACTGGTAACAATTTACTGTATTAGTCCCTTTTCATTCTGCTAATAAAGACATACCCGAGACTGGGTAATTTACAAAAGAAAGAAGTTTATTGGACTTACAGTGCCACGTGGCTGGGGAGGCCTCACAATCATGGTAGAAGGTGGAAGGCATGTCTCACATGGCAGCAGACAAGAGAAGAGAGTGTGTGCAGAGAAACTTCCATTTATTTTTATTTTATCTTTTATTATACTTTAAGTTCCAGGGTACATGTACACAACATGCAGGTTTGTTACACAGGTATACATGTGCCATATTGGTTTGCTGCACCCATCAACTCAACATTTACATTAGGTATTTCTGCTAATGCCATCCCTCCCCCCGCTCCCCACCCCCTGACAGGCCCCAGTGTGTGATGTTCCCCACACTGTGTTCATGTGTTCTCATTGTTCAACCTCCACCTATGAGTGAGAACATGTGGTGTTTGGTTTTCTGTCCTTGTGATAGTTTGCTGAGGATGATGGTTTCCAGCTTCATCCACATCCCTGCAAAGGACATGAACTCATCCTTTTTTGTGGCTACGTAGTATTCCATAGTGTATATGTGCCACATTTTCTTAATCCAGTCTATCATTGATGGACATTTGGGTTGGTTCCAAGTCTTTGCTATTGTGAATAGTGCTGCAGTAAACATACGTGTGCATGTGTCTATAGGAGAATGATTTATAATGCTTTGGGTATATACCCAGTAATGGGATTGCTGGGTCAAATGGTATTTCTAGTTCTAAATATTTGAGGAATCACCACACTGTCTTCCACAATGTTTGAACTAATTTACACTCCCACCAACAGTGTAAAAGTATTCCTATTTCTCCACATCCTCTCCAGCACCTGTTGTTTCCTGACTTTTAAATGATCACCTTTCTAACTGGCATGAGATGATATCTCACTGTGGTTTTGATTTGCATTTCTCTGATGACCAGTGATGATGAGCATTTTTTCATGTGTCTGTTGGCTGCATAAATGTCTTCTTTTGAGAAGTGTCTCTTCATATTCTTCACCCACTTTTTGATGGGTTTTTCTTTCTTGTAAATTTGTATAAGTTCTTTGTAGATTCTGGATATTAGCCCTTTGTCAGATGGGTAGATTGCAAAAATTTTCTCCCATTCTGTAGGTTGCCTGTTCACTCAGATGATAGTCTCTTTTGCTGTGCAGAAGCTCTTTAGTTTAATTAGATCTCATTTGTTTATTTTGGCTATTGTTGCCATTGCTTTTGATGTTGTAGTCATGAAGTCTTTGCCAATGCCTATGTGTGAATGGTATTGCCTAGGTTTTCTTCTAGGGTTTTTATGGTTTTAGATCTTACATTTAAGCCTTTAATCCAGCTTGAATTAATTTTTGCATAAGGTGTCAGGAAGGGAACCAGTTTCAGCTTTCTACATATAGCTAGCCAGTTTTCCCAGCACCATTTATTAAATAGGGAATCCTTTCCCCATTGCTTGTTTTTCTCAGGTTTGTCAAAGATCAGATGGTTGTAGATGTGTGGTGTTATTTCTGAGGGCTCTGTTCTGTTCCATTGGTCTATATATCTGTTTTGGTACCAGTACCATGCTGTTTTCGTTACTGTAGACTTGTAGTATAGTTTGAAGTCAGGTAGCACGATGCCTCCAACTTTGTTCTTTTTGCTTAGGATTGTTTTGGCTATGTGGGCTCTTTTTTGGTTCCATATAAACTTTAAAGTAGTTTATTCCAATTCTGTGAAGAAAGTCATTGGTAGCTTGATGGGGATGGCATTGAATCTATAAATTAACTTGGGCAGTATGGCCATTTTCATGATATTGATTCTTCCTATCCATGAGCATGGAATGTTCTTTCATTTGTTTCTGTCCTCTTTTATTTCCTTGGGCAGTGGTTTCTAGTTCTCCTTGAAGAGGCCCTTCACATACCTTGTATATTGGATTCCTAGGTATTTTGTTCTCTTTGTAGCAATTGTGAATGGGAATTCACTCATGATTTGGCTCTCTGTTTGTCTGTTATTGGAGTATAGGAATGCTTGTGATTTTTGCACAGTGATTTTGTATCCTGAGACTTTGCTGAAGTTGCTTATCAGCTTAAGGAGATTTTGGGCTGAGATGATGGGTTTTCTAAATATACAATCATGTCATCTGCAACAGGGACAATTTGACTTTCTCTTTTCCTAGTTGAATACCCTTTATTTCTTTCTCTTGCCTGATTGCCCTGGCCAGAACTTCCAACACTATGTTGAATAGGAGTGGTGAGAGAGGGCATCCTTGTCTTGTGCCAGTTTTCAAAGGGAATGCTTCCAGTTTTTGCCCATTCAGTATGATATTGGCTGTGGGTTTGTCATAAATAGCTCTTATTATTTTGAGATATATTCCATCAGTACCTAGTTTATTGAGAGTTTTTAGCATGAAGCGTTGATGAATTTTGTTGAAGGCCTTTTCTACAACTATTGAGATAATCATGTGGTTTTTGTCATTGGTTCTGTTTATGTGATAAGTGATGTTTATTGATTTGCATATGTTGAACCAGCCTTGCATTCCAGGGATGAAGCCAACTTGATCGTGGTGGATAAGCTTTTTGATGTGCTGCTGGATTCAGTTTGCCAGTGTTTTATTGAGGATTTTCACATCAATGTTCATCAGGGATATTGGTCTAAAATTCTCTTTTTTTTATTATGTCTCTGCCTGGCTTTGGTATCAGGATGATGCTGGCCTCATAAAATGAGTTAGAGAGGATTCCCTCTTTTTCCTTTGTTTGGAATAGTTTCAGAAGGAATGGTACCAGCTACTTTTTTTACCTCTGGTAGAATTCAGCTGTGAATCCGTCTGGTCTTGGACTGTTTTTTGGTTGGTAGGCTATTAATTATTGCCTCAATTTCAGAATCTGTTATTGGTTTATTCAGAGACTCAACTTCTCCCTGATTTAGCCTTGGGAGGGTGTATGTGTCCAGGAGTTTATTGATTTCTTGCAGATTTTCTAGTTTATTTGCATAGAGGTGTTTATAGTATTCTCTGATGGTAGTTTGTATTCCTGTGGGATCTGTGGTGATATCTCCTTTATCATTTTTTATTATGTCAATTTGATTCTCCTCTCTTTTCTTTTCTTCTTTATTAGTCTTGCTAGTGGTCTATCTAATTTGTTGATCTTTTCAAAAAACCATCTCCTGGGTTCATTGATTTTTTGAAGGTTTTTTTGTGTCTCTATCTCCTTCAGTTCTGCTCCAATCCTAGTTATTTCTTGCCTTCTGCTAGCTTTTGAATGTGTTTGCTCTTGCTTCTCTAGTTCTTTTCATTGTGATGTTAGGATGTCAATTTTAGATCTTTCTTGCTTTCTCTTGTGGGAACTTAGTGCTATAAATTTCCCTCTACACACTGCTGTAAATGTGTCCCAGAGATTCTGGTACGGAGAGTCTCTGTTCTCATTGATTTCAAAGAACACCTTTATTTCTGCCTTCATTTCGTTATTTACCCAGTAGTCATTCAGGAACAGGTTGTTTAGTTTCCATGTAGTTGTGCGGTTTTAAGTGAGTTTCTTAATCCTGAGTTCTAATTTGACTGCATTGTGGTCTGAGAGATAATTTGTTAGATTTCTGTTCTTTTACATTTGCTGGGGAGTGTTTTACTTCCAATTATGTGGTCAATTTTAGAATAAGTGTGATATGATGCTGAGAAGAATGTTTATTCTATTGATTTGGGGTGGAGAGTTCTGTAGAAGTCTATCAGGTCCACTTGGTGCAGAGCTGAGTTCAAGTCCTGGGTATCCTTATTAACCTTCTGTCTCATTGATCTGTCTAATATTGACATGAGGGTGTTAAAGTCTCCCATTATTATTGTATGGGAGTCTAAGTCTCTTTGTAATTCTCTAAGGACTTGCTTTATGAATCTGGGTGCTCCTGTATTGGGTGCATATATATTTAGGATAGCTAGCTCTTGTTGTTGAATTGATCCCTTTACTATTATGTAATGGCCTTCTTTGTCTCTTTTAATCTTTGTTGGTTTAAAGTCTGTTTTATCAGAGACTAGGATTGCAACCCCTGCTTGTTAGATCTTCCTCCATCCCTTTATTTTGAGCCTCTGTGTGTCTCCGAACATGAGATGGGTCTTCCAAATACAGCACACTGATGGGTCTTGACTCTTTATCCAATTTGCCAGTCTGTGTCTTTTAATTGGGGCATTTAGCCCATTTACATTTAAGGTTAATATTTTTATTAGTGAATTTGATCCTGTCATTATGATGTTAGCTGGTTATTTTGCCCATTAATTGATACAGTTTCTTCATAGTGTTGATGGTCTTTACAATTTGGCAAGTTTTTGCAGTGGCTGGTACCAGTTGTTTCTTTCCATGTTTAGTACTTCCTTCAGGAGCTCTTGTAAGGCAGGCCTGGTGGTGACAAAATCTCTCAGCATTTGCTTGTCTGTAAAGTATTTTATTTTTCCTTCACTTATGAAGCTTAGTTTGGCAGGATATGAAATTCTGGGTTGAAAATTCTTTTCTTTAAGAATGCTGAATATTGGCCCCCACTCTCTTCTGGTTTTTAGATCTCTCTGCTGAGAGATCTGCTGTTAGTCTGATGGGCTTCCCTTTGAGGGTAACTCAACCTTTTTCTCTGGCTGCCCTTAACATTTTTTCCTTCATTTCAACCTTGGTGAATCTGATAATTATGTGTCTTGGGGTTGCTCTTCTCAAGGAGTATCTTTGTGGTGTTCTCTATATTTCCTGAATTTGAATGTTGGCCTGCCTTTCTATGTTGGGGAAGCTCTCCTGGATAATATCCTGAAGAGTGTTTTCTAACTTGGTTTCATTCTCCCCATCACTTTCAGGTGCACCAATCAAATGTAGATTTGGTTTTTTCATATAATCCCACATTTCTTGGAGGTCTTGTTCGTTTCTTTTTACTCTTTTCTCTCTAATCTTGTCTTCTCACTTTATTTCATTAATTTGATTTTCAATCACTGATATCCTTTCTTCCACTTGATCAAATCAGCTATTGAAGCTTATGCATGCATCACGAAGTTCTTATGCCATGGTTTTCAGCTCCATCTGGTCATTTAAGATCTTCTCTACACTGTTTATTCTAGTTAGCCATTCATCTAACCTTTTCCCAAGGTTTTTAGCTTCCTTTTGATGGGTTAGAACATGCTCCTTTAGCTTGGAGAAGTTTGTTATTACCAACCTTCTAAAGCCTACTTCTGTCAACTTGTCAAAGTCATTCTCTGTTTATTTTGTTCCATTGCTGGTAAGGAGCTGCAAACCCTTGGAGGAGAAGAGGTGCTCTGGTTTTCGGAATTTTCAGCTTTTCTTCTCTGGTTTCTCTGCATCTTTGTGGTTTTATCTACCTTTTGTCTTTGATGTTGGTGACCTACAGATGGGGTTTTGGTGTGGATGTCCTTTTTGTTGATGTTGATGCTATTCCTTTCTGTTTGTTCATTTTCCTTCTAACATGTCCCTCAGCTGCAGGTCTGTTGGAGTTTGCTGGAGGTCCACTCCAGACCCTGTTTGCCTGGGTATCATCAGCAGAGGCTGCAGAATAGCAAATATTGCAGAACAGCTAATATTGCTGCCTGATCTTTCCTCTGGAAGCTCCATCCCAGAGGGGCACCCGCCTGCATGAGATGTCTGTCAACCCCTACTGGGACGTGTCTCCCAGTCAGGCTACATGTGGGTCAGGGACCCACTTGAGGAGGCAGTCTGTCCATTCTCAGAGCTTGAATGCTGTGCTGGGAGAACCACTGCTCTCTTCAGATCTGTCAGATAGGGACGTTTATGTCTGCAGAAGTTGTCTGCTGCCTTTTGTTCAGCTATGCCCTGCCCACAGAGGTGGAGTCTAGAGAGGCGGTAGGCCTTGCTGAGCTGTGGTGGGCTCCACCAGTTTGAGTTTTCTGGCCACCTTGTTTACCTACTCAAGCCTAGCAATGGCAGATGCCCCTCCCCCAGCCAGGCTGTAGCCTTGCAGGTCAATCTCAGACTGCTTCACTAGCAGTGAGCAAGGATCCATGGGCATGGGACCCACCGAGCCCGGCGAGGGAGGGAATCTCCTGGCCTACCAGTTGCTAAGACCATGGGAAAAGTGCAGTATTTGGACGGAAGTGTACCATTGCTCCAGGTACAGTCTGTCATGGCTTCCCTTGGGTAGGAAAGGGAAATCCCCTGACCCCTTGTGCTTCCCAGGTGAGGCGTTGCCCTGCCCTGCTTTGGCTCACCCTCCATGGACTGCACCCACTGTCCAACCAGTCCCAGTGAGATCAAGCAGGTACATCAGTTGGAAATGCAGAAATCGCCAGTCTTTTGCGTCGATCTCGCTGAGAGCCGCAGACCAGAGCTGTTCCTATTTGGCCATCTTGGAAGCGACTCCAAAACTTCCATTTTTTAAACCATGAGATCTCATGGGACTCATTCACTGGCGTGAGAATAGCACAGGAAAGACCCACCCCCATGACTCAAACATCTCCAATGGGTCCCTCCCTCAACACATGGGAATTATGGGAGCTACAAGATGAGATTTAGGTAAGGACACAGAGCCAAACCATATTAGCTTTCTCTACTAAAAATACAAAAATTAGCCCGGTGTGGTGTCACAGGCCTGTGATTCCCAGCTACTCAGGAGGCTGAGGTACAAGAATAGCTTGAACCCAGGAAGTGGACATTGCAGTGAGCCAAGATCATGCCACTGCACTCCAATCTGGGTGACAGAGCAAGAAAAAAAGTCATATGTGTTTTAGGGTCTGTTCATGGGCCATTATGACTCAGTGAGTCAGCTATTTTTATAACAAATCATATTTCAAATTTGGTAAGATAAATTCTTCCTCTCCTCTCCCAACTCATCTTTTAAAAAACATGTGAGATATTTAATTGTGTTAATTCAGGTAAATTTTGAAATAACATTTTAAAATTTCACTAAGATTTTGATTAGAAAGGCATTACTCATTTATACTGTAATTTAGGGACTGGCAGCATTTTAGCTGTTAGGAACAAGGCTAATGTATTTAGAAAAGTCTGTATTCAGGACTTAGTTATTTTTATTTACTTGTCTTTATATTTTTTATTAGCTACTCTTACATATTTTAGTTATTTTCTATCTTTGAATCAAACCCCCTCACTTTTAAAAGTATATAAACGTATTTTAAATTTCAGAAAAATTTTAAATAAAAAGTTATCAATGATTCTGTGCTATGAGGCTGTGGAAAAAACTATAACTGAGAAAGGTTTGGGAAGATTTGAAAAATGAAGTCCTCTAAAATAATAAATGACTCCAATGAGACATCTGTTTGAATAGGCAACTGGCTAGCAGCCTGCAGTGTATTCTCCCTTGATGGGTCCCTAAAATATCTATGAAGACACAGGAAAGCTAAGACAGTCAGCTGACCTAATGTTAGATTCTGAGAGGAATTGACACTAATTACATGTCAGATGACACAGGACTGAGAAAAAGGCAAGCAGGGCTTATCTCATGGAAAATCTTGGCTTTGTTTAATGAAGCGGAAACTGTCTGAGCAAAGAGTGGAGGGTGCTTTGCATCTCCTCCACCATGCATACCAGGAAGCAAGGATTTAGGGCTTGTGCTAAAAAGGGAAATGGTGCATTCATTCTTCTGCCTCTAAGATGCTGATTGCGGGGTTGACAAGCATGCTATCTGCCCCGTTGCTTCTTTCTCTCTCATCTTTGTTTATCTACTCATTCAAAGACCTAGAAAAAGATTCAACCAAACAGCAGGGCCTAGTGTTGGCCCTGTGTAGAGAAGGACTTCATGTAACTCTCAGTAATAAGGCAGCCATTCCTTGCTAATCTTCAGGTGCTACTTTGTATAGCAAGTAGACTGCTATTTCAGCACACCTCCAATCTATTACTGCCATCCCAATTCTTATGGCCATCTTTCCATGTTCCAGCAGAGACATCTTTTATGTGCAATAGATGTGGAGGGATGAATTTGTGGCACACTCACATTGTTGTCCAGGAAAGCCCTCTGTCTTGACTGTTTACTTATTTATCCATCCCCTTCCATTCCTTATTCACATTCCTACTCCCCAGTAATCCTCTTGTTTTGAATGGAAATTATAAAATTTTAGATAAAGAAACACATCAAAATTTTCCAGTTGTTAATGCTTTTGGCATTGTGTCTGAGAAGGCCTTTGCAGATACCTGTTATCTGGACCTGCTATCCACAGCTGTATAAACTGTAAAAAGTCAGAAACTGCTCACCAGTGTTGGACAGCAACCAACACAGTGCTATATTTTTGGAGAAATGAGAAGCATGGGAGGTGAGCTCCATATTTACTCAGACTTACTCCCTAAGGGCATTTTCCAAACCATGGCACAGAAAAATAGAGTCCCCGCATACAGCAGTAATTTCATACAATAAAATAAACAAAGATGGGAGTTTGGATTGCTAGGGTGGCTGGGATTTGTGTGGTTGGGCACTGGATGAGAGGAAGCTGCAGAAAGGAAGCTCAAAAAAATCAGTTTGAAAATATTGCTTGTTTCCTCAGCCAACTCCAAAGCTGTGCATGCCCAAGATGGGACTGTAGAAGGCAGAACTCAACAGCACTGAGAGGCCAAAAGCTGAATAGATATTTTAGAGGTCAGAGTGGAATATGTTAAAATTTTGGCTAGTCGGAGTGGAAGGACTTTGGTAAACACTTCTGAGAACCCAGGAAGGCCATACCCTAGGAGGAAGGATAGGCTCCAGAAATAAAACAAGTTTCTGAAAAATTAGGCCTGGGGGGGAAAGTGCCTGGGGTGCAAACTTGCATGACTCAGAATGAAGACCTCGTTTGATGATGTGCTCTGGGTGCCTCATGTGCTGCATCTTAGTGTTGGTCCTGTAGAGGAGGACTTCATGTAACTCTCGGTAATATGCTAAAGCAAACTCAGGAAAAGATGGATAAGATGGGTGAACCAAAAAGTATTTTAATACAGAATTAAAATAATCAAATGGATATCTAATAATTGAAATATTGGAAATAAATGAAACAGTGAATGAATTAACCTCGGGCTGGAGAGACAGAGTAGAAATCAGAAATAATGAGTTCAAAAAGAGATTGGTATAGCTAAATGGAAGCATAGAGAGAAAAAAAATGAAAAACAAAACACCATAATCCTAGAGATAGAGGGTAAAAGCCATGTAGGACATAGAAGGTTTAACAGAAGTGTAAGTGGGGTCCCCCCAGAAAGAGGAGAGAGAGACTGAGGAATTACATTATAATTCAAAAACAGGAAGATAAATTGAAAATCTCTCAGAATTTTTTTTAAAAACACACTTGTAAATGACTCATAGATCAAAGAAGCAATTATAATAGAATTTAGTAATTACTCTGAGCTGAAAGGGAATAATTAAAATAAGAGTAAATGAAAAAGAAAACAGACATATAATAGAGAAAATCAACCAGGTCAAAAGTTGGTTCTTTTAAAAAACATTGATACATCACTGGTAAGATGCTACAAGAAAAAAAACAAGAGAGAAGGAAAACACAAATTACCATCGTATGTTTAAAAGAGAACAATTACTACAGATTTGACAACATCTAAAGAATGATGCAAGGATATTCTAAAGAACTTTATGCTATTAAAATTGAAAATCTAAATGAAATGAACAAATTCCTTGGGGAAAAAAACTTATCAAAACGAACACAAGAAGCAGCACAAAAATTTAAGTATTTAATATCTTCATAAAATGAATCAAATATCATCCCACAAATAAAACTTCTGGACCAGATGGCTTTACTGGTGACCTCTCCTGTACATTTAATACAAAATTTATTAATCTTACATAAATTCAGTGACCTCTCCTGTACATTTAATACAAAATTTATTAATCTTACATAAATTCTTTCTGAGAATAAAAAGGAAAACATCTTTTCATTGTTTTACAAAGTGAATATAATCTTGATACTACAACCACATAAGGACATAAGAACAAAGGAAAATAAAAGCTGATGTCTCTCAAGAACAAATTATTAGCAGCCAACATTTGGCAACATAAAAAAGAGATAATAAATCATGTTCAAGTAGAGCTCATTCTGGGGATGAAAATTTATTTTAACATTCTGAACTCAATAATCACCACATTTAAAAATCAAATGAGAAAAATTATGAAATCTGATTTGATGAAGAAAAAGCAGTTGATAAAACGTAACACTGATTCATTTTGAAACCCTCAGCAAACTAGGAAGAGAGAACTTTCTAATTTTAAAAAGAATATCTATAAATATTACTGATAGTGATATACTTAATGGAGAAATATTAAACACTTTCTCCCTGATTTTAGGAATGCAACAAAGATGCCCCATATTCCCACTTACATTCAGTATTGTAGTAGATGTTCTAATCAGCTCAGTGAAGTGAGAAAAGAAGCAAAATATGTAAAGACTGGAAAACAGTACAACAGTCTTTATTCTCAGATAACATTGGATAGAAAATTCAAAGGAATCTAGAAATGAACTATTATAGTCAATAAGTGAATGTAACAGGATTTCTGAATTCAAGGTCAGCATAAAAACAATATTATTTCTGAATGCTAGCAATAAACAATTAGAAAATCAGATAAAATGTCATTTATAATACACTGAGAGATATGCAGGACCTCTACATTGAAAATCATGAAACATTGCTGATATTAAAGAAGACCTAAATAAATGGTGTACTATTTATCTGTTGCTGTGTATAAAATTACCACAAACTTAGTAACTTAACACATATTTATTATTTCACAGTTTGTGTGGGTCGGAAACTTGGGCACAGCTAAATTGGGTTATCTGCCTCAGGTTCTTACCAGTTTGCAAACTAGCTGATGGTAGCAGGGCTCTCAACTGGAGACTTGACTGGAAAAGAACACACTCCCACACTTACTTAGGTAGTTAGCAGAATTCATTTCCTTGTAGTTGTAGAACTGTGTGCCTCTTTGCTAGCTGTCTGCTGGAAGTGATGCTCAGCTTCTCCAGGCTGCTTGCAGTTCCCTGCCATGTGGCCCTTTCCTTAGGCAGTTTACATGATGGCAGTTTGCTTCAAAAGTAAAACTAATAGTAAGATAGAGCCTTATAATAATGTAATGTAGTCAAAGCAGTGACAGCCCATCATCTGTGTCATGTTCTATTGGTTTGAAACAAGTTCCAGGTCCCACCTACACACAAAAGAAGGGGATGATAGAAAAGAATGTACCCCAGGAGGTAAGGATCATGGAAGCCATGATCATATATCAGGTGCATAGACTAAAAGACTTATTTGTTTATCTGGCAATTATTTTAAAATTGATCTATGTATTCAGAACATCACAATCAAAACTTCTGCAAAATTTTTGGAGGTTGGCAGATTTCTAAATTCTAAAATTATAGGGAAATGCAAAGGACCTAAAAGAGGCAAGGTAATCTTGAAGAAAACAGGAAATTTTCACTACCAGATTTCAAAATTTGCTATAAAGCTACAGTAATTGAAATACAATTAGCAGGCTGGGCGTGGTGGCTCACACCTGTAATCCTAGCACTTTGGGAGGCCAAGGTGGGCAGATCACTTGAGGTCAGGAGCTTGAGACTAGCCTGACCTACATGGTGAAACCCTGTCTCTACTAAAAATACAAAAATTAGCTGAGCGTGGTGGTGCACACCTGTAATCCCAGTTACTCGGAAGTCTGAAGTGGGAGAATCACTTGAACCTGAGAGGCAGAGGTTGTAGTGAGCCGAGAGTAGGCCTGGGCGATAGAGTGAGACTCCATCTCAAAAAAAAAAAATAAATAAATACAATTAGCACTTGATCAATAGACAAATATTCCATTGGTATAAATTAGTCCAGAAATAGACTCACACATATTCTGTCACTCGATTTACAACAAAGACACTACTGTAATTCAGTAGGAAAAGGATGATATTCTAAAAAAATAATGCTGGAGCAATTTTATATCTGTATAAAGAAGAAAATGAACCTTGACTGTTGATGTTACACAATACTCAAAAATTAATTTATGGTGGATTATACCCAAATAATACTTAGATCTTCTCAAAGAAAATATACAACAATATCTTAACAACCTTGGGGTAGCAAAGCCAGCACTAGCAGCATCCTATAAGCACTAAACATAGTGTAATTTTAACTCTGGTTTAGTTATGGAATTATGTTTATCAAACAATGTCATTAAGAATGTGAATAGGCAAGTCACAGACTAAGAGAAGATAATCACGATAAATTTATTGTCAAATAACATGTACTCAGATTATATAATGAATTTCTACAATCAAAAAAGAAAAGACAGATGTATTAGTTCCTTTTCATGCTGCTAATAAAGATATACTCGAGACTGGGTAATTCATAAAGGAAAGAGGTTTAATTAACTCACAGTTCCACATGGCTGGGGAGGCCTCACAATCATGGCAGAAGGCAAAAGAGGAGCACAGTCACGTCTTACATGGTATCAGGCAAGAGAGAGCAGGTATGGGGGAACTCCACTTTATAAAATCATCAGATCTCATGAGACTTATTCACAATCACAAGAACAGCATGGGAAAGACCTGCCCCCATGATTCAATTATCTCCCACTGGGTCCCTCCCACGACATGTGGGAATTATAAAGGCTACAATTTAGGATGAGATTTGGGTAAGAATACAGCCAAACCATATCAATAGATATTTATTAAAAATGGAGCAAAGTTTGAATAATCTCCTCACAAAGGAGGGAATTTAAGTGGTTAATACGCATATTAAAAGGTGCCCAACTTTATTAATCACTAGGGAAATGCAAATTAAAACCACAGTGTGATACTTCTACACATCCATCAGAATGTCTAAAATTAAAAAGAGATAGAAAATATCAAGTTTTGGTGAGGATGTAGAACAAATTGCAACTGGTCATGGGTGGTTGGTGGAAATGTAACTTTGTTCAAACATGTTGGAAAAACTGTTTGGCAGTTTAATAATACTAAATATACGCCTACCCTATAGGCATGCGATTCCATTCCCAGGTATAGACCCAAGAAAAATAAATGCATATGACTACAAAAAGAGATGTGCGAAATGGCCATAGCAACTTTTTTCATAATGGTCCCTAAGCAGGAAAAGAACTCCAGTGTCAGTTGGAGAAAGGATAAACAATTGTGCTACATTCATGCAATGGAATATTGCACAACAATAAAAAGAACTCAGACACACACAACAACGTAGATGAATCTCAAAAACATTTGTTAAGCAAAAGAAGTCAGACTCAAAAGAGGAGATATTGCCTAATTACATTTCTATAATGTTCAAGAATAGTCAAAATTAGTCTAATAGTTGCCTGAATGATGGCTGGAATTCTTTTCTTCCTGAGAAAAAGCACAAAGGAACTTCCTGGGGTGGCAAATATCTATATATAGTTTGATCTTTGTAATAGTTACACAGTTGTATATATGTGTAAGCTTTGCATAAAGTACTAATTTGTGAGATTAAAAACAAACAAACCAAAAATGAATAATTTTTCTATCCTTGAGGCATGAAGATATGTTCTTATAATAACTTCTATTAACATTTTAGTTCTATCTTTCACCTTTAGGTGTTTTATCTACCTATAACATTTGTATACGATTTTAGGTTAGGATCCAGTTTTATTTTTCTTTGCGTAGTGATCACCTTCTTTTTAGCTCCTTGACTTAGTTTTCTTCTTTATAATGCATTAGTTTCCATTTATAGGTAGATCTATCTCCAAGTTCCCAGTTATGTTTTATTTGTTTCCATGCCAGTCCTATACTGTTGCTATTACTGTGGTATGTCTTAATATTAGGGAGAGCAAGTTCTTCCTCTCAAAGTTGCCTCCTATTTAAAAGTTAACTTAGCTATTCATAGACCTTTATTCTTCAATAGACACTTAAAATAAATCTATCAAGTCCTTTACAAAACTTCCAGTCAGAATTTTGATTCAGATTGCATTGAATTATGTTTTTTATTTCGACTCCTATAATTTTCATATTTTATATTTCATTTGGTTCTTTTTATGACTTCTTCCTGCTTCATATTAATATGCTTCCTTATGCCTTAGAGGTATTATTATGCTTATTTAAAATTCTTTGCTCAATGATCTAATAACTCTCCTTTCTGCAATCTGTTTTTTGCATTTGTGATTTTTTAAGTGGTTGTGTTGTTCTCTTATCTATTCTTTAGACCTATGACTTTAAATCTCCCTGGGAATATCAGCTGCCCTATGCTGTAATGTATGCACAGGCAGGGTCAAAACACACACGCTAGTTCTCATCATACTACAGAGTTTGGAAGAGGGAGAATAAGGAGTGAACCCACAGAACTCCATTGATCACTACCTCTTTGCCGCCTCTGTGCCAGTCAACCCTTTGTCCAAGAAGTCATCTATAAACCCACCCAAAGAACAAGCACCCCATCAGGTCAGGAGTTCAGGAGGGGGAAGAAGTATGGTGGATGCCAAAGGCCAGGGCTGGTTGTCACATCTGGTTCCATTGGCTCTGCAGGCCTTTTATGAAACTCTGATATTCCTCTGATTGGGGGATGTCCTATGGCAACAGAACCTGCAACAGCTGTCTTCCAGCTGAATGGAACAAGCAACAGCAGAACATACCCTCTTCTTGATGTTCTATATCTTGACTGACACGTGGTTTATGTCGAGTATGGGTTTGCCAAACTCACTGAACTGTACACTTGAGATCTGTTAATTGCACTGTATAAAAATTATACCTCTGAATGACAAAAAATCCACCACTATCATCTTTATTTTACTGTCACTGAAATTTAATCTGGAAAGGCCAACTATTAAGCTGTAAAACTAAATTGGATTTATAAATATTAGAAAGAAAGATGTAATGTTATTTTATTTGTTCTTATCATTTTTCCTCTGGAATCCCCAAAACTCATTGAAGAAAATATTAGAACTACGGAGAGTTTAGTAAGGTTGCCAGTTAATCAATAAGCCCACGCTGATCTATAACCAGGGTCACAGTTCAAATGCTTGCAGCATTTTCCCATAATGAAAATGAATGAAATAAAATAAACTGTTAGGAAGGTAATACAAATTTTTTCTTTTATTGAATTTTGGTTTAAACAAGCAATATAAACATCTGTGATACTGAAGATTATATTTTAAATTTGAAATAGAAAAATACAAATTGATAAATTGGAACAATTTTGTTTTATAATTTTTTTCTCACTTGGGGAATGCTGATTTAAATCTGAAAAATATGACACATTGTGTATTAAGATATAAATACCAAGTTTTTTGTTTCCATCTTAATGTGTAGAACAGAATTCAACCTTGAGTTCTTTAACTGGGAGCAATATTTTGTTTTATATAGTTTCATATTTCATAATTGAAAACAGCTGCTCACAAATTTAGGAAATTCCTAACCTAACAGAATACTTACACAATGATTTTTCTATTCTGTGAAATCACACCCAGATATTTGTAGAATTGTGGAATTCTGATGTAATGTTGTAAATATGTACCACAGTACTGTACTGAGCTCAGAAACTTTCATCTGTAGCTCTTCCTTCAGTCTTATTCTGATAAAGGTGAAGGGATCACTTAGTTGTTTTCTCAAAAGCGGAAGTTAGGATATAGTGGACTGTATGAACAATATGGTTTCAAGGTTAAGAGCATTAACTCTGTAGCCACACTGCCTGGATTCTACCCTGGCTCCAACACTTAGGAATTGTGACCTCGGACCAATTTCTCAACCTCTCGGGGCCTCAGTAAAGTGGTCTGTAAGGTGATGACAATAACAGCACCTACATTAGAGGAAGGATTAAATTAAATATGTAAAATTTTGGGATGATGCCCAGTGCATTGTAAGCCCATTGTGTTAATTATTAAAAGAACCTGTTTTTAAATTCAGTCTTAAACCTCACTATTTAGGGAATATAGTTCATGCTAGCATATTTTTGTCTTTGGAATTTGATTGCAATGTAGAAAAATCCACCAGACCCAATTTCATCACGTCTAAGCGTGTCAAACAATAACTGGGTATCTGTCTATGGAGTCTCTTATAGGGTATTTTCAAAGTATGTAGGACTATTTGTCAAAGCAAAGGCCATGTCTTTGGTTGAGTCTTTGTGAACTGATGTGGAGAATATCCCTTGGATGAGCCAACAAGTCAGTTTGTTTCTAATATTCTGCTAAATTACTTCCCTCTGCACAGAACAGCAGATTACTGTAATGTGTATTGAAGGCATCAAGGACAGCAGTGAACATTTGTCCAAGGGTCAGGCCACTTGAGTATATCCAGATTATGGTGTTAATAACCCGAGATGCATGCTATATTCTGTTTTTACTTTTTCAAGCTCAAAGTGTGTCCTAGTAAATGCAGCAACATGTAAAATGAAAAGTCTCCACCTCTCATTTTCCTGGCAAGGTGTAGATTTCCTGGCAATAGGGTGCTAACACCTGGCATGGAAGGAGCATCATCTGCAGGTAGACTTACCAATTTGGGCAAGTTGTATTAAAATTCTTCAGACACCAAAAATAAGTTATTCTCTGTTTTGTGTTGCCATGGATACTTCCTCCAAAATTTCTTCTGGTTCATAAAATTTCTCAAGGACACCTTAAAACAGCTAATAAAGTGGTATTTTGTGTGTGTGTGTGTGTGTGTGTGTGTTATCAGCTATGACAGAAAATACCAGAAGTAATTTTACAATTCTATGAAACTTCTTCTCAAAGTTCTTAGCCATATTTTCAACAAACTGAGGATATTTGGGCAAAAATTCAAGCTTCTGTAACAAAGAGATCCAGAACTACAGTGGCAGGAAAGAAAAAGGAAAAAAAGGAAGTTGGTTTTACTGTCATGTAATAGTTTCAAGGTGTGTGGGGACTAGGCTGGCTGAGCTGCACTGCCTGCTGCAGTCATTTAGAAACCCAAGCTCCATCTTGTTCTGGCTTTTCTTGGGGTGTTTAACTTGTCCACATATTTGAAGTGATGTTCTGGGAATCCATCTTTAGAAAGAGAAATTGCTGAAGTATAAGGCAGGCATTTTCCTTAGCAAGTGATACCTCATTAAGATCCATCTCCTTTGTTCACATTTCATACATTTGCACTTTGTATTGGTGTCAGCTTAATCACGTGGCCAGCATTGCCACAAAGGAGGCCGGGGAATGGAGTCTTGTCCAACATAGTATTTCCCAGCAGACTTAATTTGTAAATGCATATTTGTTAGAGACATGCAATTTTTGCTGCACTGAATAGGTACTCCTATATAAACTCATTATCTGGAAAATGTTTCAATGCCCAGGGAATTTTTTCTATTTAACATATGACTTCATTTTACTGCAGCCCAACCATTTTATTCAAATTCTGAATCAAATTTTTGGTTTTCATTTCAGTTTATTAAGATTTAATTAACTTATCTTTTGCAAATCTATAAATATACACACACACAAACATATATACACACACTCACACACACACACTGATATAGTTTGACTCTGCATCCCCACCCAAATCTCATCTTGTAGCTCCCATAGTTCCCACATGTTGTGGGAGGGACCTGGGGGAAAGAATTGAATCATGGGGGTGGGTCTTTCCTGTGCTGTTCTCATGATAGTGAATAAGTCTCATGAGATCTGATGGTTTCAAAAACGGGAGTTCCCCTACACAAACTCTCTCTCTTTGCTTGCTGCCATCTGTGTAAGATGTGACTTGCTCTTCCTTGACTTCTGCCATGACTGTGAGGCCTCCCCAGCCATGTGGAACTGTAAGTACATTAACCTCTTTCTTTTGTAAATTGCCCAGTCCTGGGTATGTCTTTATCAGCAGCATGAAAATGGACTAATACACACACACACACACACACACACACACACACACACACACACACGTACATATACATATATATATTCAAACTCTGGTTGGTTGTACAATGACATCTTAATTAAATTTTCATATTACACTGGAAATGATATTCTTCCCTTTGAAAAATAACCATTCTCTCTTTAGAGAAAAAAAGATTTATTTTCCTTAGTCTTTTATTTTCCCAGATTTTGAATAAGATATAGATATGAGAAATAGTTAACATTCACATAACTTTAAGATTAATAAAATCAATATCACAAGTGAAACGATAGGTAGCAACTGACATTCAACCACATGTTCAGAAAACCCAGGTTCATTTTACTGTAGCACAACCAGAAGAACAACAGGCCTGTGCTTCTTTGGAGACAGAGAGCTCCATCTACAAACGGCAGCTGCAGCAGAGTCCTGGCTGGGTGCTGCCGTGCTCATGTGGCCCTAGTTTGCATCTTTTGACCTATAGGTTTCTTAGTGTCAGCAACAACATATGAGCACATGTAATAAAATAAAAGTGTTAAACTCATCATGATTACAAAAATTATTAACTACTTACAAATAATCTTTACAGGAATTGTTAGGCCAATAAGGAAAAATTACAAAACTTTATGGATGGATATAAAAGAAGATTTGAATAAATCCCAATTATACCGCATTTCAGTAAGAGAAAACCAAATCTTATGACTATTGTGATGGTTAATTTTATGTAAATGTGGCTAGACCATGGTACCTAGTTTTTGGTCAGATACCAGTCCAGATGCTGCTGTGAAGATACTTTTTAGTTTTGACTAACATTTAAATTAGTAGACTTTAGTAAAGCAGATGACGTTTCATAATGTGATTGGGGCTTGTCCAATCAGTTGAAGGTCTTAAGAGGAAAGCTTGACATCCCCAGCAGAAGAAGGAATTCTCCTCCTGACTGCCTTCAGACTTGACTGGGCAACATCAGATCTTCCCTGAGTCTCCAGCCTGCTGGCCTGTCCTGCAGATTTAGGACCTGTCAGCTCTGCAATCTTAAGAGCCAATTCCGTAAAATAAACCTCTCTCCATAGACATGCATATTCTAATTTGTTCTGTTTCTCTGGAGGTCCCTGACTGATACAAGTATTTCTATTCTCTTCTCCTTATTCTAATTCTAAACATTTAAGATAAATTCAGTGAAATGCTCACCAGGATGAAAATTACAATGATGATTAGGAGACAAAGGAAGAGAAGTTGATGATTTTTATGGGTGTGGAAGGACCCAATGCCCATATAATCTCAAAGTTGGCCTGGAAAAATAAAGAAATAAAAATATCAAAAGTAAATATTAGGAAATTAATGAAGAGGGGAAAATTTGCTTTATCAAGACCTTCACACATATTTACGAAGACACAGGATTTAGAAACAGCATAATACTAGAATATCAAATTAAAGAAATAAACCAGATTTCTAAAAGAGAGCAAATATACTTAAGAATTTAATATATGATAAATGCAGAATTTCAAATAAGTGAAGACAGAATGTATTTAATGAATACAAGGTGTTGAGGCAACTGACAAAGCATTTTGAAAAATATGAATTTAATTTTCTGACTTAGACCATAAACCACATAGATTCCAGACAAATTAAAAATGTAAATATAAAAAAAGAGTATACAAAATATGAAAGAAAATACACATGAATATAAACATAATCTTGGGACAAAGAAGATTTTTTAAAATATCACACTTAGGCAGGAGTTGTAAACCTGTTGATATACTTGAGCACATTAACACTCAAAAATGGGATATATTTGCAAACTATAGGTGAGGAAATTATCTAGAAATCAATAAGAAAGGCATAATTATCCAAATAGGAAAATAAAGGATAAAAAGAGGCAATTTATGAAAGAAGAAACAAATGACCATATCTGTGCTGGAAAAAATTCGACCTCATTAATTGTAAAAATTTGCAAATAAAAGAGCATTAAAATACTATTTTTTTTTTTCACCTAAAAGTTTGGGAAAATGATGCCCTTGCTAATAGATTTAGAAAATGTGTACAGGAATGGAGACTGGTGAAACCATTTTGGAGGGCAGTATTCAATATGTGTGCATATGTCCTGTAGATGTTAAGGTCAAGACCTTCAAATGATTGGACAAGCCCCACTCACATTGTGAAAGGTCATCTGCTTTACTCAAAGTCTACTAATTTAAATGTTAACCAAATCCAAAAAGTATCTTCACAGCAGCAACTGGACTGGTATTTGACCAAAAATACCAGTGTGGGTTGCGTATGTGTACCTGTGTACATGAATATACTCTCTGTGAATGCTTTTATTCACTTGAATCCAACAATTCCTCCTACAGGCTATATCATAAGTGTCCAATCATGATCACTTTATTGTCAAAACAAAAAAGCACCAATAAAAAACACTGCAAAACAACAACCCAGAAACTTATTTGACCCAACAAAGGGGAAACTTGTGATACCAACTCAGAACCTTAGAGAGAAATGTGTGAGATTATGCGTGAGATGGAACTGTGATCTGGGAGGCCTCAGGAACATGGCAGCTCTTGTTACATCCTTTGCTTTACCTTAGTGTCCATGGGAGCAAACTCTCTGAGAAGGGGACATGGGAACAGCCTCTAAGATGAGGGATATAGGGTAAAAGCGGACTTTTCTTATATGCTAAGGAAACAAACGTAAATTGTGCAAAGATGCAGTTAAAAAATTTTGTTTATAAAAATAATATATGTCACATGATACATGATTCATTGTCTAAATTATAGTAGTCCCACATAATGGCAAATTATATAACCATCTAAATTATGTTAGAGAATATTTAATATTCTTCTTATTGATTTAGTATAATTATTAATATTTACTAATGTAGGAAATTATTTACCATATTATTTGCTATTATGAAAAAATGTAAATTTCAGAAAAAGGTCAATATCGTATAAATTAAATTTACATCGAAATTATAAATACATCCTGCAAGTGACCTGGCTTCACGTGCATGTGACTGAAAATTAAGGGAACACTTCCTTTTCATGCCTAAATAACAGCATAGCAATGGCTCAAATTCCCATGACTACTTAGGTTATAGACATTTCAGCCTTTTCTGAGGGGATTCTTGCTGGGTGTTTTTGGGGACTCCTGGTGGTTGTTGCCAGCACCTCAGCTAATGGTCAGGGTTCACACACTGTTCTTGTCATTCCTGGGACACAGCTTCCTCTCCCACAGGTCTCCTCTTGCAGTCTCAAGACCATTGCCTCATGCACACTGCTCCCTGCTCACTACTATGTTTCCATCGTGAGCATGGATCCTTTTCTTCATTGCCTATATTGATAGAAAAACTCAGACTGTAATTTTCTATGAGACATCAATTAAATTTCATAATTGAATAAAGGTAACATCACAAGGATTAACTAAGAACAACTGCCAGATATGGACATGCAAAGAGCCTACATACAAAGGCGTGGCCTGGGGGACCTAAGGAGTATCCTGGCCTAGCGAGGTGGCTCACACCTGTAATCCCAGCACTTTGGGAGGCTGAGGCAGGAGGCTCACGAGGTTAGGAGTTCAAGACCAGCCTGACTAACATGTTGAAACTCCGTCTCTACTAAAAATACAAGCATTAGCCGGGCATGGTGGCAGGCCTGAAATCCCAGCTACACAGGAGGCTGAGGCAGGAGAATCACTCGAACCCGGGAGGTGGAGGTTGTAGTGAGCTGAAATTGTGCCACTGCACTCCAGCCTAGGGGACAGAGCAAGGCTCCATCTAAAAAAAAAAAAAAAAAAAAAAAAAAGCATCCCCGCAGCCCACACCCTGGCCAACCTTCACTCTGCAGTGACCACACTTGCCTTGAGCCCTGGGAGAGTTTTGGTGCCTCCTCACCTGAGATTCTGGGCCTAACCTTTGGAAGCTCGTAGGGAAAGACTCCCCGCTCCCCTTATCCCAATCTATGATTCACATTTAAAGCTTTTTCAAAATGTATTTTGTTTTATTAAGATATAATTTACATGACATAAAATTCACCATCTAAAGGCACACAATTCAGCGTTGAGTAGATTTACCGAGTTGTACAACCATTACTGCTGTCTAATTACAGAACATTTTCTCCATAACTCACTTAAAAAAGAAAGCAACAGAAATGTATTTTCTCACAGTTCTGCAGGTCAAAAGTCTGAAATCAAGGTGTTGGCAGGATGATGCTTCCTTTGCAGGTTTTAGGGAGGGACCCTTCCTTGCCCCTTCCCAGTTTCCAGCGGCCACTAGCGATCCTTGGCCTGCCTTGGCCTGGGGCTGCCAGAGACTGTGGCTCCCTCCAGTCTCTGGCTCTGTTGCCACATGGCCTTCTCTCTGTGTGTCTCTCTCTGAGTCTTCACATGGCCTTCTTTTTTTTTTGAGATGGAATCTCTCTCTGTCGCCAGGCTGGGGTGCAGTGGTGTGATCTCGGCTCACTGCAACCTCCACCTCCTGGGTTCAAGTGATTCTCTTGCCTCAGCCTCCCAAGTAGCTGGCACTACAACTGCATGTCACCATGCCCAGCTAATTTTTGTATTTTTAGTAGAGACAGGCTTTCACCATGTTGGCCAGGAAGGTCTCAATCTTTTGACCTCATGATCTGCCTGCCTCAGCCTCCCAAAGTGCTGGGATACAGGTGTAAGCCACTGTGCCCGGCCTCACAAAGCCTTCTTCTAAGGATGCCAGTCATTGGATTTAGGGCCCACCCTAATCTAGTATGACCTCATCTTACCTTAACTAATTACACCTGCAAAGACCCTTATTCCAAATAGGTACGCATTCTGAGGTTCTGGTTGGGCATGAACTTTGGGGTACACTATTCAGCCCAGTATAGACACATGAGGGGGATTCACTTTCTGTTCATGTGATTCCCTTTTCAGTACCCATTTTGTACATGTAGGTTTGAGAGGGTCCAATGCAGTATGGTGCTGTTTGCTGCCTAAGTCATGAATTATTTGAGAAATTAGACAAAAATATTAGCTGATGGAAGTCAAAATATCATCTCTTTTTACTGATAGTGTAACTTGAAGAATGTAGCTTATATCTGGAACCAAGTGAGTTTCCCATCCTGAGTCCAGAACTGGAATCACTCCCTCAGCTGTGCTGGCGTCAGTCGGTGTCACTGCTGTAAAAGCAGAGAGGTGGTGGCTGAGCACAGCCAAGGCCGCCACACTAATGGCTTCTCCGTGGGAGGAGACATCAGCTCTTTGGGGAGCAGCATGTCCCACCCTAGTTACTATTCCTCAGACCTGTGCGCCTTTCTTTCCCATGGAGGGAAAGTCCCTCTCAGGAGACACCCATCCCCTTCTGTAGGTACAGTTTTGTCCTAAACCTCTGGGCAGATAATCAAGCTCTATCATTACAGCTCTTCAATTGTCAATAACACCAAATGCAGCCAAGGACACCATTCATGGCCAGTTCTTTCCCTGGTCCCCTCTGGCACAAAGTGAAAGGCATGTCCTCCCTCTGCCCTCAGGGTCTCAGCTCTGGAGTTCCACAAACACCTGCTTAATGTCCCAAGTCTAAGTCTTGCCTATGCAAGAAATAGCTCCTGAGGGCTATTTTTATATGCAGAAATATATTTTAGTTTATGTCACCGAACAGCTTCCCCTATTACCATCCTTATTCCTGATGAGGACCTGTGCTGTCTTATGCACCAGACCTAAAGTCTCCTTGAGGACCAGAGCCACTTCTTATAGATGCCTGTGTTCCCAGGATTTAGTGGTTGCCAAGTTATGCGGCCATCATCCATTTGTAGTGTTTAAATGGCACAAAAAGTGTCTGGGCATCAGATCTCTGACCACCACCTACCTCACACGCCCTTTCCACTCTGCTCCCGGGGAGCTGTCAGGGACCACTGAGCATCACCTGATGATCCTGAAGCATCAGCGTGTCCTCAGGGATGCATGTTCCACACATGGCAATGGATTTGGAGAATACCCAAATACGATTCTGTGAGGATCATCAGGCCTTTCACATCTTCCTGAGGGGATGGGATTCGAAGAATGGAGAAAAAGGAGAGAGGAGAGGTGAGTTTGGAGAATGTGGTGTCTTGAGGAAATCAGCTCTCAGGTTTGGGCAGGGAGCCATATGGTCCTCAAGAGAGCCCAGGAGCTCTCGGTCTCCGTAAGAAAGCCCCAAATTCTCTTAACAGAACTAAATCTAGTTCATCTGAGGAACGAGCTATGCAGTGAGGATGTGGCTGAACGTCAATGTCCAGATCCTGGACTTCAGCTTCACTGTCACCTTGGGATGTCACTGCACAAATTGCTGCTACCCCCACCACCTGGTCTTAGGGGGTGGATCACTGCCCCATCACACAGTGGCTTATGCTGGCTTAAACCTGTGTTCAGGCCCAAGAGGAAGAAGCCTAGAGAATGAGCCATGACTAACTTACCTTTCTGCTGGACAGAGGCCCTCCCTCAAAGCCACAGGGTCCTTTCTGAAGACCCTCCCTCCCCCAGATGACTGGCAGCCGGGGGAAAACCCACTGAGTCATGGGAAGACCCCCACTCTTTGCAGCCTTTTCCAGGACAGCCTCACCAGAATACAGTGTAGGAAGCACAGCCCCTGCTCAAGAAAGGCCCACAGGCAACATGGATGCAGAGGAGGTTATAGCCAGGATAGAATAGCCCTTTAGGAGGAGAAGAGAAACACCCTTAGAGAGAGCAAGAAACAAAAGCCATGAAAAGGCTATAGGATTACCTGCACTCTGTCAGCTGTGGAGAGGAAATGGAGCTGCCTTCCTCTCTGTAATCCTCTACTACCATCTTTCCTCTAGTACAGTAGAAATACGAAATCAGTCTTGCATAGGAGTTCCCAAACCTGTCTGTGCATTAGATTACCTGTGATCTTAAAAAAAATTTGAGTCCAGGCCACACCTGAGCTGATTAAATCATAGTCCCTGGGGCTGGGACACAGGCATTGGGAGACTTGGAAGCTACCCAGGTGACTCTAATGTGTGGACAAGTTTGGGAAACTCAAGTCTAGACTGGTGGTTCCTAAAGCTTAGCATCATCAGAATCCCCCAAAGGGCTTAAAGCACTGGCTGCTGGGCCCCACTCCCAGAGCTTCTGATTCAGGAGTCTGGGGTGGGACCCAGGAATTTGTTTTCCTAACAAATTCCTGGGTGATGCCATGCTTCTGGGTCAGGGACCACATTTTGAGAACCACTGGTCTCGATATTTAAAAAGGTCATTTTAGTCAATAATGTAAATATACCTTTGAGAGTGAATTCACCCACTGGAAGGAAAATTGTTCATTCTCAGATTCTTCTCTGCGATAGACGATCATATGGGACAGGGGAGGGCTCCCCCCTCCCTCAAGATCTTGGGCTCAGTGACTGCTCTGCACTCATTCCAAACTACTTTGCTGGTGTCTGGGGCTCATGTCTACATATGTTGAACTTGGGCCTGTCCTACTTGGCACACTGAGCATCTGGTGGCCCTGCCTATGGACTTGGTTTCCTTTCAGCTCTCACAGGTCCTACACACCCTATGGGAGTCTGGCCCTGCCTTTGCAGTGCCATCACTTTGTCCTGCCAGCACAGGCCCCGTGGCCAGCTCACAGGTCCTCAAAGTAGTGAGCCTGCCATGCATGGATGAGGGCTGAGGGATCCTGAGTCAGACCCTCTCTCTTCCGGCCCATGCTGCTCTGTTGGTCAGCTCTGTTGGGCCGTTGCATGACCGGGTCCTTAACCAGTGCTAACAGGGAGGAGGCAAGTCCCCTTTGTCTGGAGGTTCCTCTGGGCTTGATTCCTGCAGCAGATGAACAAGAGCGCCCCACTATGATAAGGAACCTGGGCCTGAATGAATCTCCTTTAGCGGCTTCGGGGCTCTCAAGTGGAGGGGTCCACAGATGCCAAGGCTGCAGCTGGATGGGATGCTGTCCCGTGCTCCACCTCTGCTGTCACTCATAGCAGCTGTGCTACAGCTCTGTTCTCTTCTGGTTCAACTCCCTCATTAGATCTTGCTCTACTCGGGCTTGTAGGTTCCATGACACATTCCTGTTTCTTTTTCCACAAAGTGCTCCTTAGAATCAAAGTCTTCTTGACCATCAGACCAGGTGGTGGGCTGGGGGTGCATGCACCTGTGACACCTGGGATGCTTATTCAGCATGGGGTTAGAGTTAAGTCATACCCCAGCACCACTGAATCAGAAACTCTAGGGACAGGACACAAGAATCTGCACTATAACAGGCACCCCGGATAATTCTTATGTACACTAAGTTTGAGGACAACCACAGTAGGGTATTAGCTTCTGAGGACAACTGCATGCTCTTGACAAGACTGTCTTTACCATCTGCCACACACCACACAGGAATCACCATACAGAGGATTAGGTCCCAGAGAAAGGGGATAAGGACATGATCACAGGTATGGGAACATGATGCTTGCAAATCCCTAGGAAGGCCCATATTTGTGTGTGTGTGTGTGTCCATCCTCTCAACACAGCCTGAATTTTTTTCAGTTTAGGAATAAACAGATCCCTGCTTTTGCTTAGACAGTGGTCACAAGAGGCTGTGGTTATTCTTCAAACACTAGAGTCACAGTCTGCTGCTTACATGAGGAGAGATCCAGGGGGACTGAGGCCCACTTGAGGGAATAGCAAGTGTCTTTCCCTTTCAGGGTTTCCAGTTCTCTCTTGGGCAATCACAGGTGCAGTGAACAGCTGGGACTGTGCAATTTAAATGGTCCTGAATCTGAATAGTTGCAACCCTATAAGTTGAAAGTGCATATAACACATCTCCATTGTAAACATGAATACATGAGTGTTGAATGAATGGATGGGCAACATAGATGGCAGTTCATGGTCTGCGATGAAGCTCCTACAATGAGTAACAATGCCTGTCATCAGTCGAGCACTTTGCGTGTGTCAGGCCCTGTTTCAGGCACTTTACTCCTTCTCTGACTGAAAAAATTTTCCATTCTCCAGAAGCACAGGCACAAAGATATAAAGTGACTCACCTCAGGTTACAGGGCCAGGGGTGCCTAGGCAGACCTGAGTGTTCAGCAGTCCCCTCCCTGCCTCTCTGAACATGCATTTCAGAAGACTCCAGGGTACGTTCCTGAAAGTCTTCCTCAGCTTGGGTCCTCTGTCATAAGCATACATTGCTGTCCCTTTGAATTGAGACAGGTACAAACATTCCTGGAGACAGAAGCCACCTTTAGGCTAAGGTGTATTTTCTCAAGCACATTTGGTGCCCATGAGGAATTGGTAGCGGGATAACTTTTTTTTTATTTGAAATCCACAAAAAACCCACAACTCCTATTTAGTTTGCTTCCTCTTGCACTTTATCTTATGTTAAACTCAGGAGGAATTTTGATGTTATAAGACATTGTCAATTTTTTTCTTTTCTTTTCTTTTCTTTTCTTTTTGAGACTGAGTCTTGCTCTTGTCACCCAGGCTGGAGTGCAATGGTGTGATCTCGGCTCACTGCAACCTCCACCTGCTGTGTTCAAGCAATTCTCCTGCCTCAACCTCCCAAGTAGCTGGGATACAAGTGCTCACCACCACACCCGGCTAATTTTTGTATTTTTAGTAGAGGTGGGGTTTCACCATGTTGGCCAGGCTGGCCTAAAACTCCTGACCTCCGGTGACCTGCCTGCCTCGGGCTCCCAAGGTGCTGGGATTACAGGTGTGAGCCACCATGCCTGGCTGACATTGTCAATTTTACAGCTAAATAAATGTCCAAATTTCAGGCTTCACTCTGTAGTAAGAGTTGAATGTAAACATGGGAAAACCCGGTGAAATAATTGTAATACCTAACTGTTTGCATGTCAAGATTGTAAAAATTCTACTTAAATAAAATAGTATAAACAACATAACATTAAATTATGTCATATAATAGTCATCCTGTGACACACAAAAAATTTGGGGGCATTCCACTGATAATGATGGATAGTTTCTACAATTTGTACCTTTTCTAACAAAACTAGAGAGTCTGTTTTTCTTGTTAAAATGCATGGTGATTTACAATAGTCGAAACTACATTTGGCAGCAAGTTATGTTGAAGACAAGATAGGTAGGAAATATTTTCTTGATTAGATAATGGTTGGTTGAAATTCCTTCCAGCTTTTGTGAAACAAAAGTTAGCAACTGAAAGCATATCAGAGGACGCATCAATTTTCCATAAACAGAAGACTGCGCAACCTACTTTATTGAAAAACCTTTATGTGGAGCTAGATTTAATCTCTCAATTTGAGAAGCAGTGCCATGAAATAAGATGTTTGCATGCAAAATCTACAGATTTCCAATGGAAATATAAAACAAAGAAGCGCTGCTTTCCCTTGGGCTTGGCACCTATCTCGGGTTCATTTTTTCTCTGATGTTCTTGCATGGTTTTATCGGTGGCTTCAGGGAAGTGAAACAGCGGTTTGCTTCCTTAGGAACAAAGGCTTGGAGAATTAAAAAAAAAAAAAAGAAAGAAAGATAATATATTAAAAGTACTTTCTCTACCGTTCTTTGTATTTGTTATGGATTTCCTGAGGAGTAATCATTGTTTCAAATAATTTATCTTTTAATGATTTTAGCATTTAATCTGGCAAGTAAATATGACCTGATTTATGCTTTGCTTTCTTTTTTTTCCCTCTAAATCTCACATGAAAATGTATCTTGAAGTAGGTAAGTTTGAACTATACCAAAACTGAAAAAAAACATAGCCTTAAAGACATAAGGAGCAAAGTATACATTTTCCATTAGCATATGTCTCCCTAATCAAAAAATGAAACTTTATTAGCATCTTTAAGTTTAGTTGGTAATGAAGTATTTAGCACGTGGTGTGTGCTTGGTAAATAAATGAATGACAAATAAGATGTGGTCCCGTAGTCAAGATGCAGCAGTGTAGCTGTGCGCTAACTGGTATATATTGCAAATGTGGTGCCCAGGGACAAAACATACTTCCAGCATGAGCACCTTATGGTTAACATGATAACCATGTTAGTTTCTTCTTCTCCTCGTTTTTATAACAAGATAGTCATTTCAAATCTGTAATATAGCTATTTAGTGATTTCTGTTTTCTTTTGCCAAATGTTCAACTGTTTTACCTACTTATGTAAAAAGTGCTGCCACAAAAACGTCAACATTGTTTCACAGTCTGTTCTCACAAAGCCATTTCTCTCTACACATTTATTTGTGTTTTTACTGGCAATTGTAGGTGAAGTTAGCATAATTTCTTACCAAGGCAGTTTAGCCAAACAAACAATTTAATTATCTGAAGCCATAAAATTATGATATACCCAGATTGTTTTCTCCAAATACTTTTTCCTATGTAAGGGAACCAGCCATTCTTGGAGAAATCACCAATTCCAGATCTGACTCCTGCATCTAGAAATAAAAAAGATAAGCCTGGATTATCTTGAGGATACAGGGGACTTGCAGAGACTTCTCTAGCTAAATGTAAGACAATTTCAGCATCAAAAATAATGACTGTAATGTTTTGAAACATATTAAGTAGGTAAAAATATGTGATTTCAAGTGATGTTAACCACATTGGTCATCTTTGGAAGTTTCTAGGGCACCATCACATTCTGAATAAGTAGTAAAGACATATATAATTAAGTTTTTGAGGGGATGATATGTACACATTAACTTTCAGGTGATATTTGTAGAAGAATTCCAGCTAAAAAGTACAGAAGAAATGATAGAATTAGATAATCATTTTACAACCCCAATGAGAGGCTGGATCTAGGCAGCTATAAAAATTGCCTGCTAACATCATTAAGTGAAGATTGATGGGGAGCTCAATAATGGCTGGACCACGCTGACCACACTAGAATCTACAGACTTAATCCTAACATACAGCATTACCCAGAATGGAATATCTATCACGCATTCTGGGCAAAATAATTAAGCCAGCATCTAATCAAATCTTGTCATTTGATTATCAGTTTAGAAGAAATATGGGAAATTAAGGAATATGTGAAATGACATCACAAGGAAGTAACCAACCAAATCTAGAACATAGGAGGTGCAACAGGACAAATAATCTGGTTATTTTAACAAACAAATGGCATAAAAGAAGACAGGGGAAGGGAGACTCTTAGAAATGAAAAGAAAACCTTAGAGACTTATCAACCAAATGCAACATATGGAACTTATTTGGATCCTGATTTAAGTAAACTAACCATATGATGTTTTTAAGACAAACATGAGACTGTAAATCCAAACTGAGCATTAGATGACATTGAGGAATTGTTCATTTTGCTAAATGAGATGGTTGTACTCTGGTTATTTTAAAAATTGTACTTATTGGACTGGAGAATGATACAAGGTATTTATGGAGGAAATGATACAAAATATGAGATTGCTTTAAAATACTCTAGTCATCCTCCCCAGAACATCTGTGGGTGAAAGATAAAACAAGATTGTCAAAATGCTGATAATTATTTAAACTGGTTGATTAGGATTTATATGCCTATTCTCTCTGCTTTTGAGTATAATTCAAAATCTCTAGAATAAAATGCTTATAAAATTTAAAAGGCATTAAGTAAGCAAAAGTAAAAATCAATTGGACTACATTTATTTGTTTCATTTCCCTTCTGGTAAGGAAAATATCTTAAATCCCTCCCTTTTTGTTCTCTGAGAACAGCTCTGGATTTCTGGGCCTCTGCTCTTGGATATCTTGATTTATCATCCTATATATATATATATAAGACACCTAGTTTAAAACCATACTACAAACACCCAACCAGACAATCTGCAGTCACATCTTTATAATTGGCTCAAGGGTAAAAGTAGCATGAAAACTAGGGACTCATTCCAACAATAATGAAAGCATTTCTCTGTTCACTGCTGTGGCTTCAATGACTGTGAAATTTTTCCATTTCTGGAAATCACATCAGTAAGAGAAGTAGAGCCAAGAGGCTGAGAGCAGGGGCACCTGAAGGGGCCAAGCTTCTAGCTCTGGCTTTGCCACTGAAAAAGAAGTTGTTCTGTAAAGGGTGGAAATTCATAGTGCCCAATGCAGAGGATTATTGCTAAAAAGAAGCACATTTAGCTTAGAGCCTGATATAGAGTAAGAGAGTAAGGCATGGTGCACATACTAATGTAATATAATCTGTTTTTACTAATTTATGGTGTTTCTGAATTCATCTTTATACTCCTTCCAAGCTCATTCCTTCCTTACAATCAAATTTATTATTCTGGTTTGGAAGTGAAATTTCTAAATAAAATCAAGTTACCTATACAAGAGAAACTACCAGCTTAAGCCAATTCTTGTGTTTTTTTAAAAAATTATTTTCCACTTTTATTGTAGATTCAAAGGGTACATGTGTTTGTTGCCTGGCTATATTGCGTGATGCTGAAGTTTGAGATACCAGTGATCCCATCACCCAGGTACTGACAATAGTACCCAACAGTTAGTTTTCCAACCCTTGCTCCCCTCCTTCTCTTCACCTTCTATCAGTCTCCACAGTCTATTGTTACCATCTTTATGTCTATGAGTACCCAGTGCTTGGCCTCTACTTATACAGGAGACCATGCAATTAAACCAATTCCTAATCCAATACATTTCACTCAAGAAAACAATGGAAGCACCCTATACTTCATTTTCGATAATTTTAGACTCACAGAAAAGTTGCAAAGATAATGCAGTTTCTGTACAACTTTCCGCAGCTTGTATTTGTAAAACATAAGTGTGAATTATTTGATAAATGATATTTACTGACGTAGGTAGTAGCTGGACTATTTTGAGAGAAACAAAACTGCACCTCAAATGGAAGCCAGTAAAACTATTCATTCATTCATTCTCCCCTACTTAATAGTTGGTTGCCTGGAATGGTGCTTGCCTCATGGTAGACAGGCAGTAATTTACTATTTATTCGTGCTTAAAGAAGTTATTGAGATCATTGACAGCTCTTTGCAATTCTCCACTGTGGAAAATTTCTTTGGTGACAGGAAAGGTTTCTGGCTTCTAGTTCAAGAAAAATGGCAGAAATGGAAGAGCTGAAACCTCAGAGATAGTGATTAAAATATAACTATGTTATTTCAGGCACTGGTTCTCAAAGTGTGGTCTAGAGACCCCAAAGACACCCTTTTAGGAGTTTATGCTAGATCATTTTCATAATAATATTTATGAAATTGCTAGTGATATTAATCAAAGTGTTTTATTACTGTAGAATGATATTGTAACATGAAATGTATTGGCATTTGGAAGATTTGCAAAAGTCAGCGAACCAATATGTTTTAAACGAATAAAATCATGAATGCAAGATCTATTTCAGTCACAAGGCCGACCAAATGTGTTTTAATGTAACAGAGTAAGGAAAAGTCATCATCATGGCTTCAGATTTCATATTGCAACCAACCTCTAAGAAACTACCTCTTGTTGAACTTTGGTGTGGTATGAAAGAGGAATATCTACTGTTATCTGAAAAGGCTACTGAAATACTCCTGTCTTTTCCCACCACCTATCTGTGTGAGGCTGGATTTTCTTTATGTATTTACCAAAACAACGTATCACAACAGATGAAATGCAGAAGCAGATAAGAGAATCCAGCCATTTTCCATTAAGGCAGACATTTAAGAGATTTATAATAATATAAAACAGTGCAACTCTTTTCACAAATGTGTTTTTTTCTGGAAAACATATTTTTAATAAAAATGTATAACTTATCAACATTTTAAGAATTTATTATTGGGATTTTAAAATGAATTATTAAACAAGTATTGATTTATTTTTAAATTTCAAATACAGTAACTCTTAGTGGATATAAGCCACCTGGTGTCATCAATTAATTTTACAAGTGTAAAGGGGTCCTGAAACTAAAAAGCTTGAGAACCACCGATTGAAAGTGTTTCTGAAACTGAGAAGGGACCGCCAGGGCAGTGCAGCCGTGAGCCAGGCAGCAGCCATCCCATGGGGCTAGTGATCCAGTTAGGGCTCTGGGTTTGAACTTTAATGCCCTCACAGGGCTTCTGTTCCTTGCTCCTGCATAAATGGGAGTTGGATGGGACACCTTTGCATAAAGCCAATACTTTAGAAGACCTGCAACCCTGGAGAAAGGGGAATAATGAACTTTCTTTACAGGCTTCCTAGGCTTGGGGGATGACAAGAAAGCCCATTCATGTCGTGAATTTGATGCAAAAACACAAATTCTTGTGAGAAATAAAACTAATTCTCACCTGAATTGGAATCCTAACCTTCAAAGGGTGAAAAATCACCAACCAAGGCATTAATGTAAGAATTGGTTCAGAGTGTTTGCTACTCATGAGACACATAGAACAGGCAAATACAAAACTTCTTCAGTGATGCTCTTTAGCAACTCAGTCTCCCTGAGATTCAAAATGGTTTGGGGCAAACTGGGTTGCGGTAAATTGACAAGTTTACAGAAGATTTTCCTTCTCTTTCTAACAACTGTGATGAAACAAGAACCTCCTTAGCCTGATAAAGGACTTAAAAAAACAAACACCTGCAATAAATACTTGTAGATATAAAACCATAGAAGTAATTCATTTAATATCTGGGAAAGGACAAGAATAGCCAGTATCAGTGTTAATATGAAGGTCCAGGCACTGCAGTAGAACCAATTTCAACAGAAAGGAAAGAAATAAAGTTGCCATTTCTCACAGAAAAATTATTTGAAATAATATGGTACCTCTGAAAGGTTTCTAGGTAAAATAGCCACATGTAAAAATCAATAGCATGGCTGTATATCAATAAAAAATGATTGCAAATGCAAATAAAGAGACATAATTTACTATGGAAACAGAAGCTGTAGGGTAATGAGGAAGAAAATATATTTTTTTAAAAAATAAAAAGAAACCTAAATAAGTGGAGAGCTACACCAGGTTTTTTTTTTCCAGAGAAGGAAATATTCAACAGATATTCTCCCAAAATAAATTCATACATTCAGTGTAATCACCAATAATATTCTGGCATGATTTTTTTCTTTAAACGTTGATACTAACTTTCATACAAATAGCACATGGTCAAGTATATCTAGGACAGTTTTAAAACAAGAGTAAAAATAAAGAGGGACACATTATACTAGATATGAAGACTTATTTTAAAGCAAGAGTAATTAAAACAGTGTAGTATCAGTTCTAGGTTAGAACAATAAACCAAAGGAATAAAGTAAAAAGCCCAGCAAAACCCAGATATGCACCTTTGAGAAGGATATGAGGGAGGTGACATTATAAATCAGTGAGGAACAAGTTGACCAACCAATAAAATATTGAGTTTTCTGCTGGCAATAAAGATAAAATTAGATCCTTCTTCATTCCATAAGCAAAACTAAATTTCAGATTGTGCAAAACAACAAAACTCTTAAAAGAAAGTATGAGGTAATATCTGAATGGCATTAGAAGAGAAAATGATGTATTAAATTATATACAAAGAAAAAAAAGGAAAAGAGTGGAACATTTTAATCATGTATCAAATAATCCCCCAAAACTCATGGCTTAAACCACAAAGGTATATTTTTTGATCATGCTACATTCCCTTCAAGGTTTGGCAGGGAGCTCCGTTTATTGGAGACACTCAAAAGCTTATGTTGCCAAAGCAGCCACCACCTTGAAATTGTCAGACCTTAGTGAGCAGTGCTGAGGGTACCTTTGTGTAAATTCTATATGGTCCAAGCTAACAGGGCATTTACACTGATAGCACGTGCCACAGAACCAATAAAGTACGTGAAAACACAGAAATTCTGGTTTGGCTTTGTGAAATTTATAGTAATCAGAGCCACCTCTGCAAACTACTATACAGTAATGACTAATTATTATGCTTAAAATGACTGTGAATACATGCAAATAAGCAGAAGATTCGTCTTTCCCTATGCTTGATTTGATTTGATTAAAACACAGAGCTCCATACATTGCTTCAGAAGATACTTAGAGGGACCAAGGTTTTAATGTAATTCTTTTCTGTGTCTTTGGGCAAGTGATTTTGATCTACAGACTTGACTTTTTTATTTGTATATTGAAGAGTTTGGGCTGGATTGTTGCTAACATTCCTTCTAGGTTGTTGATGTCCCTAACTCCATGTTTCCACAACGTAGCCAAGGAAGCACAGTATTAAAGATTAATCTGAGAACTCCAAGCCTGTGGATTCACTGTCTCCCTGAAACTGGCAGCATGATCTCTTTAATACCTTAAATTTGTTTTCTCCCTTTTCAGTCATCTCTGAAAATGGCTTTTGTTTAACTTTTCTTTTAGCCAATCAGTGATATCATTCTTTTGAAGGCTGCAATTAGTTGATTGAAGAAACCACCAAACGAAACCATTGACTAATTAAGGAGCAGAAAACTTGGTTTATGCAATTTTGGTCTACTGATGAATTAACAATAGATGTCATAAAGATTGCCAGTCTAGGTCTCAGGGCTAATTTAGGCATCCTGTAAGTACCACACAAAAGCCCTAACAGAATGTTTTCTGAGACTGCCAATTTTTCTTTTATTTTCAAAGTGAAGGGTTAATGAGGAGATGGGAGAAAAGCTAATGCGAAAGAATCTTGTTCATGAGCCTGAGAAGCAGATCATTCAAGGAGACCAAAATGTAGGCATCGGCAGAAGTATCGAAAGTATTTGGTGAGACCCAGAATGAAATTATCACCAAGATCATCTCTGCATTGTTTAACTTGCATAAGGTCATCTGCAGCTTGGTTAATGTGCAGCCAGCAATGTATACATTGTGTCTTTGGAACAACCCATCTCTCTGGAATCTGCTTTCTATGTCAAAGATTGTTTGGAGAAGGAGATGAGGCCCATACTAACAGAGTTTGACAATTTTTAAATTTCTGTTCATTAAATACATTCACATCTAGGCGCAAGATGCTCTCAATATGTCTTATTTATAAAAAGATGCGAGTAGACTCATCATTTGAGAATAACATATTTTTATTATTTTCTCTTTTAAAAAAAACACAGATAAAAGAATGTACACACTTTAATGTAAAATATACCAAACCTATAGACCTTGAAGATATTACATATAAGGCTTAATCATGCTTGCGTGTTAATGAAGCCTTTATTAGGCATACAATTCCCAGAAGTTGCAGGACAGGAGCAGCAGCCTCCTCTCCGGGGGGTGAATCAAGTCCATATGGTGGCCAGAGAAAAGGACTGATTCCAGGAGAAAGCCAGGGGGTATGACTTATTAACGTGCCCCCTGCTTGTTTTGCTGGGCTAGTGTCAGCATCCTTTTAGATCTCTGGGCTAGATTAGAATTACCTGAAGCAGGCATCAGACAGGAAAGCGAAGAATCCTCTGGAGAGATTCCAGGAGCTGTTGGCAAAGGCCTACCCTCAGACAGATCTTGAGCGATAATGCTTTCGGCTCTCTGTGTTGGTTGGACAGAATCGAATGGCGCATTGCTTTTTCCAGTGTTACAAAAGAGAAGGCTATGTAATAATTTTTCTAGAAAAAGTAAACAGGGACATAATTTCTCGTTTTCAAAGCTGTTGTGTACGAAGAGGTGAGGGAGTGAAAAGACTAAATATCTCCCCTATTCAGTGGCTTGATGAAAACCGATGCTCTCTGCTTTGTTTTTTGCCACCTCCCCAAAGCAGGCAGGGCAAGAGTGCAAAGCTTCGTCTTCCTATTTGGTGGGTCTACTTTGCATCAAAGGTCTTTTAAAGCTTGTCTGGATTCTAAGGGCAGTTGAGTCTTGTGTATCTGAACATGTAGATCCCTTATTGGAAAACTCTCTCTAGAGCAACAATGTAATTGAGCTCCATTTCCATTCTCCTGGCTACTGCCTCACATGTGTTAATATCCTACTGAAATTCGCTCTTTTCCATTCTGATCCTTCTAAAAGCAGGTTAGTGTAAATGTACATGGGAATCATGTATGTGCAGATCTATGTGCACAGACCCATGTTTAATAAATATTTATGTATAGTCCATAATAGAGACTGCTGCCTAATTGTATGTACCAGCCTTTCTGCAACGGCCAGTTTCATAAGTAGACTACAATGCAGAATTCTATGACAGATCTGAAAAAGAAAGCTGTATCTCCCTACGTCCAAATGCCTCATTTTAAGTTCAAAAACAGTCGTGATATAAGAAACTTTGAAAGATGATTATCAGCTCTGAAATATGATGTTGCTCTTCCCAAGTTATACTTGGGCACTGTAAACACAGCCATTAAATGCAATAGAGAGGACTTGCCAAGAAGGGATTAGAAAAGCGAAGATGGGCTTTACCGGGGGAAGGGTTTTTTGTTTTTGTTTTTAAATCTCTAGTGTATATTGTTACTTGCTAGAACAAAGCAAAACCAACCAACAAGGACAATAGTGAAACCAACACAATCTAACCCAAACAACACAAAACAAGAACATGTCAGAGAATGTGAAATAGGTTCTTCCTTATTGGCAGAGACTACAGTTAAGCTCCAAATTATGGACAAGTGGTACTAAGTTTCTGAAATTCTAAGTTAGAGCTCTGTCAGTAGTTTGGCCAGCCATCTCACCAGAAGGCTGCCAGAGAGTTGGCAAGAGAGAGGGGGCAGTACTGCCACCCTCCACCCTCACCATCACTTTAAGGGTAGGCTTTGGAGAAAAGGGCAAATTAGGAGAATCCTGAGTTTGTGAAAACACGATGATTTCTCCTGGCAACCCTTGCACTGGGAATGGGGCTTGAGTTCCTGCTAGTTCCTCTCTTGCAAGCATGGGAAAAATAGAGTTAAGAATTGCTCAGAAATAAAGTTCCTGCAAGACACGGAGACAAGATATTCACCCTGGCTGGAATGTTTAGCCAGTGTACCTCCTGACTTTCCCAGGACTACTACGGCTGTTGGAACTTAAAAGAAATTGAGAAAAAGCCTGTAATCCCAGCTATTGGCTTGAGCTCAGGAGTTTGAAACCAGCTACGGCAGGATAGCGAGGCCCTGTCTGAAAGAAAGAGAGAGAGAGAGATAAACAAATACATAAATTGAGGAGAGAGGTCATTTTGATAGACTTTTAGGTACAGAAAAGGCCAGGGTTATAGAAGTGGGATCCTACTGAAATGAGGAGTAGATGCTAGATGTTTGGGATTCAGGGTACCAGTACCAGGTGTGGTGTGATGCCTCCAGTGGGAGATGCAGTCCAATCACCAGGGGTGACCAGTGCAAAGGAGTGAGACCTTTATCAACTGGGTTTGTTAGGGCCACTCCCAGGTCTTCTCATATGTCTTCAAGAGAGCAACATATGCCCATTCCTCTTTCCCTCTTTTGCTTCTCACAATTAGAGAAGTTTGTTCCTATAACAGGCTGAGGGAGAGCCTGGTTCTGTCTACTCTCTGACCACAGACACAGCCTCCATTAAGGAAAGGAGAAGAAAATAGCATTGAATTCCCAAATTGCATATTGTTCCAATGATTCCTGGTGGCTGGAAAAAACACAGAGTTGGGCCAACCTCTTGTTAAAAGGGTCCTAAATTGGGGATTTATTGGTGAGATATTGAACAGTACTTAGAAGAAATAAAACTGTTGCAGGTTTGATTCCTCAATATACCTGTTACAGAGACCAGATTTCAAATCTAGTCTATTCCCTCAAAACATGGAAAACTCTAACACCACCCTGGTACAGAGTGAACAACCCACGTTAATGAGGTGGCACTGGAAGGGGACCATACGTACTTAGTAGCACTTCCTGCTGATTGGAGTTGAGACTTGAAGAGATGACAGCCCCAAAGAAGGTATTTAATTTCTTAGTTTTCTGTAGAAAATTGAGCCTCATTTGTATGTCACTTCCAGGGACTGCACACTGGAAATAATAATGAAATTTGGTTGAAATTAAAATGCAAATACCCTGTGGACCCAGTTATAATGGGCCTAGTCATTGGCATATCACAGGTCTCTGCCACTTCAGGACTGAGCACTCATCACCCCAGATGCTAAAAGTATTGTAGATGACAGCTCTCAGTTGAGTCCCTTTCTGGGACTTGTCCTTTGTTGAAGAGAGCCACTTTATTGGAGGTCATTCCCCTGTCCCATGGACATATTGTATCTAAGGCCCCGGTTTAGGGGCAACTAAGCCCTGATTCAGGCTCTCAGCTGGGCCATCCAGTTCAGGAGCTACTCATGAGATAGGCAGAGGCCCTGCTGCTGCTGTATCTCTTTTCAACTTCTTCCTCTAAACCAGGGATCAACAATCTACAGCTCACTGGCCAAATCTGGGTTGCTGCCTATTTTTGCAAGGCTTATGAGCTAAGAATGGTTTTTACATCTCTAAATGACTGAAAAAATTCAGAAGGAGAATGATATTTTGTGACATCTAAAAATGATAGGAAATTCAATTTCAGTGTCCATAAGTGAAAGTTTACTGGAACCCAGCCAAGCTCATTCATCGATGTATTTTCTGTGGCTGCCTTTGTGCTATAACAGCAGCGTTGAATAGTTGCCACAGCAACCATATGACCCACAAAGCCTAAACATTTAGTATCAGGTCGGTAATAAAAAAGTTTGCTGACCGCTGCCTTAAAGCAGGCCTGCCTCCTTTGCACCCCACAGGTGGTGATTCTGAGTGTATTTCCTAATAAGCTTGCACCACGTAAACCTTCAGTGCAGGGCCTGGTTCTGGGGCTCCTGACTGGAGATGGTACATCATTCTTGGTTATTAAGGTTCTCAGAGAAAGGATACTGTATTTCATACTCTTGGACACCTCATCCCAAGGAGTACTGAATAGTAATCTAATTTTAGTCAGCTACATGGAACTTACTTAATAATGGTTTAAAAAGTAATACTTGCTATACAATTATCACATAAAACTGAAATGTATTTAATGTTCTCATTTGTATAGTATTATTTTCCCCTCCAGTGAGACATGCTCATTTTCCTCTAGGGCCTCTCCACTCCTGGATCATATAAACCCACCCCTGACACATTGGGTGAGCACATAACCAGGCTAGCCAATGAGAGCACCACATCCCCACACCCTCAAACCACAGGATGCGCACATGACCCTAGGCAGACCAGCAAGAGCCCGGCCCAAAAAGTTCCTGGCACTTTTAGAGAAGGGGTCTCACTAAGCTGATGGGATATCAGCTTGAAAATGTGTGGGCCACCATGATGAAGGCCTGCCAAGAGCTGGAGAGATAGAGGTGAGGTCCTAATGGGGTCCTTCCAGCTCTGTTCTCCGTCATGATTTGTCAACAAATTCCTCGGCTTGCTTCAGCCAGTTTTGGTTGGTTTTTGGCACTTGCAGCTGACAGTCCTCACCAATGCAGAGATTTGCTTCTGTCCCCAGGGTTTTCACACATGGGGCTCCTTGATCCTTACAACACTCTGACATAAGAATCTTCACACTTGAGGACACCAAGGCTCAGGGAGAAGTAACCTGCCAGCAGATGATGAATCTGAAATGTGAATGCCTGTCATTTCACTCTAAATCCCTGTTCTTTCTCAGAGATGATGTACATGATCATTTCTCAACTGCATATATAAAGCAACAGAGAAAATGTTCTCTGCAATTTACAATCAAAGAGAAAGAACGTGCCCTTTATATTGTGGTATAGTGTGGACTTATTTAATTTTCATCAGTGGAAATGTAAAACTTATTTCAAGAAAAATATTCAAAAGATTTTAAAGACATCAGAGGACGCTTCAATAAAAGAACAGTTACAAGATTTCATACTAATTGAGTTAGAAATATGCAAATTTAATATTCTTTAAAATCCCCAACGTCTTGAAGTTTAAAACAGAGAATCAGTGGCATGTAGAAAGCATCATGTTGTTCTGCTTTGTTTTAGAAGTCTCACTGTTCATGCTGCCACCACTGGCCTGGGGTTCCCTTCATATAGCAATAACAAATCCACCTACCATAAAGACTTCATTATTTTTAAAATTAAAATAGAGGTATTGTTTTTTCTGATTACATAAATAATGCATACTGATTTTAAAATAAGAAAGAGAACAGAAGATTAAAGAAGGAAATAAACATTGTTCAACATCCTTGCCACTGAATGCAAACCACTGTTTCTATTTAGATGACACTTTTCAGCCATTGAAGCTTCTCACTCCCTATTTCCTCTTCACACAGGCTATTTTTCCTACATTTCCTTCCCACCCTTTTTAATAATTCATGCTAGGGGAGGAGTGTCTGGAGGGCATTGGGTGAGGGTGAAAGTGAAGTAAGACTGGTGTGCTTTGGCAATGGGGAGCTGGAGGATGGATGGACAGAACATGAGAGTTTGTTACATATTCTCCACTTTTAAACATGCTCGAAAATTTCTTTAACACAAAAATTTAAAAGTATTCTGTAGTTAACATTCTTAACATATGCATACTAAATTACAATAAACAAAACATTAAAATATCACCAAAAAAAGGCAAATTATACTTATTTTTATTTTATTTATTAAATAAAACAGAAAACCACTGATGAGGCGGAAGCCCTTTCAGGATCTTACTGGAGTTAACACGCATGCCCTGCCTTCTGGGTGCAGGCTTCTGAGTCTTCAGAGTACAGAGGGAGCAGTCTGCTCATTCTCTTCTCCTTCCTTTCCCTCTGCATTTCTCCATCTTCTGGTATTGGGACAGGGAGGAGAGTAGGGAAAAAGGTGTCGCCTCCCCTCTTGGGTGCTTCTGCTTCCGAGTGTGCTTGCGTCTCTGTGCGCCCTGAGAGGTGTGTGCTGCGTTCCTGGTGGCAGGTACCGAAGGCGGCGCCGGGGCACGAGTATCGGTTGCTTAACCCCACAGTACCCCAGGACCCATGTGCATGTAGGCTCAGGCTTCCAGTGCCATCCCGCCCTCCGCCCCCTCTCTCTTTTCTCTCCTTCCCGGCTTCAAACAGGAACCACGGGCGGAGCAGCACAATAAATAAAATTAAATAAATCAAACAAATTAAATAAATAAAATTAAACAAATTAAATTAAAGAAGCACAGTGGAGGATGAGCCTGCCTAGATCGAGGTACCCATCCGCTTTCCCTCCTTACAACGCTGTTATTGGTTTGTTTTGATTACTGTTTTGTTTTGTGGTGGGGAGCCATCCTGAACCTCTTCCTGAGAAGTGGGAAAGTTGCACCGCCCTCCACAAGGCTGACTCTGAGTTAGGACTGGGAGGGAGCATTCCCATTTCTTATGGGTTTACCATTTATTTGGCCCCCCGGGTGCCCTGAGGTGGGAGTACTACCTCTGGAGAGCCAGGGCCGCATGAGCGCCTCTATTCCTCACTGGATCTCAGGGACTGGGAGACTCTTTCCCACGGCTTTTGTACCTGGTTGCCAATTCTGCCTCCACAGGAAGTTGTCGCTCAGCCTCTTCTTCCACTGGCCCTGAGCGTACTTGGCAAAGTCCAATTGCCCGGAGGTAAGTTCCTCCCCAGAGTTCCTGTCTTCAAGCATCACCTCTTGCTGCTCTCACCATCTGTTTCTCCAAGTCTGTGTTCTGTTTCCATACATAATGGGAGATGGAGGAGGAAAGGAGCCGCAGAGAAAACAGCGGCAAAACTACCCTTTGTTCTTCCTTGGTAAAAGGATGAACTAATCCATACTCAAATGATAATGGTTGCGATTTATCATGTCTTCCTACCAGTATTCTGCAGATTGCCCCGGAGGATTGCCACCTCAGGGCATGGAAAAGCTCCTTAGAACTGAGCGTGAGAACTGGGTCTGTTCACATGAAAGGAGCAGAAAGACGCTGAGGGTTGCTGCGTAGTGACTAACCAAGCATTCAGGAGTCCAAATGCTGTTTGAGTCCTGCAGTAGTAGTGTCTGCTAAGTAGCAAATACTTCCATAAACCTCAGTTTCCTTTTCTGTGAAAGAAACGAGTACCCTTCTCCCAGGGTTGCTGTGGGGGATTAATTGAAACGATGCATGAAAAAGAGCTTTGGAAACTGTAATGCACTTATGCAGATAGCAATTATAAAAGCCCCTCAGGGCCCTGAGATGGTAAGATATTATTACCATGGAGCTGGTTTTGCTTAGTTAAATCAAGAGAAGTTTTGAAAGTTAGTAAGATATGAGATTTATAGGCTACCTTTTGTGGCCTTGATCCATTTTATACTTCTTCTAACTCAGCACTTTGGGGACTTCAAAGAGGAATCTACTCACAGAAAAAGTGCACGGACCGGAAAGAAGAGTCAGGAAGCTCGTGACCGGTTACCTCCTCCACATGGCAAGCTTCCCCTCCCTGCACAGGGATGTGGTGAGCTGGCCTCTCTCTTATTACTATCCTAAGGGCAGGCCAGGACTCTTCCTGGGGAAGCATCAGGAAGCTGAATTCCACTTGGGCTTGCTTGTAACAAACCAAAGGCAGACTTTCTTCTCTTAGCTGGTTGGGGCACCCAGGCCCTTGGACTCACTGTTTATTGTCACCTGGCACCAGGGTTTTAGATAGGGCTGTAATCTCTCCTCACTCCTTTTAGTCTGAGAGCCATGGATTGCACTGCAGGTCCTTCATTGCCATTGTAGCATAACATACGCACTTGTGAGGAAGGACTTAAACACAGTGTCTCTCCTCTTTATATTTTGTGTAGCTATAACGTAACTACTTCAGAAGTGGGCAATAGTAAGCTTTGGACAAAATCAACTACTTGGCTTGAATCTTAAGGTAATATTGTGTTTGTCACTGACTGAACAGTTGAGGGGATAATATTCTCCCAGTGATATGCAATAATCATGCCTTTCAGAGTAGATGTTCATTGGCTCCACAAATTCCTCATGAACTCCTACCATGTGGCCACCTTGGTGTGAATGCTGAGAATATGACTGTGACTAAGACCAATGGAGTCTTAGCCACAGATTACTGGGAGAAGACAGACATTAAATAATTATACAAATGCATAATTAATTACAAGCGTAACATGTGCTATAATTAGGGATGTCAGGTAAGATACCAGACAGTTAAATCTGAATTTCAGATAAATATATGAAACTTACTTATACTAACAGAGTATATACTGTTTGTCTGAAATTCAAATGCCACTCTATATTTTTAGTTGCTGAGTGTGACAATCCCAGCAGCTATGAAGGGGTGCAGGATGCTGTAGGAACATATTTACAGTAAGTCTTAAGCTTGTCTGAAGGTAACAGTGAAATGGACAACTCAGGGGCTAAGAGTAGAAGAAGCTGACAAGCCATTATCAGTTAACTATAATTTAGTATTTTTAAGAGGGAAGTAACCTTCATACACAGCTAAAGAGAAAACATTGACAAGATATGGACAAAGTTTGTCCAGCAAGCACTCGTAGGTAGGAAGCTGATTTCTAAAATTTAATATTGCCATACAGGGTGATTTATAGATTGCACCATGGAAAGGTTTTATGGGAAATTTCCATGCTGAGCTCCAGAGCTCAGGGCAGGTGTAGGACTATGTTCCAAGAAAGTCCGGAAATGCTCACCCTAACCAATTACTGCAAATCCTCTGCTCACAAAGGAGTCCTTGAGAAAGAAAGGAAGGCAGGTGGACACATACCATTTTCTCCAGGCAAGACCAATAGCCAAAAAAAAAATAAGAACGAAAAACCCTGCAGCCTTAGCTTCCATGGAAGAATGCCTGTTTCACAGTGCATTTACTTTTCGGTCTGGAGCCTCCAGGGCTGGCGTGCCTGAGTGCAAAGCCCCTTGGAGGCGGGTCTGAGGAAGAACCCTCTGCAGTGTAGGGGAGGGTAACAGCAGAGCTCTACTGGGGGTTCGTGCGTGGGCCCAGGCCCATTCTCCATCCTGCCTCCAAGGCCTGGAGCACACCCTCTTGGGCCTTTTCCTTTCCTTCCTGCCTTCTCCTTCACTGAGCTCCCTCCATCTCCGCAGGTCCCGATCTCCTTTTGTATTTGTCTCTTATGTTAAAAGAAAAACCTTAGACTAGTTAAATGTAACAGAATGTAATTGAGCAAAGAACGATTTGCTAATCGGGCAGCACTCAAACATGAATAAGTTCAGAGAGACTCCAGCACAGCTGTGTGGTCCGAAAACATTTATGGACAGAACAAGGAAAGTGACCTACAGAAAACAGAAATGGGTTATAGCAACAGCTGGTTTTTGCCTTATTTGAACACAGTTTGAATAGTTGGTTATCTTTGATTGGCCAAAACTCAAGGCACAAAAGTAGGTTACAGTCTGTTGACACATCCAGTTAGGTTGCAGTTGACTGTGTACTGAGAAACCTTTAGGCTGAACTTAAAATATGTGAAGAGGCAGATTTAAGCTAAACTTAATTTAACACCCGCTTTTTCCCTTCTCTTTCCCCTTCTGTTTGCTGGTCAACCTATGAGATTCAGCTATTTAACACAATATCTGCTTATTGTTTGAGGGCAGCAGCATTGCCCATTCTTAACCTTAAAAAAAAAAAAAAAAAAAGAACTGTTCTATCAAGAAAACCTAAAAATGAAATTAAGGTGTGGCCCTTAATTATTAGCTATGGTTTAATTCTTTCTCTGTAAGTGGTCCTCCCTAGAAAAACATTCCTTTTTTTTCCTATTGTAGATAAGGCCTAAGACCTAATACAGAGTTCAAATCACAGGCATGGAAAAAAGTCATTCAGAATATATCACACAAGTTTAACTTTGACTTTTGTCTCCACCCAAACATTTATTACTCTTTAAAATTCTTAATTATAATGTGATGCAACTGGTTAGGAAAGAGCTGTATTCACGCAGTATTGATATGCAGTGCTACATTTCTTTAACAATACCCAAAAAACCTATGTTAAATTGGATTTCTATAAAAATCAGAAAGGGAGGGGTGGACAATACAGTCATCCCTCACTACCTGTGGGAGATTGGTTCCAGGATCTCCAAGATTCTCACATGCTCAAGTCTCTGATATAAATGGCATAATATTTGCATGTAACCTACCCATATCCTCCAGTATACTTTTAATCATCTCTAGATTACTTACAGCACCAAATACAATGCAAATGCTGTGTAAACCGTGGTTATACTGTGTTGTTTAGGGAATAATGACAAGAAAAATAGTCTGTACATGTTCAGCACAGCAGCCATGCATTTTTTTCCAAATATTTTCCATCCCTGGTTGGTTGAATCTGTGGGTGCAGAACCCGTAGATACGGAGGATCTATTCTGTGGAATGAACCATGTGCGGTGAGTGGAAATAAGGAATCATTCTCACTAAGTACAAATTAAATCATTGGCCAATTGGGGCTTAAGAAATATCTCTGCCCTCTCTGCACTCTTTCCTTCTGTCATCTGCCCCAGTGTCAACTGATAATCCCTTTTCACTTTTCACATCTGACTATGTCCCATATCATTCCTTTCAAGGAAGCAATCCATTCCTTGTAGCATGGTGTTCTGGCCCCAATTTTTTTTTTTCCCTATAGGATGATTGCTCTTTCTGCCTCTGGACCTGTTTATTTTCCAAGCCTGGCTCTTCAGCCTTTTGTCAATTCTAAAAACCAAATATGCTTCCAATGAGCCCCGTATGACTTTATAAGGTAAACAGGGCCTATTTCTGTTGCTTGCAATAAGAAAGACTGATTCACTTGCTTAAAGCGAAGTCTATTTTCTTCTTCTGAATGTCTTCAAAAGTGATAAATTTAGATTAAGCCTCTGCAGTATTTTCTGCATATTATATTTAATGGTTCATTTCATTTTTTATTTAATTATACAAATAATGCACAACTGAGTTCACATTATTAAATGATCAGAGGTAAGAAGAGTTCCTCTTCAGTGACACTCTGTTGATGTTAGGTCTCCTCCAGTGTGCTGGAACCAGCTCCTACCAGCTCCTCAGAATTGCTGTTGAATTTTCAGGGATTTCTGTGAGCTGGTTGTGAAATACAGCCATTATGGGTGGGAACCACAGTGTAAGTATTTACACCACAGAAATTGGCAAATGCTACAAATCCATCTTTGTTTTTCTTCTCTTGAAAGCTGTGCAGACCATTATGCTGTGCATGTTGTTTTCCAATTTCTTTTTCTCACATAACCTAAATGTACTGTAAAACTTACCCTGTTGACATACACAACACTTCCAATTCATCCCTGTCACCTAGAACAACAGTGCTTATTGTGGCCTGAGACCCCCATGGGAATTGCTGAGCATCTCAGACTGCCTGCGAGGTCCTTGCTTTTCCAGTGATATGTCTGTGCAGGGCAGCATTTTCTTCATATACTTTAACTAAAACAATATACCACAGCGGATTGATGCAGAAGCAGATATGAGAATCCAGTTTTCTTCTATCAAATCATACCTAGAGACAACACAAATGTAAAACAACATCAATCTTCCCTCTAAAGTTCATTTGTATAGTTATTTTTCATGTTATTTATGTTAAATTGAAACAGATTTATTATTGTTATTTGTAAATCAATTAGTAAATAAATATTTAATGTTTTTTAGTTTTAATTGTAACACAAAAAATATTGATAGTGTAACCCACATAAATAAAAAGTCTTTGCGGGCCTCAATAATTTTTAAGAGCATAAAGGGCTCTTGAGATTAAAAAGTTTGAAAACTGCTGCCATGACCTTTTGCTGTGGCAGCTGTCAGACACTGCAGACAGCCTCATGGTCTGGAGGGAAATTCTCTGTGTGCAGTCAGGTCTTATGGATTGTAAGATTCCACATCACCCATTGGTGGACAAAGTGTCTCACATCAGTTGAAGGTACTGATAAAAGCATTGCTGTCTAGCTATGAGGACAGCCATTATATTTAATGGTTCATTTCATTTCTCTTGGAGAAGGACTAGATCCCAGGCAGGGCATTCTCCTATGAAGGGAGTCAGCAGTCTCCCTGAGATGGAGCAGCCCCTCTGGTGTAGACCAGGTGCATTTAGCCTGAAGACACATTGTACTTGGTAAGCTGCTTTTCAAGGATCTGTAAAAATGGGGGGCCGGGTGCAATGGCTCATGCCTGTAATCCTACCACTTTGGGAGGCCAAGGCAGGCAGATCACGAGGTCAAGAGATCGAGACCATCCTGGCCAACATGGTGAAACCCCATCTCTACTAAAAATACAAAACATTAGCTGGGCGTGGTGATGCACACCTGTAGTTCCAGCTACTTGGGAGGCTGAGGCAGGAGAATGGCTTGAACCCAGGAGGTGGAGGTTGCCGTGAGTGGAGATTGCAACACTGCACTCCAGCCTGGGCAAGAGAGTGAGACTCCGTCTCAAAAACCAAAAAACAACAACAAAAAACAAAAACAAAACAAAGCAACAAAAACAGCTGAGAACTAAAAAATGAATCATGTCAAATATGAAAATATGAAAGGAAAGGACCAAATCAATACAAAAAATAATCCTAAAATCAAACTCATAAAAATGTGTTCAAATTTGGGGCAGAAAATGCATATGGGATGCATGTGTCTATCCACATTTTTACTATGATGTGGAGGGGGCCTCAGCAACTAAGACTGCTTAAGGTTTACTGAAGTTTTTTGATAGCCCATTTGCAGATTCCAGGTGGAGTAATATTTTATGAGATGTTCCTCTGCATGTGGTTCATATTGCTGTGACTTTGAAGTGTAGGTGCTTTATCTAGGTCATCAGTGACAAACACCTAGGCTTGCAGAATTGCCTACTATGGGATTTTTAAAAGATTTTTCAAAAATCGATTTTGAAACTTTTTCCCAATGATGGGAGGTATAAGTAGTTTTAAAAAGCCAATATGGAGATCAAATGACCCACAATGCCCATGTGGCACAGTTTTGGTTTACATATCAGTGCTTTGGTATCCAGACATCATGTTTCCAACACGAATTCTTGCAAGTCTTGAGTGCCTCCTTGCTCTTCCTTGGAATTGCAGATGCTCTCCTGCGTGTGGTCTTTCCCTTTGCATTTATTTGTCCTGGATGTTCTTCACCGCTCCTCACCTCCATGTCTGCATGTTTCATTCATTCCTAAGCTAATTCAAATATTCACTAAAATGCCTTCTTAATGAGGCCTTCCCTGGCCACACTACTCAAAATCAACTCCTCCTCCTAATGCTTTCTAACTATCCTCTTTCATTTTCAGTTTTTGTTTCTGGCTTTTTCTTATCATCCTTCTTCCCACTTTCCACTAGAATATTCCCATCAGTAAGGCAGGAATTTCTGCCTTCTTTGTTCACTGTGGTCTCCCCAGCATCTAACATGGTAGATGTTCAACAGATGGGTTGACTTAATGAATAAAATCAAACTTTACTAGGAGGATATTATTTCTTTTTGATGGTGTAGTTCTACTTTTAGAGGAAATGAGGAAAATAGTGGAAAGGGGTAGCTTGGAGCACCCTGGTCTCCATACCATGTTAATATCTCCAGGTGCCATAGCTAATAGGGACTGGATGGAAATGAGAGGTGCAAGGATGGGGAGAAGACAAAATCACTCTACTTTGAGGAACACTGGGAGGGATGGTTCTTCTTTGAGTCATCTGTCAGTGTATCTTCCAGAGCAGGAAATGCCCCTGGTGATGAATTCTTGCCAGCCCAGCAGGTTTTGATTTTGGAATGTGTTCATGTTCCTTGTAGGGGGAGAATGGGTAGGTAACTTCTCTATGTCCCTGCTTTGAGGCAGCTCCAAATTATGTCTTAGAAAATTTGACTCTTACAGGTGCTTTCTTGGGTTCAAGAAGATGTGACAAGGCATTCTCTTTAGAGGTGTGTTGACCCGTATCATCCCCAGCCTATGTAATCGGTTTGTTACAGCTCATGGCTCTATTTAACTGGCAGCATAAAATAACTGTTCTTGAGGGCTAACATGAAACTCATGGATTTTCAATGGCTATCAGCAGCTCAGTTGAGAGAAACAGCATTTAGAGAGGGCTGCCTTAATAAATCATTTCTCTAGATTCATATTTCTCAACCTTGGCTGGGCATTAGATCACCTGGGCATTTGTAAACATATAGACATCTGGACTTTTGCTGGGCTTTTCGATGGAATTTTTACTGGGAATCTGATTCAGCAGGTCTAGAGCTATCCCAGGTATCAGCATTGTTAAACATCTCCATGGATGTCTTTGTTGAAGAGCCAGCTGTGAGAATTACTGCAAGACAGTCTAAATATTGATCACAAATTAAAATGCCTAAGTGGGGGCCAGGCAGGTAATGTAAATGAGTTACGCAGATTAGTGAAGACTGGACAATTTACTGTCTATCCCCTGGCCCAAAGGGGCAGCCTGGTACTCGGTGCCAACTAATAGCAGCCATGTGAATCCGCTGTTGCCAGGTCTTACAATTGTTTAAGGAATGCTGAAGTATCTGGATTTTTATGTGCAATTGTCCAATTTTTATGTTTGCTTAATTTAAACTCCCCACTATTGTGGCCAAACAAAATATACTTCAGGCCAAATTCTAGCTCGAGGGGAGTCTGTTTGCAAACTCTGCAAAATCTTCTCTTGGTTAAAGGCAGTTTGCTAGAGAGCCATGTTCCTGGACTGCATGAACTGGCTCTCCACTTAGTAGTTTTTATAGAATGGTGGTGTATTCCCATATTAGGAGAAAGTACAAGAACAGCCCCACCAAGATGAATCACATTGTTCATTGTAGCACTGCTATAGGGGCATTCCTTGTTACACTACTGTTTATCCTCTTTCTGATGACTCTGGGGGAAATGTGTTCCCAGCCTTAGCATGAGGACAAGCTGAGGCTCTCCTGAGTGGCTGCTTTGCACTGTTCTAAAGACACTCTGAATGATGTAACTGATCATACTCCTCTCTTTCGTTGGGTTTTATAATTCTTGGAGCCATGTTACATCTCCTGATTTTAGCAAGAATATAAAATGATATGGTATGTATTTTTTCACACTGACTGAATTCGTTTTCACTTTGTAATATTACCTTGTTTATGCTTTATGTTTTCACTCTTACTTCTGTCTTATCTTGCTATGTTTCCAGGATTTAATTAGATATCTTAATTTATTTTTGAGTGGATGTAGAACAGGTGAAAAAATAATAAATATTGAAGAAAATTTCTGCTTCCCCCCTCCCCCTTTTTTAGAGACATAGTCTTGCTCTGTCACCTAAGTTGAAGTGCAGTGGTGCAATCACAGCTCATTGCAGCCTTGAACTCCTGGGCCCAAGCAATCCTCCTACCTCAGTCTCCTGAGTAGCTGGAACTACAGGTGTGCACCACCACACCCAGCTAATTTTATTTTTTACTTTTTTGTGTAAACGTAGTAGGGGTCTCACTTTGTTGCCCAGGCTGGTTTCGAACACCTGGGCTTAAGCCATCCTACTGCCTTGGTGTCACAAAGTGCTGGAGTTACAGATGTGAGCCACCACACCCAGCCTGTTTTGTTTTAACAGAATGAAAATATCATTTGAGGTTTTTGAGAGGAGACAGTCAGGAAATAATACCTCAGTGTCCAGCAGAGCTTAAAGCATTCTATATTATGCCCAGAGTGAAAGCAAAGTATCTGCAATATTTATGCATTTTCACACTTATCTACATTAATTAGAGTCTGTAGGATTAATCTGGATTTAGCATGACATGGGGACTTCAAAGCCTATTTATAATTAAGTTCTAAAAATCATCATTACATTTTTAATGTCTCAAAAGGAATGCATATTTAAATTTTTGAAGGATACTACAAAATTGTCCTTGATGATTTGCGTCTCCAACTTTCTCCATCTCCACAAGAAAGCTGGACATTAGCTTCAGCCTTGTCTTCGCCAGCACTGAATAGCATCAACCTATAAAACATTTCCACAATGTTTTAGGTGATAAGTTGCTTTCATTTGTTGGTGAACTTGAACATTTTTTCCATACATTTTTTGGCCATTTTTATTTCATCTTCTTAAATTTTTTTTCAAATATTTTCCAGTGTTTTGATTTTTTTTTACTAGGTTGTATGTGGCTCTTTTATCCTGTAAAACTAAATATGTAATTAGTAATAGGTAATTGGTACCATGTTGTAAATATTTCTATCTCTTGGACACTGGTATTTTAATTTTACAATAACAAAAGATACCATAAAGTTTTGTTTTCATGTTGTCAAATCTAACATTGCTTTAATTCTGAGTATTTTGCTCTGGAAAATCATCCCGAATGAAATAGTGGTAAAATATGATAAACTATAATAAAATAGTTTAAAATTTTATATGCAAATGCAAAATTACATGTTTCTGTTTAGTTTTTAAGTCCATTTGGAATTTATTGTTGTAAGTCATTGTGGGTTAGGGATTTTATTTTCAGTTTGATAATCATTTGTCCTAACATTATTTGTTGTTCAAACAGCTCCTAATTTTTCTGCCATTTATATTTTAAGTTTATTTATCATTTTTAAAAATCACCAATATATTCATTGATTTGTTGAATAAAATCAATAATACAAATCAAAGACAGCCCAAAATATTGAAACTTTTTAAAGTAATGATTTGTTTTGACAGTAGAAGGGAATTGCATTCAGGTTATTTTGCTTTTGGCAACCAAATTTTATAAGTACTGTGATGCATATTTGAATTACCCAATACATTTTGATAATCATTGTTACTTACAGATAATGTGGTTTGGATTAAAACAATAAATGAAGAAAATCAATTTTGGTGATGCTTTGTTTAAAGAAATATTGTAATTGAAAAATCATTTTTATTTAAAAGGGGGGCATGTTTGGAAAATTATCTGAAATGTCTTATGAAGATTTTATTATATGCCAATTGATATATTTGTATAATTCTATGAAATTATGTATCACTATATTCCCTAGAACATGCTTCCTATGTGGTTCTATTTTTTAAACTTCAGTTATATATTGGTGGTCTTAATAACCACTTTGTCTTATTTTTTGAAACTTCCACAGTATTTTACAAATCAACTTGCTTCATCAGTGTCAGGAACATGGTCAAAGTCATCGAGCATTTGCAAAAAAGAAGGCTTAGTGAGGTTAATGTAGAAGTAGAGAAACTGAAAGCTCTGAGATATCTTAGGAGTGAAGAAGCATGACACCTTTGTTTTGGAGATGGTGGGTTGAGGTCTTGAGTTTAAATAAATATAAAGGTCTATATTTAACGCATGTATTAAAAAAATATATAGCTTCAGTTCATTCATTTTAACTTCTGTGTAGATTCTTGCATATGAATATGGTATTATTATTTATCCATTTCCCTCAGGCTGTTCGTAATTTTTACTATTACAAAAATGCTAGACCTCCTTGTACCTATCTCCTTGAATAATTATATGGAATAATATAATTGAATAATTATATGGAATAATCTTCTAACACAGTGGTCCCCAACATTTTTGGCAACAGGGACTGGTTTTGTGGAAGATAGTTTTTCCATGGACTCTAGGGGGATGGTTTCAGGATGACACTGTTCCATTTCAGATCATCAGGTATTAAATCCTCATAAGGCGTGTGCAACCTAGATCGCTTGTATGCACAGTTCTCGATAGGGTTCAAGCTCCTGTGAGAATCTAATGCCGCTGCTGATCTGACAGGAGGCAGAGCTCAGGGCCTTGTTTGATGCTTACCTCCTGCTGTGCGGCCGGTTCTTAACAGGCCATAGACTGGTACTGGTCCATGGCCTGAAGGTTGAGGACTCCTGCTCTAATGCCTATGGCTAGAAGTATGCAATGTTGGGTGTTAAGGAATATGCATTTTCACCTGAATGCATATCACTAGATCGCTCTTCTAAGCAGTAGTTATGACACTCAAGCAATGAATAACAACTCATTTCTCTAATATTTGATATTTTCACAGTTTTTATTTGTGTCAAACTTGTGTGTTAAGAAGTATATCACTGTTGTTTTAATGTGTTTGTCCTTAGTTGCAAGTAAAGTTACATATGTTTACTGACCATTTGGTGTTCTTCCACTGATAAACAACTGTTCATATTATTTGCTTATTTTTCAACTTTATTGAGGTATAATTCGCATACAATAAACTGCATGCATTTTAAAGTGTAAAATTTAGTAAGTATTGGCATATGTACATATCTATAAAACAATCACCAGCCATCAAATTAACATAATGAACATACCCATCACCCAATATGTATGTATGATCTATCACCCACAGACATACTGTATGATTAAATTTATATAAAATTCTAGAAAATGCAAACAAATACTTAATGACATGAAGCATATCAGTGGTTGCTTGGGAATGGCAGGGTTTGCAGGAAGACTGAGAGGAAAGGAGGAGATGACAAAGGGGGGACCAGCTCCTTCTTCTTCCGTGTAAATTTTAGAATGTTATTCAAATCTCACAAAACTATATTTTTGGAATTTTGATTGGAATTGCTTTGAGTTCATATATGAATTTGGAGAGACTAACATTCATGCAACATTGATTTTCTCCATCCGTGAATGTTTTTTCCTTTCATTAATTTATTTTTATTATTTATTTTTATTTTTGTAGAGACAGAAGTCTTGCTATGTTGTTCAGTCTAGCCTCAAACTCCTGGCCTCAAGTGATCATCCTGACTCAGCCTCTCAAAACACTGGGATTACAGGCATGAGCCACAACACTCAACCTCATTATTTTATATTTTCCACTAATGTCTTGAATATAATTCTAAAAAAGTTTCCTAGGTATGCTCAAAGTTTTGTTTCTATTGTGAATGGGGTTCATTTTTCTCTTCCACATTTTAACTGGTTATTTCTGATGTATGAAAATGCTATAGACATGCGATTTGGCTATTAAAACTGGAAACCTTAAAAAGCAGCTGAATTTTAATAGGTTTTTTTTAATACATTCTTAATCTTCCTATGGAGACAATCATGTTGTCTGCAAATAATGACAGTTTTGTGTCTTCCTGTCAAATCCCATACCTCTAATGTCTGTTTTTTTCCATCACATTGGCTAATAATTCTTGCACTGTGTTGAATAGTACGTTTTCCTTAATTTGGAGAGAAGGCGCCTGTAGTTTCACCAAGATCATAAATAATACTAGGCCAGACTCAGTTCAAATTTGTTTTCAATTTTAGTTTCCTATAAAACCATAAAGCAAGCTCGCTAAGAAGATAAGTAACCCCATTAAGCCCATGCAGATTCCCAATGACTCCTTTACTACTCAGAGATCTGTGCCTACGCTGGTGGTTAATTCAGCTATGCGAAGTGAGAAGTCCACATGTCAGTGGACCTCAGAATCATTAGTTCGGTGCCTTATTTACAGTAAGGATGAAAGAGGGGTCACATTAGGCCCAAGCTCTATCTCTTGTCAGGTAAGAAATTTTTCCTTTCAAGTACTCTGTTTCATTCTTGAGCATTTTATTTCTACTGTTTCACCAGGGCTGCAGTGCCTTTGGTCATGGACTGCCACATTAGGTTAGAGATTTTATTTTATTCATAGTTCGCTAATTTTAAAAAATAACTTAGTGTTTTTATTAATTACAATTTTTACAAATTGAAATAAACATATACATTTACAAATATATTAATGGGTCAATTTATGTCAACAGGTTTTTTGTTTTGTTTTGTTTTTTGAGATGGAGTTTCACTCTTGTTGCCCAGGCTGGAGTGCAATGGCACGATCTCGGCTCATCGCAACCTCTGCCTCCTGGGTTCAAGCGATTCTCCTGCCTCAGCCTCCTGAGTAGCTGGGATTACAGGCATGCACCACCACACCCAGCTAATTTTGTATTTTTAGTAGAGATGGGGTTTCTCCATGTTGGTCAGGCTGGTCTTGAACTCCCAACCTCAGGTGATCCACCTGCCTCGGCCTCCCACCAAAGTGCTGGGATTACAGGTGTGAGCCACGGCGCCTGGCCTCTTTTTTTTTTTTTTTTTTTTTTTATTGAGACAGAGCCTCACTCTGTCACCCAGGCTGGAGTGCAGTGGTGTGATCCCGGCTCACTGCAACCTGCACCTCACGGGTTCAAGTAATTCTCCTGCCTCAGCCTCCCAAGTAGCTGGGATTACAGGTGCCTGCCACCAAGCCCGTTTTTTTTTGTATTTTTTTGTAGAGGAGGGGTTTCACCATGATGCCCAGGCTGGTCTCAAACTCCTGGGCTCAAGCGATCCACCCACCTTGGCCTCCCAAAGTGCTGGAATTACAGGTGTGAGTCCTCGCAACTGGCCAAAATTACATTTTCTATAATTTTAAGGTATTTTGGAAAGAAAGAGAAAGAGGAGAAAGAGGGAGGGAGAGAGGAAGAAGAGATAGAGGTTTGACCACTCTGACTACATAATCTCCATGTCATTTACTGTGATGATACTTGACTTTGAGCATTTATAATCTTTCAATAAATATATACATGTCTTCTTGTAACATACTTACAAGGCAGGTACTATTAATTTAGCTATTTAAAAATGAAACTTTAAAAACTAAGATTTAATTAAAGTTGTGAAATAATTTTCCAAAATCATTACAAATAGAAAATTTTGAAGCCAAGATGCCAATTTTGTTTTAAACTCCATGTATATAATACATTACCTGTAAAATATAATATATACATTTATAGTGACCTATCTAATACCATATATGACCAGATATATAAAACATGTGGTCAGCATATCATAATACCCATCATATTCTATATTCTGAATGACTAAATTAATCAAGACATAAGAAGGTTTCCCTCCCCTCTGCAGGCAACATTAAATTTCTTGAGTCCAGGCTAATTAAAGATAAAACTATGTTATAGGTAATATCCAAAGAAACATTAAGAAAACTCCAAACCTTACAAAATATTTTAGTGCGAGTAAGGCAGAATCTCATCTGAGTCCTCACTGGGGCACAGTGCGTCATTCTGGATTAGAATTAGGAAAACTTAAAATGACACAAAAGTCCATAATTCAGTGTTTTACTTATGTACTTTTCCTAATTTTCTTTTCCTCCTCTTATTCTACCTCTCAGGAGAAGGTTTACAAGAAAACTTTTACTTTGGGGGAAAATGAACCCCTTTTCCTGGCACTATTGCTATCAGTAGGATTCTGACCTTCGGAGATCATAATGCCCATTGCATCCTCACCCAGTATCTGCCCTCCTCTCCTGCCTCCTTTCAGCATCCCAGTGGCCATGTGGGGCTGAGATGATCTGGAGGCTGCTGAGAAGCTCCTCCAGAAGCCTCTGGAGCCCAGATCAAGCACACCATATAGAGCACCCCGAGAAACCACAAAGTTAGCTTTGGTGTCCTTTTGCTCCCATAGCCTTCTCTGATGCAAAGTCAAAGGCTGTTCAAATCACCGAGGGCTTCTGTAGTATGATACTCCATTTTTAATCACTTTTGCCCACGGAGAGCAGCCTGATCTTCCAGAACTTCCAGACTTTCTGGTCCGCCTATAACTTCTTTCTACCCTCATCCTACTGTCCAGCTCTGATGAACAAGTTTGGGGGCAGAAGGAGAGTTGTTTGGTTCAGGCCAGCACTGTGACCTAATAAAATGGACTGGAAAAGCACATCAAGGGAAATCCTGCTCTTTTCTGATCTCTCACTCTATGCCAGGTTCTGCCCAGATGCCCCTTTCGGGGAAGAAGGGCTGACTTGGACAAATGTCTCAGTAACCACAGTCAGCAATTTGGATAGAAGGAGCTATTACAATGGCAGGCATTGCTACCCGATGTAGGAGTAGATTCAGAAACCCAAGAGGACAAGCCAAGGCAGAGTCCATCAAGGAAAAGAGCACGTTCTGATGGAGGAAGAAGAACTAAAAACGTTATGTCTAAAGGGCCAAATGGGTGGGCACCATGGTGCCTGAAGCAGCATAGGCCCAGGCTGGGGTGAGTGTCAGGGTTCACAGATCCTTCACAGTAATCCTGTGAGGTAGGCATTTAGCCTCATTTTACAGATGAGGGACCAGTAGCTCAGAGTAGTTCAAGGTACTTCACCCTGTATTTCTCCAGGCCAGACATTCCTCTAGTCTTCAGACTTAATATAGACATCTCCACTTGGAAATTCCATGTGAATAATAAATGCAATATATTGCAATGTATAAAAATGGTGCATGTCCTCCCACAAGCCTGCTCCTTTTCTAGTCATTCTGGAGCATTCCTTCTTTCTCCACGAGCACCTATAATCAGACATCAAGTTCTGTGACTTAACCATTTACATATTTTTTTGAAGCTGCCCTCTCTTCTAGCATTGCTTTCATGGACCTTGTTGAAAACTTCATCTCTCACCTGCCAATTTCAGCAGCTTCCTCATGAGTGCTCCTGATTTGAGCACTTCCTCCCTACAACTGCCAGAGTTATCCATCTAAAATATAGGTGGGAACAAGTGAGTCTCCTTCTTAAAACACCTCTGTCTTCATCTGGGCCACTCAATCTAATTGTTTAAGGCTGGGGCGAAACCTCTGTTCTTTCAGGAAATTTCCCTGGCCCCTTCATGATTGTTAGCCTGTCTCTTTCTCTGCATTCTCATATTACCCAGGGTGTATTGCTGTCATAGGCAATGGGGATCCTGAGTGAAAATATTGAAGTAAAAGGGAAGGGATGATTATACTGATGATTCAGATGAATGGCAAGCCCCCAAAATTTTTTAATGTGGGGAAAAAAAGGAAAAATAATTTCAGAAGAACAGACTGAGTTTGGAAAGGCTAAACTTTAAATCTAAGATGAAAAGAGAACTAAAAACTTCTGGGAAACCGAAAATGGCATAGTGGAATTAAAATTAGCATTGGAAGCAATGTAGAAGAGAATGGACATTGTGAAAAGGAAACGACAACTGTTGAGGATAAACTGGAGTTCCCTCGGGTTATAGAAAAAAAGAGAGAGGATTATTGATTTAGGGATTTTTTGTTTGTTTGTCATCCACAGCACATGAATAGAAACAATTCTTTAAGAAACTAGAAAAAAGAGAAAGATGTATTAAATAAATATATGCATAATGGAAGAAAATTTCCTGTGCTGAATAAAGAGCTACATATGTAGATTTCAAATACTTTTTATAAGACAAAGCTGATAAAAAGAGACTTGCATTTAGAGAAGTCTTGGCAAAAATGCTTCAAATATAAAGAAAAATAAGGAAAGTAGGTTTTTTTGTTTTGTTTTGTTTGTTTTTCTTTTGAGAACAGTAGTTAGGCAGCTTTCAGACTTATTTGTAACTCTGATGCCAGAACATATGGAAAAGACCACAGCGTATTTGAGGAGAGTTTGTGCCCCCAAATCGTATATTCGATACAAACCTTGTAATGTTTGAAGGCAACAAGATTAACAGTTTTGGGAAGTGCAAAATACATGTATGAATAAAGAAACAAACAAGATAAGACATAGGAGCAATCTCAGTATAATTGAGATGCAAATTAATATTAAGAATTAAGAATTTAAAATGTATGTGTATGAATCATATATGAATAATATGTCAGATAATAAGCACTGAAATCTGTTAAACATAAATGCTTAAATATTTATTTTAAATAGACTTAAAAACTAGATACCAATTGATTTTTGATAAATGAATATCATATGATCAAAACAATACTAGAAACAATAATAATTCTGTTCCTAAAAATCTCAGATTATGTCAACAAAAACCAAGAAGTGAGTGAATAAAGAGTAAAGGCATAATAAATTTATCCATCTTACTAAGGGGATATGAAAATATGCATTAGATTTTTACTTGGCCAATCAGATAAATATTATTCCAAATTCAATTTTGAAAATATTATTACTACTACCATCAAATAATAGAATCTATATCTACCTAAAAATCACAAATAAAACCTAATAGAGTAAATATAAGTCTCTATAAATAATAAAAGAGTTAATATTACTTATAAAGAGACTAAAATGTGTTTTAAAAAAAGACAAAATTCAAGCACAAGCATTCTAGCAGCAAACCTAATTTGTTTAAATGCCACAATTAAGAAAACAAATTGTGTAACCTGCACAGGTCTCCAAATCAGAATCAGCGTCCTGATAAGAAATGAGTGGGACCTGGAGACCCAGGATGGAATGACTTGAGTGGATGAGCCTGAGAATCTTGAATCTCAAACTTCCCCTTGGGCCCCTCTGGCTGGCAGATGTAACCTCCCTCCCCTTGCTGGAAGGGAGCACGTTTATCCTGCAGACCTCAACTGAGGCCAAGGTTCCACAAAAGGATGTCCTGTTCCTCGAGGAGACCAGCTAGACTCTTAGTGGCAGGTTGATTCTATTAAATCCCTCTATCTGGGATGCAGGTGTGACTTCTATACCATATATGAGTAGTCCCCCTTGACTCTGCCATCACTGCAATCCAGTGGCTTACAGAATACCAAGTATCTCACCATGGAATCTTATATAATGCTCTGGACCAAGAGACTGATTTCATTATCCTGTAGTTGCAAAAATGGATACGTGACCATAAGGATCCACTTGTTTTATCTCATTGCACAGAATCAACAAGATTTACAGAAAGTTGGAGTAACCTCTTAAACACTCAGCTAAGGGTCTGCTTTGAGGACCCTGCAGATTGGACACTGTCCTCTAGGTTGTAGTACATGCAGTAAACCAATGGCTGATCTAAGGTGCTATAATCCTATTAGAACACAGGAGCTCAGGAACCTAGAGGTGGAAGTGGGATTGGCTCCCCAACTTGCAGGATATTATATTGCTAGATTAGATATTCTGGATGCCCAGGTTGGGGTTGGGGTGGATGCTTCCACCAGGAGACAAAGTATGATGTTCCTTTGAACTTGAAGCTCTGACTACCACGTGCCCCTGACAACAGGGATAGGTTCTGAGAAACATGTCACTAGGCAATTTTGTCATTGTGCGTCATAGAGTGCACTCACACAAACCTAAGTGGTAGAACTTACCACACACCTAGGCTACATGGTATAATCTATGGCTCCTAGACTTTAAACCTGCACAGCATGTTGCTGTACTGAATACTATAGGCAATTGTAACACAGTAGTATTTATTTATCTAAACATATCTAAACATAGAAAAGGTATAATAAAATAGGTTATAAAAGATAAAAAATTGTATTCCTATATAGGGCACTTGCCATGAATGGAGCTTACAGGACTGGAAGCTTCTCTGGGTGAGTCAGTGAGTGAGTGGTGAGTGAACATGAATGCTGAGAGCATTACCATATGCTACTGTACACTTCTTAAACAAGATGCTCTTAGGTTACATTAAATAAATTTTAAAAATGATTTTTCTTAAATAGTAGATTAGCTTACTATAATATTTTTACTTTTTAAACTTTTTGTCTCTTTTGTAATAATGCTTAGCTTAAAACACACATTGTATAGCTGAACAAAAATATTTTCTTTCTTTATAGCCTTATTCTATATAATTTATTTTCTATTTTTAAATTTTTTTATTTTTATCTTTTAAACTTTTTTGTTAAAACCTAAGATACAAACACACACATTAGCCTAGGTCCACACAGGGCCAGGATCCCCAGTATGACTGTCTTCCACTCCCACCCCTTTTCCCACTGGAAGATCTTCGGGGCACTAACTCACATGGAACTGTCATCTGCTATGATAATAATGCCTTCTTCTGGATACTTCCTGAAAGAAATGCCTGAGGCTGATTTACTGTTTTTTTTTTTTTTTGCCTCATGAGCAGAAAGAGTACACTCTAAAATAGCAATAAAAAGTACAGTATAACAAATACACAAAGCAGTAACATAGTTATCATCCTTATCAAGTATTATGTACAGTATGCAACTGGATGTGCTATTCTTTTATATGACTGGTGGCACAATAGGTTTGCTGACATCAGCATCACCACAAACACATGAGTAATGCGTTGTGCTATGATGTTATGACGGGCTATGACGTCACTAGGTGATAAGAATGTTTCAACTCCATTATAATCTTACGTGGCCACTGTCATATATGCAATCCATCACTGACCAAACTGTATTTCATAAAGCTGTATTTCATAAAGCTGGACAGAATGTCCCCTGAGATCCTATGAGTGCTAATTTGATTGGTTTTCTTTCTCTGTGTTTCTGATATCTCATTGCCAAAAAAATATCTCCACACAAGTCTTTATCTTGGGCTGTGTTTTCAGACTATGATTCTTGGAATGTAATAATTTCATTCAGATTAACAATAGAGCAGTTCTCAAGATTTTGGTTTTAGGATCCTTTAAAATCCTTTTTTGAGGATCAGCCTATACAATATATACAATATAGCATACAATTTTAATAATTTTATTCAGATATACAGTACAACAGTTTTCAATATTTTGGTTTTAAGACCCTTAAATATTTTTTTGAGGATCCTTTTATGAGGACTTTGGTCCTCATGATTATACTTTAAGAGTATGATCTTTAAAACTAATGACCCCAAAGAGCTTCTTAATGTGAGCTATATTTATTGATATTTACAACACCAAAAATGAAAATTTGAAATTTTTGCATTCATTTATAAATTCATTTAAATATATTAGTAAATTCATTCCATGTCAATATAAATAACGTTTTATGGAAAAGAAACTACATTTTCCAGAACAAAGTAAAAAACTTATAAGAAGTGTGGCATTGGCTTATTCTTTTGCAAATCTTTTAAATGTCTGGCTAAATAAAAGACAGCTGGCATCTCACAGTTGCTTCTGTAGTCAGTCTTTGTAAATGTTGTTTTAGTTCAAGTATCCGAAAAAAAATCCAGCCTCACAGATGAGATGTAGTTGGAAAAGGGAGGAGTGTTCAATAGCCTTTCCAGGTAATTGTGGATATTCTTTGATACAATACCAGAACTCCATAAGTGGTAGTTTATTAAAGGTTAGTTGTAATGTAAAATCTGTACTTTTATCAATGAATTTTTTGTTCTGTTATATTAAAATACATTTGGTCTATCTTACAATTTGGATGGATCTTTTACCTGTGTGTGACTTTATAGTTCCTGTATTGGTCAATTTGGACAATACTGGTTTTCATTGAGCTATGCAGACCTTTCAAATATTGGCACATTTTATTATACAGTATAAAAAAGCACATCTGTTAAGAACTCACTGCTTGCATCATCAAAGTCTTTAATTATCAAGAAGCTGCCAAGCTCACTGTGGGGGGGTACAAGTTTCCCAAAATTATAATTTTTATTTGAAAACTTCAGGTTATCATTGGCAACAAATATTGTCAGTTGTTTTTCTTGAAGTGACAAGCTCACCTCATTCACTTTCAAGAAAATGTCTGACAAATACCCAGGTCTGGGTAATTACAGTTTTTCAGTTGTTCTTTCAAGTAAAAATGACGCTTTATGAAAAAAAGTGGTTAGTTCAGTTCATGACTGAAGGAATCTCACGTATTTTTCCTGAAGACAATGTTCCTACTGGTGTGAGCAATAGAAGTGCTTTCTGCAAACTTCCTGTGTCATCGCAGAGAATACTGAAAAGACTGACTCTCCAGGGTAGGTATAAATAAAATTAATCTTTTGCCTCATCAAGGCAAAAGGTTTTAATTCTTACGTGAATTTGGCTTTTTTTTTTTTAAATTGTGAGTGTATGGAGATGAACAGACTCCTGGTTTGCCCCATAGCCTTGATGCCCTGTCATCCACAGCTGCCTATGCACAGTCACTGCTAATGTTCACACAGTGGGGGAACCAATGACTGCTTATTATGAAAATAGTTTTAAACTCTTAGATTCCCTCAAAAATTTAGGGGAAATACTAGAAGCCCATGAACCGTATTTTGAGAACCATTGATCTAAAATATGGTAAGTTTTCTTTTTCCTTTTCCATACTTTCTGAAAGCACAGCAACTAAAACAAAACAAACACATGAGAAAACTTACTTTGAATGCAACATCTAGTTATTTTGACCCTCGAAAATATCTAGTCAGCCATGGTGTCAGAAACAGAAGTCTGCTCCATTCTTTTCTGTGCCCAGAATTGTTTGTCTTTCTAAAACACAGATCTGATAATATCACTCCCCAAATAAACCCTTCCTGGATTTTCTTTTTCTTTCCTTTAAAAAAAAATTTTTTTAAGACAATCTCCCTCTATCACAGACAGTCTCCCTCTGTCACCAGGCTGGAGTGCAGTGGTGTGATCACGGCTCACTGTAGCCTCAACCTCCTGGGTTCAAGCAATCCTTTCACTTCAGCCTCTCAAGTTAATAATGTTTTCATTTTTTTGTACACATAGGGTCTCATCATGTCGCACAGGCTGGTCTTGAACTCCTGGACTCAAGCGATCCTCCCTCCTTGGCCTTGCAAAATGCTAGGACTACAGGCATGAACCACTGCACCCAGTCCCTTCCTGGATTAACTATCTCACTGAGGGCAAAAAAAAAACTCCTTTGTTTTCTCCTAATGCCCGTCATCAGGCTCCTGTGTATACTCCAAATACTTTTGCTTCCTTCCCTTGAAATCTCTGCTACGTAGTTGATTTCCCTTTGCTTGAAAACTCCTGTCCTCCTTCCAGGTCCCAACCTTGATGGCTTCTTTGCCATCCCAAGCCTGATGAGACCCTCCAGTGTCCTCAGGGCTGGGGCTGCGGCACCTTTCCCAGTGGCTTGTGATTTCATGTTTAATTATCTATTTTCTTCACACTCTGTAAGTTTACTAAGGCAGTTCCTTGGCTCACTGTTGTATTCTCACTGCCTGTCAGAATGCCTGGCACACAGGAAAATCCTGCTTCTTCCACTTCTCCCTAGATGAGGAATTTGGTACTGGAGGCTGGGTGGGGAGCAGGAAAGCTATATGCATCACTCAGATTCCACAATTTCCAACATATTTTTATTACCAAATCAGTAATCAGTGCTAATTGTAAATAAACAATAGATATGTACATTACATATATATGATAGTCACATGTAGATTTTAAATAATGCAATCATGATTGCATAGTTGCGGTTTTTATGTCATGCCTAAAAGGACTCTTAGCTACCAACAGTACAAAACATTCTCTTTTGTTTTCTTCCCAGACAAGGCCGTTAAGGTTTTACAACTCGCTGGTAAGCCAAGATGTCTGTCTTCCCTTGTTCTTATGTGATGTTTCCTGCAATGACCAAGCCAAACACAGTCCTCCAGCTTTGTCATAAACACATGCAATGACTTGGAAAAATCAGGCGCATTCTCCTGTCAGGATTGCTCCTAATTATTTTTGGTTTGGAACATGGAAAAATGTTTTTGGTGGAAATTTGAGAGGAAAAAGTCACACAAATAGGTTTTTAAACAACCTGAAAACTTCATGTCTCTCTATCAGAAATCAGGCAGATGAATGTGAGTTAAATCAAGATAAATTTTGAATTTGTAAGCTTAATTTTTCAATAATTTATTCTAGAGATTATTAAGAAAAAAGGCTTCATTAATGTTTTTATTTTTACTTTCCTCCCTTGAGTTCTGAAATTCCTTGCATTCTCAATAGCTGGAAATAGTAATTTTCACCACTGTCATCATAATTAAACATAATGTGATAATGGTTAAGATTATGAATCACTGTCTTAATGAATGGTTATTATATTGCTCATTATTATGGCGGTTGCTATGATTATTATTTTGGGATTATAGACCATCCAGAAATGGCAAGTTCTTTCCTAAGATAATTACTATAAATAATGACAAGGATGCCAATAATAATATAACAACAGATTTCTTACTTTTTGGGCACATAAAATTAACTTAGAGGTGAGACTCCCTAAAAGCTCACCCAGTATTTTTTGCATAGAGGGCAAGGTAGGAAATGATGAGTAAGAGTGTGATGTTTCTCACTACCTAAAACTTCTGTATACCAAAAGAGTAGAAAGTTTTATAAATGTAACTGAATTTATCAAATGTCTACTTATGAACTATTCTCTGTGATAAGTGATGTGGGTCAGAACTGTTAGATTTTTAATTTCTGGTATTATAGTGATATGAGTAAAATACAAAAACAAATAAACAAATAAAAACGACCAACCAAAACCTGAAAAAGAGTACAGAGTATTACTGGTGGCGTGGGGTGCACAGTATAAACTCCAGTGAGAAAGTATCAGATTACATCTAGAAAACAAGATTATTTAGTCCAATACTCCCACCCTCCCTTACACTCCTGGGAAATTATGCATTTTCTCCATAACCCATGTGGTATAATATAGACTATTACATTTTAATTTACTTGAGCAATGGGTAACAGTGAATAATTCCCTTAAAAATTCTGTCCAAGAGTTTGAATATATGCCCACTTTTCACAATTTTAGATAAGAAGAATGCTATTATAGTAGTGATAGTAATAATAATAATGGACTTATAAAAAGATGCTGAGAAAACACACATACTTTATTGAAAATCTAGCTGAGCTCCCGTTTCAAACTCAATATATTGTAATGCCTAATATTACAGATATGATATCAATTCTTATTTAGATTTTCATAGAAAATGAAAAAAGAAACACTGGAAAAAGATGGACAGTGCCCCAATATGATATTTGACATTTAAAACCATCAAATAAAGTATAATGAGCACTTAAAAAGAATGGATGGTGTTAGAAAACCCTGAGTTTTTAAGATAAGCCAAGTGAAATAAAGGTGTTACCCATGAAAAAATGCTAGTTTATAACAGCATTGTATTTTGCAGTTTACACTATCTCATTGGAGACCCTCTCATTCGTGGATGGCAGATACTATGCTCTACAGTTTGCGAATTTGGGAACTGAGACCCGGTCCTACCACAGGACTAAATGAGAACGAAAGCATCAGCCTGCTGCCCTTTGGCCTACTGTTCCTTCCAGCATCTTAAGCTAGTCTGGTAGACAATCACCTTGTTCCCCAAGAGTAACTGACACATAGAGAGCATTTATATGTGCTAGCCACTGTTCTAATTTCTTTACTTATATCCACTCTTTAAAATCTCACAACAACTACCAAAGGCACATATTATTATATTATTCTCTTTTGCATATGAGAAAACGTAGGTCTCCAGAGTTTAAGTAACCAAAGTCACATGACTGGTAATTGGTGGAGCCAGGATTTAAAGCCAGGATTTTAGCACTAGAGCTCTGTTAACGCTACTGATGAATTCTCAATACCTGGCACAATATCCAGCACATAGCAGGCACTCAATAAATATTTAATGAATAAATTAACAAGTGAGAGAAATCACTTGATGAAGGTGTTTATTGTTAACAGCATAATTTAAGGGCCCATGCAGTCTATGTCTGATTATCTCACGTTATTTTGTGTTTTGTTGATTGATTTAGTCTTTTATTCATCCAACAGATATTTATTAAACATTTCCCATATGTTAGGAACTGTGCTAGGGACTGAGAACATAGAAGTAAACAAAAACAATGTGGTTCCCCTTTTCATGGATTATATAGATAGGCTAATGGGAGCAAAAAATCCTAACTACTCAAACATATATTTAGGTGCAATTTCTGAGAAGTTTAATAAAGAAAAACCATAAGAGGAAAATTGGCATGCAATGGATGAGTGCAGGGGGCAGTCAAGGGAGGATTGTGGGAGCTGACATTTCGTGTGACATCTAATGGAAAGTTGGCAAGGCAAACAGGGTGAGGACGTCACAGGTACAGAACACAGCAACTGAGAAGGTTCTTAAATAGGGTGTGGGGAGGGATCTGATATTTTCAGAACTTTTTAAAAAGCCAGTGTGACCTGAACTAGGGAACAGGGTAGATGGTGGCCCTAAAGGAGTCTGACTCTGTGATCCATAGACAGACAGACACATAGAACCCCAAAGAATGCAAAATGTGTCTGAAATGAAAGAGGAAGAAGGTTTTATGTTATGGGGAGTTATGTAATCCAACGTGTATTTGAAAACATGGCTTTTCTTAGTTAGCTACAAAGATTATGAACCAAACTCCCGGCCTCGGTGTTGATAAATCTGTGAGCACCACTTCTAGAGACACAGTTCCAGTAGTTAAATGTTCCTTGGTGATATTACATTGGCCCATTTTTATTAACCCAGATGATTAATGTTTCTGAGGACAAGGGCTAACTTTTGTAACTACTTTCAGATCCCTTCAGCCTCTGATAGTGGAGTTGAAAACATAAAATATGTCTTCACTTAATGTTCATAAATTTTAATCCATTATGACATATTAAAAATGCACATCCCCTCCCCCTGCCATACATACACAAGGGAGATTGAGGTTCTTGGTCACATTTCTAGAAGATTCTCTAGAGGGCTCACACACAAGCAGTGTGGGCACAGGACTGGCAGTTTATGATCCAGCCCAAATCTGCCCTAGTGAAATTCCCACCCCTGTTTTATAGACTCGACTTTACTCCATGTTAAGATAAGCATCTGAAAAGAATGACAACACTGTACTGGGCTGAGGCTCAAGTTATCACTGGTTGTAATTCTAGCCTGGGCCATAAAGCTTTCAAGAATGAGGCTCTCTCCTGACAGAAGCACCTGTTTGAAAGTTCATTAGGCACAATGCTTTTACCTGGGAATTTCCTTTTTGTTGAAAAAAGAACTCCCTATTACAATTTGGAACTTGCAAAAACTATTCTAGCAAAGACAATAAAGAGTGATCCAATTAATAAAGACTTCCAATTAACCGAGATATTTTTCTCTACTTCATTGTTAAGGAGAAAGAAGCAAATTATACATCCCAGACTCAAAGCACAGCCATCTCTGCGTTTCCAATACTCTGTAAGGAGAACTGATGTTTAGACTGACAAAAATAAGGCACGTAAAGGACAATTTTTTGGTGAATATCAGATGTTAATCCTTGGTACACTGTACTGTGAACTAATGCATTTTAGGCAGATTCTTAACAAGGATAAAAGTAAAAGGATTTGCCATTTAAGCCTGAATTTACCAGTAAATTCAATTATCTGGAAGGAATATCCTTCTCTCAAGCACTTTGATTAATTGATGGTGCGCCGCACATTCATTAGATTCTGGTGCATGTACATTAAATATGAAATCATAATCATGTAGCATTTATTGAATCCTCTAGAAAAGGCAAATTATCACATGGAGCCAAACTAAAGGGGGCTACATATTCAGAAAGAACAGTTTCTTCAAAATGGGCATGACAAACTAAAGTTTCATCACCACAGTTTTTCTATCTAATGTTTAATACACACGAATGTTATATATTTTTTAATTAAACCATAGCATGAACAGAAGTTATTTGTAAATAATCTCTAAAATTCCAACATGATTTAATAACAGATTTTGTGTAGATCTAAAAGAAAAAAAAAAGGCCCAGAATACATTTTGTAAATAGGTCGGACCTATTTACAAAAGGAGTTTATTTTTGATTCTAGGTACCAAGAGTTTAGCTGTGCACTTAGACCATACACATTTCAGCAAACACCATTTATTTTGTAAAAGCATACATTCAGGAAATTTAAAAATATCTGAAACCTAGGAAATGTGGAAAAAGTAATCTAACAACTGGAAGAAATACACAGGAAAAAACACATTTTCACCCAGTTGTTACTACTGGCAGGACAATTCTGCAATGTTTGCACTAGGTATGACCAGCAGAAAAAGGCTTCACTTATCCACTCTGCCAGTCACCAGTGCTTAGAGGTTCTATTCTTCACTGGGATGATTCAATAGGTTAAATAGGTGGACTCCAAAACAAACAAGCAAGCAAGCAAGCAAACAAACAAACAAACAACTACTGTTATTACCAAACAAATGTTTCCCTGCGGCTTTGCAGAAACTTCATGTTGTGTTTGGCAAAGAAACCTGGTGCCCCTGAAATTCCTGTGGTGTGATCGCTCTGGTTCCCAAGTGGGATGTAGTTCTTAGTTTTTATTTTTTTCCAACTTTTATTTTAGTTTTAGGTGGTATATATGCACGTTTCCTACATGGGTAAATTGGCCGTCACAGGGGTTTGATGTACAGATTGCTTTGTCACCCAAAGTGATAAGCATAGTACCCAACAGGTAGTTTTTTTTCACTTTAAAATTTAAAAAAAATTTTTTTTATATTTCAATAGGTTTTTGGGGAACAGGTGGTGTTTGCTTACATGAATATGTTCTTTAGTGGTTATTTCTTGTTTTTTTTTTTTTTGGAGACAGTCTTGCTCTGTCGCCCAGGCTGGAGTGCAGTGGGGCGATCTCGGCTCACCACAAGCTCCATCTCCCGGGTTCACGCCATTCTCCTGCCTCAGCCTCCCAAGTAGCTGAAACTACAGGCACCCGTCACCATGCCCGGCTAATGTTTTTGTATTTTTAGTAGAGACGGGGTTTCACCGTGTTAGCCAGGATGGTCTCGATCTTCTGACCTCGTGATCCTCCCTCCTCGGCCTCCCAAAGTGCAGGGATTACAGGCGTGAGACACCGCGCCTGGCCCCCTTCAGTGGTTATTTCTGAAATTTCAGTGCACCCATCACCCGAGCAGTGTACACTGTACCCAATATATAGTCTTTTATACCTCACTACACCCACCATTTCACCTGAGTCCCCAAAGTCCAATGTATCATTCTTATGCCTTTGTGTCCTCATAGCTTAGCTGCCACATGTGAGTGAGAACGTATGATGTTTGGTTTTCCATTCCTGAGTTACTTCACTTAGAATAATGGTCTCCAATTCCATCCAGGTTGCTGCAAATGCCATTATTTTGTTCCTCTTTGTGGCTGAGAAGTATTCCATGGTGTGTGTGTGTGTGTGTGTGTGTGTGTGTGTGTGGTGTGTGTGGATATAAATATATATATATAATGATTATATGATTTGCATTTCCCTGATAATTAGTGATGTTGATCATTTTTCCGTATGCTTGTTTGCCATGTATATATGTTCTTCTGATAATTGTCTATTCATGTTCTTAGCCCACTTTTTGATGGGATTGTTTGTTTTCTTCTTGTTGATTTGTTTGAGTTCTTTGTAGATTCTGGATATTAGTCCTTTGTCAGAGAGAGAGAGAGAGAGATAGCTCTCCACATACACACACACACACACACACACACACATATATCCACACACACACATATATATACACACACACATATTACAGACACACACACATATATACACACACACACACACATATATATATATCACATTTTCTTTATCCAATCGTTGATTGATGGGCATTTGGGCTGGTTCCTCAGTTTTGCAATTGCAAATTGTGCTATTATAAACATGTGTGTGCAAGTATTTTTTTTGTATAATGACTTCTTTTCCTCTGGGTAGATACTTAGTAGTGGGATTGTTAGATCAAATGGTAGATCTACTTTTAGTTCTTTAAGGAACCTCTACACTGTTTTCCATAGTGGTTGTACTAGTTTATGCTCCCACCATCGGTGCAAAAGTGTCCCCTTTTCACTGCATCCATGCCGACATCTACTATTTTTTGATTTTTTTGATTATGGCCCTTCTTGCAGGAATGAGATGGTATCGCCTTGTGGTTTTGATTTGCATTTCCCTGATAATTAGTGATGTTGATCATTCTTCCGTATGCTCGTTGGCCATGTGTATATGTTCTTCTGATAATTGTGTATTCATGTCCTTAGCCCACTTTTTGATGGGATTGTTTGTTTTCTTCTTGCTGATTTGTTTGAGTTCTTTGTAGATTCTGGGTATTAGTCCTTTGTCAGATATACAGATTGTGAAGATCTTCTCCCACTCCATGGGTTGTCTTTTACTTCTGTTAATTATTTCTTTTGCTGTGCAGAAGCTTTTTAGTTTAATTAAGTCCCATCTATTTATCTTTGTTTTTGTTGCATTTGCTTTTGGGTTCTTGGTCACAAAGTCTGCATAAGCCAATTTCTAGAAGGGTTTTTCCGATGTTATCTTCTATAATCTTTATGGCTTCAGGTCTTAGATTTAAGTCTTTGATTCATCTTGAGTTGATTCTTGTATAAGGTGAGAGATGAGGATCCAGTTTTATTCTTCTACTTTTGGCTCGTCAATTATACTAGCACCATTTGTTGAATAAGGTGTCCTTTCCCCACTTTATGTTTTTGCTTGCTTTGCCAAAGATCCATTGGCTGTAAGTATTTGGCTTTATTTCTGAGTTCTCTATTCTGTTCCTTTGGTCTATGTGTCTATTTTTATACCAGTACCATGCTGTTTTGGTGACTATGGCCTTACAGAATGGTTTGAAGTTAGGTAATGTGATACCTCCATATTTGTTCTTTTTGTTTAGTCTTGGTTTGGCTATGCAGGCTCTTTTTTGGTTCCATATGAATTTTAGGATTGTTTTTTTCTAGTTCCATGAATAATGATGGTGGTATTTTGATGGGAATTTCATTGAATTTGTAGATTGCTTTGGGCAGTATAGTCATTTTACAATATTGATTCTACCCATCCATGAGCATGGGATGTGTTTCCATTTGCTTGTGTCATCTGTAATTTCTTTCAGCAGTGTTTTGTAGTTTTCTTTGTGGCAGTCTTTCACATCCTTGGTTAGGGTATATTCCTAAGTATTTTATTTTTATTTTTTTGCAGCTGTTGTGAAAGGGGTTGAGTTCTTGATTTGATTCTCAGCTTCTTCGCTGTTGGTGCGTAGCAGAGCTACTGATTTGTGTACATGAATTTTGTATCCTGAAACTTTGCTGGATTCATTTACCAGTTCTAGGAGCTTTTTAGATGAGTCTTTAGGGTTTTCTAGGTATATGATCATATCATCAGTAAATAGTAACAGTTTTGACTTCCTCTTGACCAATTTTGATGCCCTTTGCCTCTTTCTCTTCTGATTGCTCTGGCTAGGACTTCCAGCACTATGTTGAAAAGAAGTGGTGAAAGTGGGCATGTTTGTCTTGTTCTAGTTCTCAGGGGGAATGCTTTCAACTTTTCCCCGTTCCGTATAATGTTGACTGTGTGTTTGTCATAGATGGCTTTTATCACCTTGAGGTATGTCCCTTCTATGCCAATGTTGCTGAGGGTTTTAATCATAAAGCGATGCTGGATTTTGTCAAATGCTTTTTCTGTGTCTATTGAGATAATCATGTGATTTTTGTTTTTAATTCTGTTTATGTGGTGTATCACATTTATTGACTTATGTATGTTAAACCATCCCTGCATCCCTGGTATGAAACCCACTTGATCATGGTGGATTATCTTTTTGATATGTTGTTGGATTTCTTTCATTCATATTGTAACGAGGATTTTTGCATCTATTTTCATCAGAGATATTGGTGTGTAGTTTTTTTTTTTTTTTATTAAGTCCTTCCCTGGTTTTGGTATTAGGGTAATACCAAATTACCTAGCTTCAAAGAATGATTTAGGGAGGATTCTCTCTTTGTCTGTCTTTTGGAATAGTGTCAATAGGATTGATACCAGTTCTTCTTTGAATATCTGATAGAATTCAGCTTTGAATCTGACTGGTCCTGGACTTTTTTTGTTGGCAATTTTTAAAATTACCATTTCAATTACATTGCTTATAATTGATCTGTTCAGAGATTCTATATCTTCCTTATTTAATCTAGGAGGGTTGCATAGTTCCAGGAATTTATCCATCTTCTCTAGGTTTTCTAGTTTATTCATGTAAAGGTTTTCATAGCAGCCTTGAATAATCTTTCATATTTCTTTGGTATCAGTTGTAATATATCCCATCTTGTTTCTAATTGAGCTTATTTGGATCTTCTCTCTTTTTTTCTTGGTTAATCTCACTAATGGTCTATCAATTTTATTTGTCTTTTTAAAAAACCAGCTTTTTGTTTCATTTATCTTTTCTTTTGTTTTTTTTTTTGTTTGTTTGTTTGTTTGCTTAATTTCCGTTTCATTTAGTTCTGCTCTGATCTTCGTTATTGTTTTCTTCTGCTGGGTTTGAGTTTGGATTGTTCTTGTTTCTCCAGTTTCGAAAGGTATGACCTTCAATTGTCTATTTGTGCTCTTTAAGACTTTTTGATGTAGCATTTAGTGCTATGAACTTTCCTCTTAGCACCACTTTTGTTGTATCCCAGAGGTTTTGGTAGGTTGTGTCACTATTATCATTCAGTTCAATAATTTTTATATTTCTATCTTGATTTCATTGTTAACCCCATGATAATTCAGGAGCAGGCTATTTAATTTCTATGTATTTGCCTGGTTTTGAGGGTTCCTTTTGGAGTTGATTTCCAATTTTATTCCACTGTGGTCTGAGAGAGTACTTCATATAATTTTGATTATCTTAAATGTACTGAGACTTGTTTTGTGGCCTGTCACATGATCTATCTTGGAAAATGTTCCATATGCTGATGAATAGAATGTATATTCTGCAGTTGTTGGGTAGAATGTTTTGTAATTATCTATTAAGTCCATTTGTTGTAGGGTTTAGTTTAAGTCCATTGTTCTTTGTTGACTTTCTGTCTTGATGATCTGTCTAGTGCTGTCAGTGGAGTATTAAAGTCCCCCACTATTATTGTGTTGCTGTCTATCTCATTTCTTAGGCCTAATAGTAATTGTTTTATAAATTTGGGAGCTCCAGTGTTAGGTGTATATAAATTTAGAATTATGATATTTTCCTGTTAGATTAGTCCTTTTATCATTATATAATGTCCCTCTTTGTCTTTTTAAACTTCCACTGTGTTAAAGTTTGTTTTGTCTGGTATAAGAGTAGCTACTCCTGCTAGCTTTTGGTGTCCATTTGCATGGAAAATCTTTTTCCATCCCTTTACCTTAAGTTAATGTGGGTCTTTATATGTTAGGTGAGTCTCCTGAAGACAGCAGAAACTTAGTTGGTTTCTTATTCCTTCTGTCATTCTGTATATTATAAGTGGATCATTTAGGCCATTTACATTCAATGTTAGTATTGAGATGTGAGATACTATTCTATTCATCATGCTATATGTTGCCTGAATACCTTGTTTTTTATTTTTTAATTATGTTATTGTTATGTAGTTCCTGTGAGATTTATGCTTTAAGAAAGTTCTATTTTGGTGTGTTTCAAATATTTGTTTCAAGATTTAGAACTCTTTTCAGCAGTTCTTGTAGTCCTGGCTTGGTAGTGGCAAATTCTCTTAGCATTTGTTTGTCTGGAAAAGACTGTATCTTTCCTTCATTTATGAAGCTTAGTTTCACTGGATATAGAATTCTTGGCTGATAATTGTTTTGTTTAAGGAGGCTAAAAATAGGACCCCAACACCTTCTAGCTTGTAGGATTTCTGCTGAGAAATCTGCTGTTAATGTGATAGGTTTTCCTTTATAGGTTACTTGATGCTTTTGCCTTACAGCTCTTAAGTTTCTTTCCTTCATCTTGACTTTAGATAAGCTGATGGCTATGTGCCTGTGTGATGATCTTTTTGCAATGAATTTCCCAGGTGTTCTTTGATCTTCTTGTATTTAGATGTCTAGATCTCTAGGAAGGCCAGGGAAGTTTTTCTTGATTTTTCCCTAGAATATGTTTTCCAAACTTACAGATTTCTCTTCTTCCTCAGGAACACCAATTATTCTTAGGTTTGGACATTTCTTGGAGGCTTTGTTCATTTTTCAAAATTCTGTTTTTTAATCTTTGATGAATTGGATTAATTCAAAAATCTTATCTTCGAGCTCTGAAGTTTTTTCTTCTGCTTGTTTGATTCTATTGCTGAGACTTTCCAGCGCATTTTGCATTTCTCTAAGTGTGTCCTTTATTTCCAGAAGTTGTGATTGTTTTTTATTTATGCTACCTTTTTCATTGAAGAGTTTTCCTTTCATATCCTGTATCATGTTTTTGATTTATTTAAATTGAACTTTACCTTTCTCTGGTGCCTCCTTGATTAGCTTAATAATAGACCTTTCTAAATTCTTTTTCTGGTAATTCAGAGATTTTGTCTTGCTTTGGATTCATTGCTGATGAGCTGATATAATCTTTTGGGGGTGTTAAAGAAGATCGTTTTGTCATATTGCCAGAATTGTTTTTCTGGTTCCTTCTCATTTGGATCAACTATGTCAGAGGGAAGATCTGGGATTCAAGGGCTGCTGTTCAGATTCTTTTGTTCCATGGGGTGCTCCCTTGATGTCGTGTTCTCCTTTTTCCCCTAGAAATGGGGCTTCCTGAGAACTGAACTGTAGTGATTATTTTTGCTCTTCTGGGTCTCACTGCCCAGCAGAGCTACCAGGTTCTGGGCTGGTACTGGGGAGTGTCTGCAAATAGTCCTGTGATGTGATGAGATCTGTCTTCAGATCTTTCAGCTGTGGATACCAGCACCTGCTCTGCTGGAGGTAGCAGGAGAGTGAAGTGACTCTGTGAGGATCCTTGGTTGTGTTTTTGTTTAGTGTGCTGGTTTTGTTGTTGGTTGGCCTCCAGTCAGGAGATGGCGCTTTCAAGATCGCATCAGCTATGGTCCTATAGGGAGGATGCAAACTTGCCCTAACGACACCTGTTTAAGTATTCAGCTTTCTCAGGTGGTGGGCAGGGTCATAGAACTCCCAAGAAATTATGACCTTTGTCTTCAGCTACCAAGGCAAGTAGAGAAAGACCACCAGGTTGGGGCATGGATAGGCATGTCTGAGCTCAGCCTCTCCTTGAGTGGGTCTTGCTGTGGCTGCTGTGGGGGATAGGGGTATGGTTTCAAGTCCAATGAAGTTATATTTATAGGGGGATTATGGCTGCCTCTGCTGAGTCATACAGGTTTCCAGGGAAGTGGGGGAAAGCTGGCAGCTACAGGCCTCACCTCGTTCCCATGCAGTCCGCAGTCCTAAAGGCCAGTCTCACTTCCGCCATGCCCCCTACAATAGCACTGAGTCTATTTCCAGGCAGCTGGTGACTAAGGCTGAGAGCTTGTCCCAGACCGCATGCCTCTCCGTTGAGAAAGTAGGCCAACTCACAGTTTTTTGGTGTCTCAAGGTGCCTTCAGTGGTGATCCAGTTCCTTCAAAGGGTCTGTGGATTCTCTTGGCTTTCCTGGTATGTTCCTTTGGTAGTTCTTAGAGCAAAAGTTCATGATGTGAGTCTCCACTTGCTGCTCTGTTCATCTGAGTGGGCACTGCAAGCTAGTCCTGCCTTCTGTCTGCCATCTTAATCCAACTCCCAATACGTAGCTTTTTGATCCTCACCCTCCTCCCTCAAGTAGGTCCTAGAATCTATTGTTCCCTTCTTTGTGTCCATATGTACTCAGTGTTAAGCTCCTACTTATAAGTGAGAACATGCAGTATTTGTTTTTCTGTACCTGTGTTAGTTCACTTAGGATAATAACCTCCAGCTGCATTGATATTGCTGCAAAGAACAGAGTTTTGTTACTCTTTATGGCTGCATAGTATTCCATGATGTATATGTATCATATTTTCTTGTTGCAGTCCACTGTTGATGGGCATTTCGGTTGATTCCATGTTTTTGCTATTGTGACTAGTGCTGCAATTAACATATATGTGCATGTCTCTTTATGGTAGAATGTTTTATATTCCTATGGGTATATACCCAGTAGTGGGATTGCTGGGTCAAATGGTGGTTCTGTTTTAAGTTCTTTGAGAAATCTCCAAACTGCTTTCCACAGTGGCTGAACTAATTTACATTCCCACCAGCACTGTATAAGTGTTCCCTTTTCTATACAATCTCACCAGCATCTTTTGTTGTTTTTGTTGTTGTTTTACTTTTTAGTAATAGCCATCCTGAGTGGTGTGAGATGATGTCTCATTGTGGTTTTGAATTGCATTTCTCTAATGATTAATGATGAGCATTTTTTTCATGTCTGTTGGCTGCATGTATGTCTTCTTTTGGGAAGTGTCTGCTCATGTCCTTTGCCTATGGGGTTGCTTGTTTTTCACTTGTTAATTTTTTTACATTTCTTAAAGATTCTGGAGGTCTAATAACCTTTGTTAAAAGCATAGATTGCAAATATTTTCTCTCATTTTGTAGATTGTGTGTTTACTCTTTTGATAGTTTCTTTCGCTGTGCAGAAGCACTTTAGTTTTGTTAGGTCCCATAAGTCAATTTTTTGTTTTGTTGCAACTGCTTTTGGTATCTTCATCATGAAATATTTGCCATGGCCGATGTCTTGAATGGTATTTCCTAGGTTTCACTCGAGGGTTTTTATAGTTTTTGGTTTTACATTTAAGTTTTTAATCCATCTTGAGTTGATTTTTGTATATGGTGAAAATAAGGGGTCCAGTTTCAATCTTCTGCATATGGCTAGCCAGTTATCCTAAAACCATTTATTGAATAGAGAGTCCTTCGCCATTGCTTATTTTTGTTGACTGTGTCAAAGATCACATGGTTGTAGGTGTGTGGCCTTATTTCTGGTCTTTCTATTCTGTTCCATTGGTCTACGTATCTGTTTTTTGTTTTTTTTTTTTTTTTTTTTTTTTTTTTACCAGTATCATATTGTTTTAGTTACCATAGCCTTGTTATATAGTTTGAAATTGGGTAATGTGATACCTCCAGATTTGCTCTTTATGCTTAGGATTGCTTTGGCTATTCAGGCTCTTTTTGAGTTCCATCTGAATTTTAGAATAGTTTTTTCCAATTCTGTGTAAAATATCATTGATAGTTTGATAGAAATAGCTTTGAATCTGTAAATGGCTTTGGGCAGTATGGCCATTTTAATATGATATTGATTCTTCCTACCTATGTGGATGGACTGTTTCTTCATTTGTTTATGTCATCTCTGATTTCTTTTAGCAATGTTTTGCAATTCTTATTGTAGAGATCTTTCATATCCTTGGGTAACTTTCTTACTGGGTATTTTATTCTTTTTGTGGCTATTGTGAATGAGATTGTGTTCCTGATTTGGCTCTCAGCTTTGGTGTTATTGGTGTATAGAAATGCTACTGATTTTTGTACATTGATGTTGTATTCTGAAACTTTGCTAAAGTTATTTATCAGATCCAGCAACCCTTGGGCAAAGACTATGCTGTTTTCTAGGTGTAAAATCATAGTGCCTGCAAAGAGCAATAGTTTGGCTTCTTCTTCCTATTTGAATGTTTTTTATTTCTTTCTATTGTCTTATTGCTCTGGCTAGAACTTCCAGTACTATGTTGAATAGAAATGGTAAGAATGGGCATCCTTGTCCTGTTCCAGTTCTCAAGGGAATGCTTCCAGCTTTTGCCCTTTCAGCATAATATTGGCTATGTCTTTGTCATAGATGTTTCTTATTATTTTGAGGTATGTTTCTTATATGCCCAGTTTGAGAATTTTTTTAATATGAAGGAATGTTAAATTTTATCAAAAGTCTTTTCTGCATCTACCGAGATCATCATGTAGTTTTTGTTTTGGGTTTTGTTTATGTGATGACTCACATTGATTGAATTGTGTATGTTAAACCAACCTTGCATCCCAGGAATGAAGCCTACTTGATTATGGTGGATTAGCTTTTTGATGGGCTGCTGGATTTGGTTTGCTAATATATTGTTGAGGATTTTTGCATCTATGTTTTTCAAGGACACTGGCCTGAAGTTTTGTTTTTTCACTGGGTGTTGAGCCAGATACCAGTATCAGAATGATGCTGGCCTCACAGAATGAGTTATGGAGGAGTCCCTCTTTGTAAATTTTTTGGAATAGTTTTAGTAGGATATGTACCAACTCTGCTTTATATATCGGATAGAATTTGGCTATGAATCTGTCTGGTCTAGGGCTTTTTCTGGTTGATTTTTATTATTATTATTATTACTGATTCAATTTTGGAATTTGTATTGATCTGTTCAGGAATTCAATTTCTTGGTGCAATCTTGGAAGGCTGTATATTTCCAGAAATTTATTTATTCTTCTAGGTTTTCTAGTTTGTGTGCATAGAAGTGTTCCTAATAGTCTCAGAGATTTGTGTATTTTTGTGGGGTTGTTGATAACGTCCCCTTTGTCCTTTCTCAATATGTTTATTTGGATCTTTTCTCTTCTGTATTAGTCTAGCTAGAGATCTATTAATCTTGTTTATTATTTCAAAGAACAAACTTTTGGTTTTGTGGTTGTGTATGGCTTTTATATCTCAGTTTCATTCAGTTTAACTCTGATTTTGGTTACTTTTTCTTCTGCTGGCTTTGAAGTTGTTTTGCTCTTGTTTTTCTAGTTCCTCTAGGTGTGACGTTAGGTTGTTCATTTGAGATCTAACTTTTTGATGTAGAATATTAGTGGTATAAGCTTTCATCTTAACACTGCTTTAGCTGTGTCCCAGAGATTCTGGTATATTGTATCTTTGTTTTCATCAGTTTGGAGAATCTCTTGACTTCTGCCTAATTTCATTATTTACCCCAAAGTTATTTAGGAGCAGGTTGTTTAATTTCTTTGTAATTGTATGACTTTGAGATAGCTTCTTAGTATTGCTTTATATTTTTATTCTGCCCTGGACTGAGAGTATGATTTTGGTTTTTATGAGTTAATTGAGAATTGTCTTATGGCCATGCATGTGGTTAGTTTTAGAGTGTGTGCCATGTACATATGAGAAGAATGTATATTCTGTTGTTGTTTGGGTGGAGTGTTCTGTAGATGTCTGTTAGGTTCCATTGGCCAAGTGTCAAGTTTAGATCCTGAATACCTTTGTTACTTTTCTGCTTTGATGATCTGTTTAATACTGTCAGTGGGGTGTTTAAATCTCCTACTATTATTAAGTTACGTAAGTCTCTTCATAGGTCTCTAAGAACTTGTTTTATGAATCTGGGTGCTCCAGTGTTGGGTACATCTATATTTAGGATAGTTAAGTTGTCTCGTTGAATTGAACTCTTTATTATTATATAATGCCCTTTGTGTTTTTTGATCATTGTTAAAGTCTTTTCTGTTTGAAATTAGAATAGCATCCCCTGCTCTTGTTTTTCATTTGCTTGGATAAATTTTTCTCCATTGCTCTACTTTGAGCCCATGGTTGTCATTGTATATGAGGCGGTTCTCTTGAAGAGAGCAGATGGATGGGTCATGCTTCTTTATCCAACTTGCCACTGTAGGTTGTAAGTGGGGTTTTAGCCTGTTTATGTTGAAGGTTACTATTGATGTGTGCAGATGGCTATTTATGCAGACTTGATTGTGTAGTTGCTTTATAATGTCAACGGCCTACGTACTTAAGTGTGTTTTTCTGGTAGCCGATAATGGTCTTTTGTTTCCACATTTTGTACTCCCTTAAGAACATCTTGTAAGGCAGATCTGGTGGTAACAAATTCCTTTAGCATTTGCTTGTCTGAAAATGAAAAGGATTTTATTTCTCCTTTGCATATGAAGCTTACTTTGGCTGGATATGAAATTCTTGGTTGGAATTTCTTTTCTTTAATTATGCTGACTATAGGCTCCCAGTCTCTTCTGGTTTGCAGAATTTCTGCTGAAAGGTCCACTGTTAGTTTGATGGGGTTCCCTTTGTAGGTGACCTGTCCCTTCTCTCTAGCTGCCTTTAATATTTTTTCTTTTGCATGTGCCTAGAAGAATCTGACAACAATGTGTCTTGGGGCTGGAGATCTTGTATAGTATCTTGCAGAGGTTCTCTGATTTTCCTGAATTTGAATATCAATCTCCTTAACAGGGTTTGGGAAATTTTCATGGACAATATCCTCAAATATGTCTTCCAAGTTGCTTGGTCTCTTTCAGGAATGCCAGTGAGTCATAGGTTTGGTCTCTTTACATAATCCCATATTTCTCAATTTGGTTTGTTGATTCTTTCTTATTTATTTTCCTTTATTTTTGTCAGACTGAGTTGATTCAAAGTACTGGTTTCTGAGATCTGATATTCTTTCCTCAGCTTGGTCTATTCTGCTGTTACTTCCTATTATGTTATGAAATTCTTGTATTGAGCTTTTCAGCTCTATCAAATCAGTTTGCTTCTTTTTTTATGCCTATGTTATCTTTCAGCTCTTGTATCATTTTATTGGATTCCTTAGATTCCTTGGATTGGGTGTCAACTTTCTCCTGATTCTCAATGATCTTCATTGCTATCCAGATTCTAAATTCTATATGTCATTTCCACCATTTCAGCCTGGTTAACAACCATTGCTGGGAAGTTACTGCAGTTGTTGGGAGGTAAGAAGACACTCTGGCTTTTTGAGTTGCCAGAGCTCTTGCACTGGTTCTTTCTTATCTTTGTAGGTTGATGTTCATTTAGCCTTTGAAGTTGCTGTTCTTTGGATGTGGCTTTTGCTTTTATGTTCTTTGATGCTCTTGAGAGTTTCTCTGTGATATAAGTTGGCTTTAGTCGACTGGTTTCACTTCTGGATGATTTCAGGGGCCAAGGATCAGCTCAGCACTCCAGTGCTGGGTTCTCTAATCCTGCAGGGTCTGGGGCCAGGCCCACAGCTTTGTTCTCCAGCCCCTTGGGGCTAAACACCTGTTGCACTGGAGGGGCTGAAGTTTTTCCAGTCTGCTGGTAACAACACTTTGATGGGGGATGCTGGAAAAGTGCTTCATCACGTCTGTATTTTGCATGTGTGCACTGGCAATGGCAGGGTGGCAGTGATGCAGCAGCGTTTGTATGCACATGCACAACTGGTAGTGGAGCAATGAGGTCTGCATGTGTGCACCAGCAAAGTGGTGGGAGGAGGCTGTGGGGATTCATCTGCTAAAGCTCTCCAGCCATCAGGTGGGGTCTGCCAGTGAAGGAGCTATGGCGGTGGCTGTCAGGAAGTGCCTTGGTTGGGCATCCAAGGCTGTGCTGCAAGCAGGTATGGCCAGGCAGGGACCCTAGGAGAGGCTGGCAGGCAAGGGGCTCTCAGATCAGTCTGGCCCCATCTCAAGACAGCCCTGCTATGCTCAGGTCTGATGGTCAACAAGGGCCAAAGCGACTTCAAGGAGCACAGCCAGCCTTGGGAGATGGGTGTCTGTGGCTGTGCTCCACTGTAGCCATTCCTATGCCAAATCCTCTAGGCACCATACAGGCTGGAGTCCTGTTCCCACCACTCCTCCAGGAAGCTCTCCCTGTCAGCTTAAATGTCTGTGGGAGGCATAGGGTCTCCTGCAGCTAGAATTCAGGAGGTCCGTGGTAGTAGTGGGCTACTCCCTTCCTATTTAACTCACCACTTCCCAGGAGCTGCTGGGGGCCAGAAATGATCCCTGGTGGTTGGCAGCCTGGTGCAGGTTTCCCAACTTCCTGCTCTTTTAGCCCAGGATCTTTCTCCTCCTTCTGTTCCCTCTCAATGCCCTCCTTCTGAAGATCTGCTCAGAGTGTACCAGTCTTCTTGATGGTCTGGTCTTTTAGTGGGAGATGCTCTTCCTGGCTGCATCTAGTCAACCATGTTGCATACTGGCTCTTCTCTGGGGATGCATTTCTCTCAGGGATTTTGGATTCCGATCACAGTGGGGAATAGAAGGTATTTTGCCACTGCTCTTGCCATTTTAACCTGTTTGACAAATACATAAGCAGCCCACATTTCAAAAGCTTGCTGGTCAGAATAACATAGCACTATTCCTAGAGAATGTCACATCATACTTGTTTTGCGTTACACGTAGAACCTAGCATGGAGTTTCACGTATGAAGGTCTTCAGCACAAATTTGTAGAAAATTTGCTAACTTTTTCTTTCTCTGCTGTCCATGTCCATCGAAGCAGAGAAAGAGATTGGGTGCATCACTTTAGCCATAGTCTCCACAGGATAATGACAATTACATGGCCAAATTGCTAAGGATTGAAATTAAAGTTGGATGTTTCACTTTATCTCTATCATTAACAGACACATTTCTAGGGCCTGGGAAAGGAAGACTGTTTGACCATGTTTTGTGAATTTGTGCTTACATTCATTAACTAAAACAGGAAAATGTAGCATATCTGAGGGATGGCAACTGTGGAGCACAGGGGCTGTCCCCTGCCCCTCCTACTCAGGTGGTCAATGCTAAGTGACCAACCCCTCTAGAGACTTTCAAATCTTCAGGCAGCCACTGCTGTCTAGACATTGACACAAGCTGGACCATCCATTTTACCGGCATTTGCATATAAAATAAAGTCTTGATTACTGTTAATAAATGAACTTGTAGACTACCTGTTTTAAACTCAGCATGAGTCAGTGATTTCAGTTATCCTTACACTGAGACACTCTTGATTCTTAGTCTTCTGTCTCCTTCCTTCCCTGGCTGTGTTTGGAGGGGTGTCTGTGTGTCTGGGGAGGTGGGCTGGCTTGTGTGACTGTGTGGAATTAGGTCTTTAGAGGCCCCTCCATTCGCTGTTCACCCATCCTTTGTCTTTGGGTGGCCCTGGCATTGTTAGCACCCAAGCCTGAAGTCTATGACTAGGAAACCTGTGGTCTGCTGTTTTGGCTCAGGTGAAGCTCTGTTGGAGTCATCAACCAGCTCTTATGGCTGAAGGGTCTCCTCTCTCTTCAGATGGCTGTGGATACCAAGTCTCTGCCACACCCCCATCCAGTCCCAAGCCCAGTAGTCCACCATGGTGGTTGGCCTCAGCCCTCTGTGCTATGCAGGCCCACTGAAACCCCACTACAGGGGCTACAGGAAGCGTGAGGCACCAACTAAGGCATCTGCCTCCCCTACCCTGCTGTTGTGCTCTCTTATCTAGGCTGGGATGCACCTTATTGGCATGGGGCTCTGAGCACAGATCTTAAAACATCATGAGTGGGGAATCTGGGGACATAGTTTCTCCCTCTGCCCTCTGACTTGCCCTAATTTGTCTAATTCATTTTGCTTCTCTGGGTCAAACCTAGGAAAGAGGAAGATTGGGACATATATTGCAGCTCTATCACTTTCTACCTCTGCCCTTCTTATTTCCCATACACTCCAGGATGGAAAAAAGGCAAATTTTCCTCTCCAAAGCCAGAATATCTGGAGTAGGGCCTAGGGATCTGTAAGTTATCAAGTTATCCAGATGATTCTGATGCAGCTAATGTTTGAGAACAATTGACTGAGGTCATCTCCTCCGTCTTCCTTACTCATTCATTGCTAGGCTTTAATAAAAAATTGATGTTTTTTTCCTTGTAAAGAGAAATGAATGATTAACCCTTAATGTATTAAAAGGGCAGGAAAAAACTATCTTGCATAATTTTTATATGTTGAGGGCCAGAGATCAAATTTTGAGCTAATTCTGCAACATATCCTAACCTCTCTACATCTTCTTTTATCCCCCTAAATAAGCGACTATCCTGGGCTAGTAAGAAAGTAATAATCTTAAAAAGGAAAAAAGAAAAGCACCTTCATTGTTTTCCTAGCCACTTAGCTCATACAATATGCAACAAACCATACGCAGTATCCGATATGACTGACTTCAAATCATTCCTAGAAGGTACTTAGTAACACCTCAGCCAGGTACCACTGAGGCGAATATTTCTCTCCACAGAAGCGTCCTTTGTTTATAGCCTCTGTTTTGTACCCTACCCTGTTCAGAGTCACATTGTTAGAATTTTCTCCTCTTTGTCTGCCCATGGGCTTTCATTACTAACAACAAAGAATTTTGAAGTGTTCTATCTGTAGTGCCTCATGGTTTACATCATCAATGGCATGAGATGTTTCTCCCTCTTGTACATCATCTCTGCAAGACATCAGTGGCTACGACTAATCTCCCAATGCCATCTCTTCTGGGGCTCTCTTTCCACTTCATTGACACGAAGGGAGGGGGCTTACTGCACCTAAGATTTCGTGGATAGAGTACAGACTTCAGAAACTCTAAGCAGAAAAAGAACCCTTGTCACTTATTCCTGGTGGACTCTTTTGTATTTTTTTCTAACACAGTTTAACCATCACAGCAATCCCCTGATTCTTAATTCTCTCCAGTGACCAAGTATTGGCATCTCTAATCTATGAATTAGTTGATTCAAATATATTGATGTCGACCAGGGCTGTCAAACTTGAAGGTACATCATTGTCAGCTGGAGCACTTTTTAAATCAGAGGTACCTGCACCCCCTCATCTGATACAGTATCTGCAGAAGGCAGAATAAAGGTCCCCAGTGATATCCACATCCTAATCTCTATGACCTGTGGATATGTTGTTACCTTACATAGCAAGGGGGAATTAAGTTTGCAGGTGGGATTAAGGTTGCTAATGAACTGACTTTAAAATACAGAGATTATCCTGGAGTATCTAGGTTGGCCTGATATAATCACAAGGATAATTAAATGTAGAAGAGGGAGGGTAAAGAGGAGATTAGAGTAATGTAATGTGAGAAAAACTCAACCAACTATTGCTGGCTTTGAAGATGGAGTGACTTGGCCAAGAGCCAAAGATGAAGGGAGGCCTCTAGAAGCTCCAAAGGGCCAGGAAAAGTGAATTCTCCCCTAGAGCCTCCAAAAGGAATGCAGCCAAGCTAACACCTTGATTTTAATCCAGTGAGATCCATTTCAGACTTTAGCCTGCCAATACCGTAGTATAATAAAACTGTGGTTTTAAAAACCCATGAAGTTTTTAGTTCTGTGTTACAGCAGCAATAGAATACTAATACATGAAGGCTGGAGTGGGACCTGAGACTAGGCATTTTTTATTAGATGCCAATGCTGCTGCTGGTTGGGGATTGTACTCTGAGAACCACTGATGTAGACCCTACTTGTACCTCTTACCCTCTGAAGCCTTTTCTAGTTGTGGCAGATAGACTTACGGTCACTCCCATTATCTCCTCCTCCTAGTGTCCCCTTGTACAATCTCAGTGTGGATGGGACTTGTGTCTTGCTTCTAACCAATAGAATATGGCAAAAGTGTCAGGAAGTTGCTTCTAAGATGATGTTATGCAAGACTTTGTCTTGCTGGAAAATTCACTCCTTTCCTCTGCTGCTGTCTTTGATGGAGCAAGTTGCCAGGTGGTGAGGAGGTATGGAGAGGACCACATGGCAAGGAGCTGTGGGCAGCCTCAGGAACTGAGAATGGCTTCTAGTTGCTGACAAACAATAAGAAGCTGGGATCCCCAGTCTTATAGCTGCAAGGAGTTTTCATTTGCCAGCACCTGAATAAGCTTGGAAGTGAATTTATTTCCAGTCCAGCCTCCAGATGAGAATGTAGGTCAGCTGATACCTCAATCACTGCCTTGTGAGACCCTAAACAGAGGATCCAGTTAAGCTGTGCCAAGACTCCTAACCCATATAACTGTGAGAGAGTACATATTTGTCATTTTATGCAACTAAGCTTTTTGTCACTTGTTAGGTAGCACAGAGACTGACACAATGGGATATTCTAGGCACTGGAATAGACAGCGGTAACCCTTGGCAAGAGGAGAGTCCATGGATCCCATGTGGGTTATATCCCTTTTTCAGTTTGGATCTAAAGCTAGCATGTATGAAGCATGTTCTTTGTGCCAGGCATCGAAACTGTACTGAGAGTTCTATATTCATTGTCTTCTTGAATCCTTGACATAGCTATAAATTCATTGCACATATGAAGTAATGGAGGTCCCAGAGGTTAGACAGCATTCTGATATCCCAGAGTTAGTAAGTAGCAGGGCCATGACTGAAATTTACACCCTGATCACTGGCGCACGGATACCACCCTGAAGTGAAGGCCATGTGCTTGGGTATTCCCAGGGTTCCCCAATGACAACAGTGTCCCAGTGATGATGGTGGCTTTCCTCATGCAGGAGCTACCTATGTCATGGGTTTGGGAAACAGGAATTAACAGCCACACCCAGAATTCCATGTTCATTCAACCCACAATCTTTCCTTTGTCCCCAGGGTATCTGTAATTTACCTTGCTATTTGCTATTTCCTAAAGCCTGTGTCTGGGAAAGGGGCTGAAGTGGAGACACTGCCTTGAGAAGTTTATAGCACAGAGAAAGAAATAGGACTTGCCAACTTTAACAATAAAAAACCACTTGTAAAAAACATTTAAAATCTGGAAAACAGAGTGTTTGACTAAACCATCTGTCTACATAACATATTTCCCTTAATTTTGCTTATAATGGATGATTTCTGTATATTCACAAGTACAGGGATGAGCATACCCATTTTAAGCAGACCCACGCGGTTGCAACGACATTCATAACTGTCTCATTTATGAATCTCAGCACACTCATTGAGTTTAATGAAGTAGAAAAATTAGGAGTTCGGAAGGTCATTGAGCCCTCTGACTGTATGCAAATACAATTAATGCACATCTCAATAATGGGTGTCCAGGAAGTGTTCTCACCTAATATCCGATTCAAGACAACCAACATGACTAAGCCAGAGCTTTGTCTAAAGAGACATCTGAAATATATCAAGGAAATAAATTAACTGTCAAAAACTTCATTTATTCTACTGAGATTATGAAATGCAGCTGGAGAATGAATCTGAAAGATGGCTGCAGGAACTCAGAGGGGATTTGCGGTAAATACCCACCGCAGAAGGTCTCTGGGGCAGCTGAGGAAGGAAGCCAATGGTGAACGGAATGAGGGAGAGCCAGCACCACTGTGGAGCTCAAAGGGGCAAGTGACGGAAGCAGTGAATTAGGTCAAGTTATGGCCAGGACTGATTTAGTAGTACAACCAAAGTGGTTGTGGTAAGTTCCTCTATTCAGTTTTTATTAAGGAAATAGGCCCTACTCTGCTTAGCTCTTTAAAAGTTATCCACTCTCCCCTCCCCTTTTCCCCCAAGTTTATTAGTTTGTGGGTAGTGTGTCTGGGGAAGGCAGGGATGGGACAAAGTTCTAGGTTAATGGTTTTCTTTTTCAAACACTGGAAATTTATATTGCAATTGCTCAGGGATAAAATCAAATCACAGGCTGACTAGGTAAGGTGGTTCATTCTGTTGGAAAATGGAATAAGCCACATGGGACAAGTGAAACTCATGAAGATTGTGCTCTATGATGAAAAATATGGGGGTATAACAGTAATGGCTTTATGTCACTTACACATTTGCAGTCTTATGTCAACAACCCTTCCCTCACCCTCCAAGAAGATGAGAGCTGTCCTCTAAAGAATGTTTAAGAGTCATTTCCTTGTCCCTTCTTCCAGTGCCTGGAATCATGGAGCACACACTAGGTGAGCAGGTAACACCTGCCATTTGCCTGTGTGGAGCTGTCATTGTCTTCCTGAATCCCCTAAGCATCCCTATAAAGACATAGTATTGTCATTTGCAGGCAAAGAAACAGAAACTCAGGGGGTCTAAGCAGCTTACTCAGGGTCCCTCAAATAGTAATGGTAGTGCTGTGGCTTAAATAGCATTACTATTATGAAAGAATAATACAAATACTAGAAGGGCCTACCTGATTTAAATTCAAATGTCTTTACAAAAGGAAGATGGTCCTGATGTTTCATTAATTCTAAAGATGAATATATGTGGGATGTCTATGGAGGAAAATAATGAGAGTAATGGAAAGTAACTTCCAGAAAATATAAGACAAGTAGCATATATGTAAATATGCATATAGGGAGAAACATGGAGAGAGACAAAATATTTCAAAATGAGACAATATTTTTCAAACATTGACTAAAAATAGGGCAAGGGGTAGGGAGAGAGGGCGCGAAAAAGATGACATGGGAAAGAGACTTGGGTGGGGAATTGGAGGAACTGTGTGGACCGCGGCTCAGCCTCTTTGGTTTTCTTCCTTTGCAACTTTGCCCTCAGTGATTTAGCTGGGGCCCTCAACACAGACATTTCACACAACTGTTTCTGAGGTAGCTCTGGTTAAACTAGAAGCAGGAAGTGCCAGAAATCTTGCAAGGAAGCAGATCCTCTTGACATTTCCTGTCTTGAAGGTCCGAGGGGCTCAGACGAGCTTCTAAACCCAAGGAAGCTTCCATGAACTCCGTGAGGTTCCCCTAGATCCAGCAAGAGCCCAACGGGCTGACAGCCGCTCTCACCAGCAGCAAGGATTTATGTGCCACATTTCAAAAGACATGCATTTTAAGGATTTCTCGCTGTGTGAGAAACCACTGGGGCAAAATGGAGTAGAAGAAAAGTACACCTGATTGTAATTAATGCTGACAGTAATCTCCAGCTTTCATTCTGAAAACAGCCAGATGGGAAAGTTGGAACTGTTAATAATAGAAAACGTTGCCATCCGCAGTTCCTGGAGTCATAACTCTTTAAAGACTGTTTGGATTCCAGATCTCTACAGACCAGCCCAAGCCAGATGCTGCTCAGACTCTGCGCTGCCATGGGCCATGGTGGGCCCTGTTAAAGGGAAGGGATCAGAGAGGAAAGCTCCGCTCTCAGCCTCCCGGCTCTGATGAGAAGTCTACCTGCGGGAGGCCTGGGGCTGGGAGAAGAAGAAGAAAGCAAGGATACGTCAGGGAAATGTGGGGTCAGACTGTGCTTTGAAACATCTTAACCAATGGCCTTGTTGCACAGGTCTTAGCAAGGAGGAACCCAAGAACTGAGTGAAATCTCAGCCCAAATGAGGTTTAAGAAGGTACCTGGGAGAGGGATGTCATTCTCAACGGATATGCCATTCTCCACAGGCCTGGTTAAATGTGGCCCAGCAGAGTGAAGGGTGTTGGGAAGTAGGAGACTGGGAGGCTGCACTTGTATTTTAGGATGGGAAGGAAGACCAGGAGAGAGCTTCTCAGAAGTCACCTCTCCCAGAAGAAGCAGCCCTGAGGTCATCTCTCTTTCTCTGTGAGGATTTGCAACTTTGTAGAGCTAGCTGAGGTATCTACCCTGCCTGCTGGGCACCGAGTGAGCCTGCCAGCTGTGAGGGGAACTAAGAGAGCCACAGGGGATGGATGGGACCCTTGGGGTCTCAGTGGAAGGAGTTAAAGGTTAAGACTTTCATAGCTAGAGACTCCGTAGGTCAGAGACAAGAGAACAATGGCACTATCTGTGAGAGCCAGGTAAAGTCCTTGGTAAACCCAGGCATGAGGCGCCCAGCTTCAGCCCCTTTTCTGTCCTTTTCAAGAGTGCCATGGGGTTCACCAACTCCAAAGTTCTCCACTGACTCTCATGGACACTTACGGAGGGGCCAATCAGTACTTTTGAAAGTTCTGATGGATCCAAACAGGTCAGACTGGCTCCAAGGAGGGAAGAAAAAGGCTGGCAGGTCTGACTTCTTAAGGCTTAGATAGAAGCACTTAGCGAGCAGCTCACAGAGACAGTGGCACAAGGTGGAGGTTAGGCACCAGAGCAGATGAATGAGAGCCATAGATGGGTCCTCTGTGCTTTCTTTGAGAAGCGGCGCTCAGGCATGTGTGCATGCGTGTGTGAGCCCCGAGCTGGTGCAGGGTCTCTCTGCCAGCAAGACTGCCAGAGTGGGAAAGTGTAAAAGGGAGGCCCCTTGCCACAGGCTATGTGTGCAGAGAACCCTGATATAAGCGAAACCCAGTGCAGAGCAGAAACATATGGATACGCTGTAAGAATAGGGATGGAAGCTCTGTGAGGCCAGCAATTTCTGGCTTGATGCTGGGCGAGGCATCAACATCCTTGCTGGGCTGGTGGGAGCACCTGCAAAAGTGGAAGGACTGCAGAAAGCACTGCGCCAACAAGGGGAATGGGGAAAATCCCCATGAATACTGCTGACAACTACCAAGCTGAAAGATGGAATTCCGTTTCTGCCAGGCAACTCGATTTTTTCAAAAGCAAAACATACCTTTAATTTATTCCCAGAAATACATCCTCATAATTTTCACCTGCAGTTGAGTGACTAGGAGAGAAAACATGGGGAGTGAAAATCTGGGCTGTGAGGTGAGCAGCTGAGTGGGAGATGCTTAGAACGGGGATCAAAGGACATTATGAGTTAAAAAGACCTTGATGATGTTTTAACCTGATCATTTTCACATGCAAGAACCCTTTCTCTTCCCAAACAAAATCTCATGAGGAACCATAACTGGAGAATGGGAGAGCAGATCTGATTGAAATGGGGGCCAGATGCCTAAGACCTCTCGCCCCAGTGGGGTTCTTTCTGAGCCATGGAGTGGTCACAGGGGGTCCCCTGAAGCACCGGAGCCAGGGAGGAGCATTCTGGAAACAGTGGGCTTTCTCAACCCTCTCATTTTGAAAATGAGGGGAGTGAAGCAGGATTGCCAAGGAGAAAGGAAGAAAACTGAGTTAGAGGCCACCTTCCACCTTGAGTTGGTGAGAGTTCCTCAGGCCCTCCCAGACCATCTTTTCAGTGTCTCAGCCCCAACTAGAGAAAGACAGACATCTGTTCCCTCTGCATGGGTGCTCAGACCTAGGGAGGAACTGGCACTAACTTGCCTCACGGGTTTGTAGATTCTCCCATTAAAGTCAATTTCCACATATTAAAAATCTGGCTTAACTCTCTCATCCCCAAGTCGGCCTCACAGAAGATACGCCTGAGTGAGCACTCAGGGACCATGTTGTGAAACCCTGTCGGGGCCATCTGGCTGCCTGTGTCTTCGGATGCAGCCTTCTGAGCAAGTGCCCTATAACCCAGGTAATTACAGAGCCCAAGCCCACTCAGGAGAATTAGATGAAGCAACAAGCTATTATTTCCCTTGTTTGCAGAAATAATAATATGTAGGACCTCCGTAGCACCTTTCATCAGGAGACTTCAAGGTACTTCCCAGACATTGTTTGACTGTAAGTTCTTTTACTACAGATTTGCAATTAAAAAAAGAAAGAAGGAAAGAGAAGTCACTTGTCAATGAACCAGGGTTAACCCTGAGGGAGGAGTGGGGATTGCCTCTGGGACAAGGGTCTTAGCTCCATCTCCCTCCGAGACAAAGTGAGACTCCACTTGGGCAACAAGGACAGAGGCTGTGACTCTGTGGACACAGATGGAGGGTGAAGAATGCAAACAGCAGTTTTTCCTACAATCTGGGAATTGTTAGAAAGATTTAGTATTTCCACAATGTCTCCTTAGGTCAGCGCCACCAGGCTCTGGGCACACAGAAAGGGGGCTGAGGGAAATAGGAGAAGCCCCGGGGATGTTTAAATAAGTTCACTGAGTTCAGCAAAGGCCTCTAAGGAAATGGGATGACTAAGACCAATAAAGCCATGGTTTCATAAAGGATCCCATGGGGACAAACTAGGAAACTGCAGGCCAGTTCATTTGACATGAATCGTGGGCTGCTTTGCACTTCTTTTAAGAGTCAAAGAGGATAACATTTGGAAAGATCCAGATTGGGGTGACTGGGTGGCTTCAGGAAGGAAGGGGCATTGTATTTCACTAACTTAGGGAATTCTTTATAGATCTGGCTGGTCTGGCTGACAGAAGGGAACAAGCCCACCTCCCTGAGGCAGGCAAGCAGGGCCCGTGGTACAAATGTGCTGAGCAAGTTGTGATGAGAAATGAACACAAGTATAATGAACAGGAAGGATTTTAAAGATTTCTCTACCATGCACACTCTGTTAACCTTTGCCATCAATCAACTCAGAGAGCAGAGATACATAGCCCTTTGTCCACAGTTGCAATTCCCAGAATGGGTTCCTTAGAATCCTGATCATGTGTGGTGGCCCTTGAAAATTGTTCCACACTGAAATAAATTTTGGAAATGCTTCAGAGTTTTTCATTCTTCTCCTGAAGATGAGCAGCGCATACTCACTTATGAACCACCCTGAGAAGACCTGTAGGAAAGAAATATTTTAAACTGTCTTTCCCTGTGTGTTCCCAAAACGTATTTGGCCATGGAACAATTTTCCCTTTTGCAAGCACTTGTTAATATTTCACAGAATGACTATTCCTCAGGACACTTTTGGGAAGCACTGATATGAGAAGATGATGTCATAGCTTATCTAGCTATGATGGTTTAAGAAGGTAACTTGGAGACAGATGTCATTCTCTACGGATGTGTCATTCTCCACAGACCTGGTCAAATGTGGCCTAGTAGAGGGCAGGGTGCTGGGAAATAGGAGACTGGGAGGCTGCACTCATATTTTAGAATAGAAAGGAAGACCAGGGGAGAGCTTCTTAGAAGTCGCCTCTCCCAGAAGCAGCAGCCATGAGGTCATCCCTCTTTCTCTGTGAGGATTTGCAATTTTGCAGAGCTAGCTGAGGCATCTACCCTGCCTTCTGGGCACCCAGTGGGCCTGTGAGCTGTGAGGGGAGCTAAGAGGGCCACAAGGGCTCTGCATTAGGTATGCTAGAACCAAGTGGCAGCACTGGGGAGATAGAGGGCATGGGAGCTAAGAGGAGCCCTGCTCAGTAGTGTAGGGGAGTGGGCCATGGAGTGCAATCCATTTACAGAGGATGGCTGCAGCCAGGACAGCCGAGCAATCAATAAAACAATTCTCAGAGAGGAGTAAACTCAGGCATAGGTAGGGCAAGGGCTAGCACAGGGGACCCCATAGGCAGCAGGGGAAGCAGCAGCCAATTGCTAGGAAGTGCTGGGCAGAATCGTCACTGTCTGAAGGATTGAAAGAGCGATGAGCTATTGATTGTTTACTATGTGCTTGGAAACCCTCTTACACACTTCATATGCATAAATGTCACTTAAACCTTGTAGGAAGGTCATGATATAGATAATAGTGATGTATCTTAGAGAAGTCAAGTAATTTGACTGAGGCTGCACAGCTAGGTAACTGTTGGAGCCTGAAATTGAACCCAACCATCTTTAGAGCTTTCCCTTTTCACCTCTATGCCAGGGGTTGGCAAACTATGGTCCATGGGCCAAATCTGGAGCACTTTGTGTTTTTGTAGCTAGTGTTTTATTGGAATATAGCTATGCTCACTAGTTTACCTATTGTCTATAGCTGCTTTGGCCCTGCAACAGCAGAGTTGAGTCAGTATGAGAGGGACTATGTGGTCCACAGAGCCTAAGATATCTACTCCCTGACCCTTTACAGAAAAAGTGTGCTGATACCTGCTTTATGTGAATCTACGTCTAGTCTAGGGAGCACACGGAGTAAGACCAGCTTCTAGGAGAAGAGAAACAGTTGATCAGGGCCTTAATGAAGTAGCCTATGGTTTAGGGGAAATTACCTATTCCTGAGAAAAGGTAACTGGGCAGGTCACACCCAAGGGGAAGGTGGACGCCCATCCCATGCGTTGGGCTACCACAGCAGGCAGGAGGGAGGTAGTCTGTGACTCGGAGTAGCATACTTTTAGGCATTAAATAACTTTTTATTGAGTGTCTGTAATATGCCTGCCATCATAGGCCCCACAGCCAGGAGATTCCAGGTGAACGTCAGGAGAATTTAATTCTGCACCACACCAGAAAGTAGGTGGAGGCCGCAGGTAGTTTTTTGATCCTCTTGGAACTGCTGAAGACAGAAGCTGTTCTGGGCCTGTCACTGTTTTCCTGACTGTACCAAATGTGGCCTGAGGTTGGCTCCATGCAGCAGCTCTGGCCCCAGGGAGCTGGAAAGTCAAGGCTGGGGGAACGCAGTGGGGCTTAGGCTCTGGGCTTCAGGTGAAGCTCTGAGCCCTGTTGTTTGTGTTCACGGGTGAGTTTGGGCTCGTCGCCCTGGCGGAATGGACAAATGATGCCAGGCTCATTAGCACAGCAGGTGAGAAGCTGGGGATTAGCACCAAGGGGTAATGAACCTTGTAGGAAACCAAGTCAAGTCTCAGTTTTGAGGCTACTTTGTCCTGTGTGCTCAAGCCCAAGAGACCAGACTTAGTGGTGGTGACCTGGGCAAAGGCTGGGAAAATAAAGGAAACCTCTGCTGAGATCAGTTTGGATCAGTCTTCCCTCCCTTTTTTGCCCTCTGCCTTCAAATCTCGCTAACCTCCAAGTCAGGCTAACCTCCAGGATAAACCCTTGGGCCTCAGCTGCATAGGCCTAGAGTGGGACACAGGAGTCTGCATTTTTGACTTGTAATGTAGGTAATTCTTTTTTTTTGAGATAGGATCTTACTCTATTTCCCAGGCTGGAGTGTGGTGGAGCAATCATAGCTCACTATGGCCTCGAACTCCTGGAATCAAACAACCCTTCTGCCTCACCCTTTCAAAGTGTTGAGATTACAGGTGTGAGCCTGGTTAATTTAGGTAACTGACCATGCCTGGTCAATTTAGGTAATTCTTATACAGTTGGGCCACAATTTGATATTTTCTGAGGCTTGAACTGTTTAACATGGGCTGGCTGCAGCCCCTGGTTCTGGTCCCCTCCTCCTACGGGGGCTTACCCTTGTCCTCATCTCCCTGAGCCCTGCTCTGAGGCCACCTTAATAAGGAGGATGCTTTGGCCTCTGACATGTTGTGACATCTTCGAGTCTGGTTGCCTGGATAATGAGACTCTGAATGTCTTCCTGTGCCATCCTCTGTCACCCCAAGTGAAAATTCCTGGCTTCAGACATCTTTGTGAAACCCTATTTCCAAGTTGCTCCAGTCCCCACATGTCCTGTGAAAGGTGGTGGATTTGGGCACATGGTTTAGGGTCTATAGTTCCCTGAACCTCCTCTTGTGTCTCCTGCCCACCACCCAATGGTGATTCTAGCTGTTTCTAACCTCTAATCTAAGGAATACACCCATCTATCAACTCACAGGAGAGGAGGCAGGCACTACCCCATCCAGCTTTCTGACCTAGACATTGCTGATTTTGTCCATACATTCTCTTGCAGAGAGACATAGGGGCAAGTCCTAGTGAGCTGGCAGGATCTCTCCTGCAATGGCAGCTGGACAGCCATGCAGGCTTGACATGAGGGTGGCCACCATCATTCCTCTTCTGACAATGGGCAGGGACTCTGACCAGTGGGCAGCACGTGTTTTACAACTGGGAAGTCTCTCCTTCTGTGGGGCAATTGTGGGACCTCTGGTGGCCCTAGAGCATGGCAGAACCCACTGGCTGAGGTATGCCAAAAGCATCACTTTCAGGGACAACTGATTCCCCATGGGCTTCCAGTCTGGGTTCATCGGGAAAACGATGGTGCTGCAGGCCCAGTGCGAGGAAGGCTGGGAGGGCCCTGCAGGTTGGCACCTTTCTGTTCACAGAAAGCCTTAGAGTACTTCCAAGCTGTCCCAGTTGTTACAAGAAGACTTTCTTCAAAATGCAAATAAGAATCCCTTCACAGAGACCTGTAGCAGCAGAGATGTTGGCCTTTCTTTCTTGAGTCATCAGCTGAAAATGTCAGACTCATAATCATGGTCGTTTGGGAGGTTAAAAAAGTAGGAGGTTAGTAATTTAGGATGTATAGTACTTATTCTATTGCAACATTCACAGTTTTTTTAAATATATGACTTTTGTTTGGAGTGAATTCAAATCATATGGTAATAATAGTCACATTCAGGATGTCCATCATCTCCCTCCTTACAGTGGCCCAGCAATTTCCAAATGCACAGTTTTTCCTTGTGACTGGCATGAGAATTGCCCTTTGGATGCTGCAGTAGGCTAATAAAAAGACAAAGTGGAATATTTGGAATATTTTATTCTTCCAATTATTTCAATTTCTACTAACAGCTAAGATCTGATCAAAACAGTGTGAGGCTTGGCACAGCTGGCGGTCCCATGTGGATTCCCTGGGTCTCAAGCTGCCATCTGTCCTTTCTATGCCTCCGGGATGAATCTTCAGGTGCAGGTGGGCTCAATGCTCTTCCTTTCCCTCTATCTCAAGCCATATTCTGAGGTGGATATTTGTTTGGTGGAGCCTCCCCGCACCCTATGTGCTGGGCTTCCTTTCCCAGGGACTTGAAGCTTCTCTCTTGCCTGAGGACTTTGAGAAAAGCTGTGGCTTGGGGAAGGATTGTGAGCTTTGATTTCAGGCCAGCCTGGGTTCACACTGTGGCTTGGACACACCCTGGTGTACAGTGATTGAACCAATTACTTAGCTCCCAAAGGCTCAGTTTCTTCATTTCAAAAACTGGAATTTTTGGTATGAATTGAAAAGAAAGTAATATGTGTAAAGTGCCTTTCCAGGACCATTGAAGGTGCTGAATAAATAGCATAACCTATCACTCAGGACACTAACATTGTGACTATCCACTGAAGCTTTGTCTTGGCATTCATGCTGCCTCCAGTCTTCTCTGGTCCAGGTTTGTGCTGCTGCATTCAATTAACAATTTTTTATTAAATGCCTTTTATTAAAACGCATCTCTAGGCTAGATACAGAGAATATAGAGATTTCAAGGAAACTATGGAAACACTACTGTCCTAAGGGAGTATATAGATCATTGACTTCTAGCCCAGGGCTTCCTGTCCTTGCAGCCTCAATAGTTCCCCTTTCCCAAGTCCAGGCTGCTCCCCCTCCAGAGCCACCAGGACCTTGGGGAAAGAACAACCCTCTCTATTACCTGCATGTTTTGCTCAAGGATGTATCTACTAGCCGTTCTTTGCCTTGTCTATATCTGATCTCTCTATGTTCAAGACATGTGGGTGAGGATGATAATAATAACTAACATTAATGAGCCCTTATCATGGGCCAAGTACTATTGTTTGTAATGCTTATAATGATATTACAAGCATTTTGCAGGTATAATGTCATTTTTTTCTTATAGTTACCCTTTGAGATAGGTACCATCTATAAAATAAGGAACCAGAAGTGTAGACATGTTGCCTAGCCTACGGACCTGCAGTTAATCTGCCAGGAGAGCCAGGATTTGAAAGCAAGCAGTCAGAGGCCAGAGCCGGTATCCTCAGCTCTGCTCCGTAGCCTTGCATTCCCACTTGGCACTCCTTCTCAAACAAAGACTCTCTTGCAGCAGCCCCCTCTGCTTTGTCCTCAGCAGCCTTGGTTTCTTAGTTCAGCTGTTGCTTTGGTTAACTCTTCCTTGTTGAGAAATGCCCATGGTGAGAGATGTTTGTTTTCCCCGGGCACTGACCCTTGCCTACTTTGATGGTCATGGAAAAAGGCAGGGTCATAGAATCAGTGGCCTGTTTTTGCTTGTGATTATTTTTGTATGCCACTTTTATATAGGTTGTCACCACTGTAAAGAAAAATCAAGGGGGCACAACTTTCTTTCAACATGGGGTCAGACTGACCTTCCTTTTGCCAGTCCATATAAAGATGAACTTCCCATGTCAGATGGCAGTTAGGTAGGGGCATGTTATATACCTTCTCAAGTTTTCATTGCAGTAATTATGGAAATGGAATAAGAGATAAAAGCCTGTAAGGTACTGAAAGCTAGGAATACAGTCTAATGATTTGCTGGATGCCAGGAGGAATTTCTACCAACTAAAGCTTGGATGGTGCTTGAGATAGGCAAGCTGGATCAAGCAGAAAGACGTTAGGAAATTTTCACCCCATCTTAGTGAGTTATGTATTCTAGAATCTGGAGACTTCACCAATTAAATGGTGAAGCAACTGCTTTCTGTCTTGGCTAAGGTCATTTTACCCAACCAAACCCTTTCACGGGCACTTCTTTTTTTTTTTTTCTTTTGATATCTGTCTGGGGAGTACAGTCTGGGTAATGCAATAGGTCGGAAATAGTCAGAATGCAGGTATGGGATACTGACAATGATAAATAGAGGGGACAGGAAAATAGTGAAAAGAGCATGCTGTGGAAATTGCAGCATAAGCCTGCATCCTAAAAAGAAAGAAATAGACTATCAAATCATTTGTGAATACATTGTGCTTCTCACTATAAGATGATCAGACGGGGGAGGCAGACCCGTCATCAATTCAAAGTGACCATAATATACAATTGATTTTTAAAGACTAAACATTCAAATGGGGCTCTGCAAAGGAGGCAGCCTTCCATGATTTTAGAGGAAGATTCTGACAGTGTTCATATGGTCATTGCTGGGAATCATGTGACTCCCTGCATTGTAAATATTGGCAAGCTTCAGGTATGAAGAACCTTGTGATCATTCAAGCATGAGTAAACTGGAAAAAAAAAGTCACCTATAGAGCCAATGGAAAAGTAAAAGAAATGCATCATTAATGTTGAGATATAGAAAGAAGATGGGCTTCTGAATAAAGATTTACTTGTACTGTAGGAGAAGCTCGTCAATAAACCACCTGTATACTCATTCTGAAAAATGCTCAAAGACATGTGGCAACTGACCAATAAACAAGTTAACGTTAAACATCCAAAACTAGGGAAGTAGTCATTTTATGGAAGCCAGATAATATTAAGTCTAAATAATTGTGGTTGTAAATGTGATTAGAACATTGAACGGAAATGCTTTAAAAATGGAGGGAACATATAAATAGTGTGGCTGACCGTGTTGTAAAGATCATTATAAATATTAGAAGCCCCTATTCCAGGGAAACTAGCAAGGAGGAAAAAAGGAAAAACAGTAAAATAATGCTTATTTTTTCCACTTATTTATTAGGGGCAAATGGTCATCCTGCTTCCTTCCTGAGAGAAAATGTACACTGGAGCATTTTAAAGTTTATGTTAACTATCAGTATAACCAGAATAATATATATCTTCAAAATTATCAGGTTTCAGGAAGGTTAGAAAACAGTTCCTACATAACAGAAGACTGAAAAACATCAAGGGAGCAGTTGTGAAGAATAAAACACATAGAGCATAAAGCAAGATAACAGGAGAAGTACTACACATCATTAGTTAGTACAATAAATGTAAATGGATTACGTTTAAAAGTGGGCACACGTTGACATGCATCATTATAGGATCCTATGGGATGTTTTATTATGCATCATTATAGGATGCATAATAAAAAATAAAATAAAAATTGATAAAATTTTAAATAAAAATAAAAGTAAGAGGATAACTTGTGAATCAGAAAACTTTTCGGGGACATGCTTAGAAAATATTCAAGCTTTAAATGTAACTGTTCCATTACTACAATATAATGAGTGTTTTCTTTTCTCACTCAATCAGTACTGTATTAAAAAAATCAAGATTGACCACGATTTTCTTTGATATGCACTATATTCTGTATCCCACAGATGAAGAATATGAAATTCCTTGAAAGTAAGATTTCCAGCCTTCTTCATGTCTCATCAACTGAAACTCAACTTTTATTGCCCATGACCAAGAGTGAAGTGGGTTCTAGTAGTTGAATTTATCATTTTATAAGTTCTCTTTTGGGTAATGGTCTGGTGAATTGTGCAAGATCAAACCTTGGCTTTGTGACTAAAACTAAGCCCACATTAGAGCAATTATATGGTTACTTGCACCTATGATGTAATCATGTTAGACAAAAAGTTCTACGGAAGTCGAAATGTCAGTCATCATTAATATTATTGTGATGTGAAGCAAATTGTGCAGTTAGTATTTCATATATAATACATTCTACCCTTTTTTTCTGTCTTAAGATCATCCCTTTAGGCCGAACAGATTCTTACATCATCTGAATCTCAGAGTGCCTATTGTATGTATGTGTGAGAGTGTTTATTGCCATTGTTTATTTGAAATCAATTATTTGAATGTAATCTGTCTTATTATTTAAAAAAAATATTAGTGGTCTAAAGTGTATCTCTATGTGCAAACATTTAACCCAATATAGCCACAAACCCAATGTTAAAATGATATAGTTCTGACGTGTTTGAGAAATTCTCTATTTCCTAGGCTTTTATTTTTTATGATTTGAGTATTAGATTTAGGATCTGTACTGGTGTCCTCAGTAGCAGCTAGCACATACTAGCATTCACCACATGTTAGATAATCACAGGTTGGAATTTATATTGAATTTGATTTCAACATATAAATCATTAGGGACACAGAAGGGATGTGGATGCAGCAAAAGACATTTATTCACCAATGATGTATTGAGTACCTACTAGGTGCTAGGTACAACCATTAATTATTTTATACTTTAGCTATAAAGAGCTATAAAGTTATAAAGAAAAGAATATGTACGGGTAGAAAGCAGAAAGTGCCCTCAGAGAAGTTCAGATAAATAACTATGAGAATTAAGAATAAGTTCAACCCTAGAAGACTTTTAGGCACCCAACCTAAATAGTTTTGGGCCCCTAATGCACATGCTCAGGGATTAGATGGGCTAAGCTGACAATTTGAAAGTCTCCAGTGCATGCCACTGTGTAGGACTGGGGAGTCAAGGATTTTGTTTTACAACTGGCTCCCTATTTCATTATTTTCTCTGTTCAGTTCAAAAGTCTCACAAGCATTTGGTGAGCATCCACTGAATGCCAGGCAGAGAAGGATGAAATAGGGTATAGGTATATGGAGAATAGAATGAGACACAGAGCTAACTTTAAGGAGCATAATTTACAATGCGGAACATGCACCCACTAACAGATAATTTGAATATATTTGGTATATATAAGATACTGAGAAGAGAGGAGGAATAATTAGATAAGGCTGATTGTTTATGGATGGCCCCTGAGGGCAACACACTTTAAATTCATTGCTAACTAGTCAAAACAGGATAGCTTGTGAAGAAATGGGGGATGGGTGTTCCAGGCAAAAGGAACAGCAAAGGCAAAGAGCCCCAACTTTCACAATGGGCATCAGTATTTGCCTACGATCCTCCAGGACACTGCCCAGTCTGGGTGGGCCTGTAAGGAAATATAGTGGGCTTGCAATCATGGTCCATGCAGCCATGAGGAAGTGAATCTATCTATGAGGAGAGTGGCCAAGAAAGCAAAGGAAAGCCTTATTATCATCTCACATTTGCAGGACGGGTGGAGCCAAGGAAGATTCTCAGAGGCAGTCAGATGCAGGCTGTGGGCATCTTTTGTAGAGAGCAAAGTCCAACTTGGAGATGAGGGGGCCTGCAAAAAATGCCGAAGGAAACAGAGCTCGGGAAACAGAGTTTAGAAGATTGAGAGTAGTTCAGATTATTAGAGCACAAACTAGCAAGAGATGAAGGTAAGAAAGAATTTGGCCATTAGCTTGTCCTTTATTGTGTCGATTATGGTAAATGTCGTTATTTATTGAAAGGATCTAATCAAATCTGGCCTTAGAAAGACCTCTTCTAGTGCAGTGTGAAGAACGAATTAGAGAGGTGAAGGAATGGCTGGGAGACAAGTGGGGGTCCGCTGAGCTAGGCAGGATCTGCGGGCAAGAGCTACAGGCTCAGGCTGGGCTCAGAGTGTGCACATGTGTTTGTGTTCTTGTAACACCAAGCAAATACATGGGGTAGCCTACCTAGCTCTCTTGCTACCTGGGCCAGAATGTGGCTTACCATGAGGTAAGCCCCTGTTACATGGCAAATTAAGCATCCCCAAACTGGGGAAGTCTATAAAGTTTAGTTCTATCCTCTACATACACATTTCCAATATAATAGTTCCAACAAGTGGTTGACCAGTTGCTACTTGAAAACATCTCTCTCCAGGCCGGGTGCAGTGGATTGTGCCTGTAATTCCAGCACTTTGGAAGGCCAAGGCGAGAGGACTGCTTGAACCCAGGAGTTTAAACCATCCTGGGCAGCATAGTGAGACCGCATCTCAAAAAAAAAAAAAAAAAGAAAGAAAGAAAGAAAAAAGGAAACATATCTATTCAGCCTTAACTCCTGGGATTTTCCTTCTTAACTCATCTTCCCCAGATGGATCAGAAGGGGACAAATCTCTTTGTTCTACCCTGGGCTTTCACACAGGCTCTCTCCTGTCCCTCTAGCCTCCAGGTCTGGATAATCAATCACCTCTTCAGAAAAGCTGCAGCTGACTCCCTTTACTAAGCATGTTCCCATCCCCCTTTATCCTCTATTCCCATGTCATGTTCCTTCAATCATGTCACTTGCCATAGTTAAAAAACATGATTTTTATGCACTTACCCTCTTCCTACTCAAACTGGGAGCTATGCAAGGACAGGTCATAGGTCTGTTTTATGTATTAGTGAGTGAATAGCCAACATTTTTCAGAGAACCTCCTTGTTTAGAAGTCCTTAAATATGAACTTAAATGTTCTTTCCTTGAGGGTCTAGACCTGCTTGTTTATATCCATTTGAAAACAGCTCTTGAGCCCTGCAAATGAGTCTTTAGTTCCTGGCCACCAAGGAAAGCCTGTGGGACAGTGTAAACTCTCTGTGGTCCTCGTACCTTGAGATGGGTAAGCAGTGACTGGAAATGACATTGGACTCTGGGAACAGGTCTTGCTAATTTAGATCAAATTTTCACCCCTTAGTAATGGAAGTCTTTATTCTTTAAAGGATGCTAAACTTCGTAAGAAGATTCTAGTCTATTACTTCCAAATTCTCCTTCTGAGGATGCATCCAAAGTAGAATCGCTAGAATAATGAGGATGAATACTCTAATGTTTAATTACAGCTCAATAAAACTATAAATAAAGTTGTCAGTCATTTATAATTACCTCTTGATCTGCTCCTTCTGGAGAGGAAGGAGTGAACCAACTATGCTTGCTTCGGAGGTGAATTAACCCCTTCTGGCTCCTTATTGCGATAGAGCTGTAATTTTCCAAGTGCAATGCTGGCAGCAAAACAGTTCAATTATAATCCAAATGTGGCAATTTACTTACTGGTAGGATTCGTGTTCTTAGTTCATATTTAGGAGGAGTCAAACATCAAATGGAAGCTCTCTGTGCTAACCACCGGGTGGCCAACATTATTGGAGCATAGTTGAAACTTGTTTAGGGTTCGACATCTCTTATAAGTGAGGGCCCATCCTTTAGGACAAAACAGCCCAGCCGGGAACAGCCTCACACTCTTTGCCTGCTAATGGTCTGGAACCTGCAGTTAAGAGGCCCATGGTGCAGATGTGGTCGTTGTGCTTCTTCAGTCTAAACCTATCGGGCCTTGGAGAGCGTGGTGAAGCGCTATGAGAATATGGCTCAGTGCATCTGCGGTCAGGACCAGGCCTGTGTCTCTCTGGAGGCCGGCACACATGTGTCCTGGGAGAGCAGTGCTGTGGATTCTGCAGGGTGGGAGGAAGGCTGGGGGCACAGGCCATTTGCCAAAAGATGAGACACATCAGAAAAATGCCTTCAAATACAGCAAGATTTTGGGCTGGGGACCCATAGGTCATCAATCTAGCATTTTCTGTCAACATACTGTGGCACAGCCTCTAATTGGGGAAAAAGTATGCTCAACACATGGTGCATGGCCACCTGGGAAAGAGACAGTTGTCATGGAGCCTGCAGCCCATCAGGGCAGAACACTCAGCTTCCCTGAAAAGTGACCTTTAACATTGCTGGGGAAAACGTTGTATAGTTATCTCCCATTTTCTTTTAATTCTTCTTAAGTGGGCAGGAAAGCCAGATCACAAGTGCAGCGATAGAAAGCAAGACCACCACAGTGGCTAAGGTGTTGCAGGGAGGTAGATGGGGGTGACTTTTGGCCAGGCGTGGAATCCCCTGGCTCTAGGGGGCTAATCAGGTCCCTCTTTTGCAGCAGGGGTTGCTATTCACTTCTTTCTAAAAGGCCAGACTTTTAAGTCTGAGGAATATGAGTTGAAGAAGCAGGCTCTGGGGGTGGGAGGTCACAGTCTTGGTTAGCGACCCTGAGGCTACTGTCTCACGATGTTGCCATGTCTGTCCTGACCACACCACGAGACCCTCTGTGTCCTCTCCAATGTCGTGGCTTCCCCCAGCATCTTGTTATCCTGAGTGCCTTGTACTTTCTTATTCCTTTTTCTTTCTTTATTTCTTTCTTTCTTTTTAAGACTGCATAGGGAAGTTCGAAAGGGAAAAGGACTTAGAAATCACACTTGGAATACCATGCAGATATTTGAGGAAGTGCTAGTCTCTCCTTTCTTCAAGACAGCCCTCCTTTCAGGGCGCCTCACCTCATAACACCCTTGCCCTGGCTGAGGATCTATTTTAGCTCCATATTTACACAGCAAGTGCAACTCGGCAAGAACCATGCTCGCCCTCCGCTGCATGCCGTGCAGTGGCGTTTTGGAGGGCTGGGGAGGACGTGAAGGCTGTGCTCCTCCTTGTGCAGCAGCAACTCAGGCAGAGCCACATACCCAGGCACTGACAAGAGACTAATTCTCCTCTCCCTTGAGGGAAACGAGTTCAAATGAGACTGAAGCATGATGGATAGGAGGAGTCCAAACCCACAACATGCTTCTTCGGACTTTTTCGGACTTTTCTTTCTCTGGAGAATGAAAACAAGGCAGGGAACAATGCCCTCTCTCAGCGATGGACATTGGCTTTGATCACATTCCCTCAGGTGGTAGCCTCCTAGGAAAAAAATACATGGCGAAATGAGGAACATGAAATGCAAATGCTATTATTTTTTAGCTATTTCATTCTCACTGGACAAAGCACAAAAGTCAGAGCAAATTCTTTTTGAAAGTAAATCTAGGGAAGTGAGCCTCTTCCTGGGAGTTTCCAAGTGCCAATAGGAGGCAGAGACATCTAATTGCCCTCCACCTCTTCCTCAATGACAGAATTCCACCTGTATTCTAAAGTCCACATACCCAGGTAAAAAGCTATAGCTCCCAGCTCCACTTGCAGCTAGGTATGACCACATGACTATGTCCTGGCCAATGAGATGGAAGATGTGAGGTTAATTTTAGATGTCAACTTGACTGGATTAAGGGAAACCTAGACAGCTGATACAGCGTTACAGAATAAGTCCCCTTTATTCATGGGGGATACCTTCCAAGACCCCCCAGTGAACTCTTGAAACCATGGATAGTACTAAACTCTGTATACACTATATTTTTTCCTATATATACATGTTTATGATAAGATTTAATTTATAAATTAGTTACAGTAAGATAATTACAATAACTAATAACAAAATAGAACAGCCATAAGAATGTACTCTAATAAAAGTTATGTGAATGTGATTCCCTTGCTCTCAAAGAAACTTATAGTACTGTTCACATCCTTCTTCTTGTGATGATATGAGATTACAAAATGCCTATGTGATGAGATAGAGTGAAATGAGTGATGTAAACATTGTGATATAAGTGGATAATTCCAGAAATAAAATATTTATACATCTTTTTATTTATTTTTTTTTTTGAGAGGGTGTCTCGCTCTGTCGCCCAGGTTGGAGTGCAGTGGCACAATCTCAGCTCATTGCAAGCTCTGACTTCCGGGTTCATGCCATTCTCCTGCTTCAGCCTCCTGAGTAGCTGGGACTACAGGCACCCACCACCACGCCTGGCTAATTTTTTGTATTTTTAGTAGAGACGGGGTTTCACCGTGGTGTCGATCTCCTGACCTCGTGATCCGCCCACCTCGGTCTCCCAAAGTGCTGGGATTACAGGCGTGAGCCACCATGCCTGGCCAAAATATTTATACATCTTAAATGGTGTGATGTTCTGAGTAGTGTGAGGAAATCTCATGCAGTCTTGCTCTGTCCCACCTGGATGGCCATTAGCCACTTAGTAGCCTTCTCAGTTATCAGATCAACTGTTGCAATATTGCAGTGCTTGTGTTCAAGTAATCCTTATTTTGCTTAATAATGACCCCAAAGCGGTTAGAGCAGTCATGTAATATTTTCAGACTGTAGTTGACTGTGGGTAACTGAAACAGAAGAAAGTGAAACTGTGAGTATGGGGGACCTACTATATTTCTGGATATGTCTATGAAGGTGTTTTGGGAAGAGATTGGCATTTGAATCAGTGGACTGACTGTGGAAGATCCATCCTCCCCCAATGTGGGTGGGTACCACCTAATCGGCTGAGGATCCAGATAGAAGAAAAAGACAGAAGGAAGGTGAATTCTCTCCCTTCTGGAACTGGGATACCCATCTTCTCTCATTCTTGGACATCAGAACTTCAGGTTCTTTGGCTTTGAGATTTGCACCAAATGCCCCTCAGTTTCTCAGGTCTTGTGCCTCAGACTGAGAGTTACCCCATCACCTTCCCTAGTTGCCAGGCCTTTGGACTTGGACTGAGCCATGGTGCTGGCTTCCCTGGTTCTCCAGCTTGCAGATGGCCCATAGTGGGACTTCTCAATCATGTGAGCCAATTCCCATAGTAAATCTCCTTATCTATCAATCGATTGATCAATCTATCATCTATCTATTTATCTATCATGTATCGATCTATCATCTATCTATCTATCTATCTATCTATCTATCTATCTATCTATCTATCATCTCCTATTTGTTCTGTTCCTCTAGAGAACCATGACTAATACAGAAGCTGAGGTGTTAGGTGTTATTTCCTAGAAGGCTTCTTTAAGTGTGTTGACTCAGCTGGGGAAATACCCTTTTTGTCACTTTCTTCCTTCTTTTAGATTGCAAGTGGGAAACAATGGCTGGAGCTGCAGTATCTACCTTGAGCCATGAGACGATGTTGTGGCTGGAAGCTACATGCTGGGCTGACAAAGCAGAACACAGAACCCTGGGACCCTAAAGACTGTGGTTTCACCAAATCAGTCCTTCCTTTGGGTTTTTGCCTGAGAATGAAGTAAACAAATGTCTATCTTGTTTAAGTCATAGATTTTTTTTTTTAATGTGCTGTTTTCTATTAGGTATACCATTTGCCCCTTTAAAAGATCTGGTTGCCTATGTGTGACCAATTAGTAATCTATTGGGATATCGAGTCCATCTGATCATAACCAACCTAATCCTTGTACTCTGGCTAGGGGTGTTCCCGGGGATGTTTTGTTGGCAATGACAAGAAAATAGCCCTGTGGCTGTTCCTCGTTGTGATCTGTCTCTTTTTTATCCAGCCCTGACCAGGAGGAGGAGCTTCTTACCAAAGTGCTAAGCAGGAATATCAGTTCCCCCTTGGCTTCTCATTTTCTATTAGACCCTTGACTTACTTTCTTCACTTGTCAAAAGCTAGACATTCTTTATCATCTGTGTATCTCAAAATAAAGCAACAATTATAACTTAAAAAGTCATATCAATATATTTGATAATAGTGATAGAAAATTCCACTAGTAATGAGTATTTTATCCACGATCATGGTGATTTAGCTCAGGGGTTGGCAAATTTCTTCTGTACGTGGTCAGATAGTAAATATTTTAGGCTTTGCCGGCCCTGCAGTCTCTGTCACATTTACTTGATTCTGCGGTATACAATATATGTAAACAAATTAGTATGTCCATGTTTCCATAAAACTTTATTTACAAAGAAAAACAGGTGATAGGACTGGATTTGGTCCACAAATAGTATGCCAACGCCTGACCTAAAGGAAAGATCCTGAAGCAAGGGGTAACTGAATACTCATGACAGGACCAGGATTTGAGCCTGTCATGTGTGGAGCAGGTGACAGCCGCACACTTGAAACCCACGTGTTAAATAGATCAGAACAGTGGGGCTTGCAACACCTTCCTGCTGCCGCTCATGGACGACAGTTTCTCTTTGGCAAACCAGCATGGGAAACTGCACAGAGTGGAATACATGCTTTCTCTGGAATACGGCACCCAATGTCCTGGTTTGTCTGAGACTGAAGAAGTTCCCCGGCTGTGAGAATTTCAGTGCAAAGACCTGGAAAGTCTTGGGAAAACCAGGATGTCGGGATCACCCTACTCTGGAATAAAAGACTAATCTTTCTTTAGGGGCCTCTACCTTGGTCTTAAACCATAATTGGAAGCTCAATCAGGGAGTGCGGGAGGGTAATAGTGAGAAATAATTTCAGCTAAATAAATATGCTTATGGTACTGTTTAAAAGGAAATCTCAATATACCTAGTGAAAAAGACACCAGCCTAAAAGTCAGGAGGCTTATTTCCTTCTCTACCTCAACTTCTGACCTACTTTGGGACCTTAGACGAATTTGCCTTTTCACCCTGGCACACACTCCCCTCATAGACAAAATGAAGAAGGTAAATTCGGTCATTTCTAAGAGTCCTTTTAATCCTCAAATTCTAGAACCAGATGGTCTTTACTATCTCTTCACACAGGAGCCTTCTATGTCTGTGTGAATCCATGGTTAGAAACAGGTAATTTTCTTGTACCCCCTAATTCATCTAGGTTTGGATACAAGTTGATTATGGCCATCAAGAAAGGAAAAAATGAAGTGAATATAAAATTATGGTTTAGATCTGATGAGGTATTAAAAGTCACAGCAAGCTTTTAGTGGCTGTGAATGAATGAATATGGAACACCTAAGGTGACACATTTGCCCTACCTTTTTGTTGACTCCTTTCCAAACTCTACCAGAATGAAGTTATCCCTTTCTTGGAGTTCTAGCTTACTAACCATCTGTATCACATATTTAATGCTTAATCCTTATACTTTATATTGTATTTCTAGCTTTATTGTTTTCAAGAATATATGTATATATTGGACTTTCACTAGGAGGCTGCATTGGGCTAAGAGCTGTGGAAAAAACGAAAAGAACACCAGATAGTTGTTCTAGTCTCAAGGAATTTATCTGGTAGAGGAGCTAAGAAGAAAGAAAAGTATACGTAAAGGTACAAAAAAAAAGGTATTCAATGAGGAATAAAAATGTATATGTTGTGAGGACTAAACACACATTCTGTATTTTTAGGGACAGTACCGTTTTTAAATATTCTGCCCCTTTGTTTCTACCAAAATCTCCCAGGCATAGCAGCATTCTTGCTTTTCATATCCAGAAGTAGTACGAAATATTTCTGTCAAATTGGGTCTTGAATTTTTGGAATGAAATGTAGACTTGATTAAGAATCGAAGTAATCAGTATCAGCTGAAGTTATAGGGGTGTCTTTATGGAGGAAGTAGGACTTAGATTTAGAGAGTGTTAGACCTGATGGAAATTTTAGAAGATGTGTAGCCCAACTCTTTTTGTACAGGCCAGGGAGATGAACTGACACGCCCAGACATAATTCTAAGGCGTAACAGAGTCAAGGATTGAAGGCAAGCTTTTGATTCTCAGAACAGAGTTTCCACTGTGTACAGAGGTGTCACTCCCAGGATGGACTGGCTTCGTTCCTCGGGATGTGGTTATTCTGTGCCTACTGTCTTCCTAGTCGGATGAGTGATGAGAACATAACCTTGTCCTTGTTTGTAAATAATGACAGTATGAAACACTGCATGCTAATAGCCAAAATTGGATGTATTTGGAAGATCAGGCCATGGAAATGGGCAGTGTTTGAGAGTGGAAGGATGTAGCTGGGGTAGCTTAATAAAGAAGAGAAGATGGTGATGGCAGACAGTGTCAGGTGGGAAGGAGGAGCCTTACCCTGGAGCTCCTGGAATGCAAGACAAAGAGCTGAGGCTGACTTACCTAGGCAGATTAATATAATGTGGAGGCATATTATCTGGGTTCAAATCCTGGTTCTGACCTTGGTTTTAAGATCTACTTGGCTCATGCATAAAATGGGTACAATAATAGTATCCCTCCAGAGGAGAATAATTAGTAGTCCTTTTTTTCCTTGAAAAGAGGATGAACATGACAAAATAAGTATCATATCTTGGAAAGAGAGTCTGAAATGAAACTGCCCAATGGTTTGAAAACATTTCTTAAGAGAAAATTGGCATAATCCTTAGGAAAAAAATGTATGTGGTATAAAAATCTGAAGACATGAATATGCTGTAAGCATCAAAGCATGGACTAGCTTTCTTCCACATGAGTGTGACGTCAGAGTAACGTTAGGTGATACGGAAAGAATAAGACTAATGTGAGGCACACCAAAGGGTTGGTGAAAGGCTGGGGCTCCCATGTGTGTCTGTGTAGCGCCAACTTGTACCACAAGGTTCACAGGCCTGGAAAGGACACACATGCCGAGCAAGCAAGACTGACATTCACAAGAGTCTGGGGGCAAAGAATCAAGCAGATTCTTGAATTAGGGAATAAAAGATGAAGTGCTCAATTAAGGAAATAAAGTTCTGTGGTCTGAATGCTTGGGCTTGCATTCAGTTTCTACCACTTATTCACAAAGTCCCTGGTGGCTCTTACTAATCTAGGGGTTTCCCCAAATCAGGTGTGCCTAAGAGCCACCTGTGGCCTTCACTTAATGCAAAGATTCTGGATTCTGATATTGCAACTCTGTGGTGAGGCCCAGGCGTTTGCAATATAGCAATCCCACAGGTGGCTCTGATGTAGATGCTTGTTGGACTGAACTTGGAGAAACCTGCTTAGAGAGATTGACCTGCTTTAAGCCTCACAATGTTCTCATCTATAGGATATCGATAATGATATGATAGCATTCTATACAAGTGTGGATTGAATTGTGTCTCCCAAAAAGACATGCTCAAATGCTAATCCCTGTGAATGTAATCTTATTTGAAAATAGGGTCATTGCATAAGTAATCAAGTTAAGATGAGGTCATAGTAGATTCGGATGGGCCTTAATCCAATGATTAGTGACCTTATAAGAATGGGAGACAAGACACAGAGGGTAGGCAGCCACGTGAAGATGGAGGAAGAGATTGGAGTGGTGTGTCTACAAACCAAGGGCCACCGAGGATTGCCTACAAGGACCAGATGCTAAAAGAGGCAATGAAGAATTTTCCCCTAGAACTTCCAGAGAAAGCATGGCCCTGCAGATACCTAGATTTCAGATTCCATCCTCCAAAACTGTAACAAAATAAATTCTATGTTATTTTAAGCCACTCAGTTTGTGGTATGTAGTTATAGCAGCCCTAGGAAAAACATGCAATACCTTTTGGGGATGTAAAAAAGCCACCTGGATTGTCATAATAGTAAATTGGTTCAGCATGGCTAGTGTAAGGGAGATGGCTGTGCTTTAGTCAGGAGTAGGCCAAGGCGGCTTTCTGGTGCAGTGTGACTCAGTGGGTTTGGAGTGCAGGTGTACAACTCCTCATGTTATGTAAGCATGCCTTGTGAGACACTTTAACCACTCACTTGAGCTCATCTTTGGCTTGGCATGACTATTGCCTGTAAAATGTATAATTACCCTGCTGATGCTGTAATTTGGCTTGCACCCAGGTCACCTTGCACCCAGGCTCACACCCTGGGTTTGTGCCCACATCTTGCTTGTGTCCACGGCTCTCTCATACCCAGAGAGAGAGAGTAAAAGCCATGTCAAAACTGTCTATGATTCCTCTAGGGTTTTTCCAGCTACCCGCTGCCCCACCAACTCCCCTTGGACCTCAGTTAGAAGCTAACAGCTGACATTTTAAGAAGGTGAAAAGTGCTTGTTTAGTTACTTGTCACATGGTGTCCACTCTCACGTGGGTATTTCCCATTCATCTTGGATAAATATTAACCTAGGGGTTTTGCACAATGTCCTAAGGGGTCTTGGGGAGAATGACAGGAATTTTGAAAGAACATTGAAATGAGCATGTGAAGATACAAGCTCTAGTTCATGGTTTGTGGAGAATGGCCACATCAAGCCAACTTCTGCCTCTCAATTTACTAGTGAAGATGAAGAAATGCCCTCTTTCTAGGTCTCTTGAACGATCAATGTGATGAATATATCAAATATCTTAATAAACTCTGAAATGCTACACAAATCTAAGGAAGTATTTAATTATCTTTTAAAGTTTTCAATAGGTTTATACTTGGAAGTTTGCTAAAGGAGTCACTCTTGAAATACTACTTGATCCAGATCTTGCAACTCAGGGCCCTTTCATGTGAGGAGAAATTTCAAAACAGGCTGATTACAAACCATGGGGGGTTTGTAGGTGATGGGAAGGAGGGAGAAGAGAGGGATTTTGTTGACAAAAGAGCATGTGTGCCCTTGAAGGGAGGGTTTTTGAAGATAGCATGGCGCCTGTCTCTGAGGCTACTCCGAGGACTGTGAGTGGGTCTTAGAGCACTGCCTGAAGCAGTAATGGCAGGGTGGATGTCACTCACCATCTCTGTGAGGTGTTGGGACCAGTATGCCAGGATGGGGGACCACAGGGCAAGGACAGGGCTCTGCCTACTCCAGCAGAGTGGCTTTGGCCTGATACATGTTGGATACAGAAAGATCAGGGGTGCCCCACAGGAGGCAGCAGTGGGGACAATGGAAACATGCCCATGTGCCAGCCCATGAGGCCAGACCAGCCAAAGGGTGCTAGATCAGGACAGAAGACAAAGTGGGTGTCTGACACCATGCTGTGGTGGAAAGACTTATCCAGGGATGCTCATGATCCTAAGATACCTTTCTGGAAAAGGTTGAGTTTGGGGCAGACTCTAAGGTTGGGAGTGAGTGAGAGAGCCAGACAATGCCGTGTCGAGTTCAACAGTTCTCTCTCTCTACCTGATATGGGCTGGGTTGTGTCTCCTCAAAATTCATATACTGGAATCCTAAACCCTAATTCCTCAGATTGTGACTGTATTTGGAGATTATTCTTAAGCACACCCTTAGAATGACCCTGCATGGCATATGCACCTGAATGTTGTTTCAAGCTAGGGAATCTGGAAGTGGACAACCCAGAGATTCATTACTTGTCTATGAGGAACATCTGAGCCTAGGCTGATCCTATGGAACATGGGCCATACAGGGGATTGAGGCCCTGAGTTTGGGGTTAAATGAGGGTTGCCAGGGGAAGGCTGTTAGTGGGAGGGTGTTAAGTGAGAATGCTATAGAAACTGCCTGCAATTTGCAAGCAGTTGTGATTTTCCTGCCCAGCCCACAGCCGCTGGACCATTTCTGTATGTAAGGTGGTTCTCCTGTCCAACCCACCACCACTGGACTCTCTCTTCTGTATGTCAGCCCCTAACAAAAGCCCATGTCTCATTGGCTGGCTCTGAGTCTCTTCTTTGACCTCTTGAACCTGGTGCCTTCCCTACTGAGGTTAATAGGGGTCTGGCACATGAGAGATGGGGCCTTCAAAGAGTAATTAAGGTAATATGAGGTCATAGTGGTGGGCCCTAATCCAATTTAACTGATGTCTTTAAAAGATGAGGAAGTTTGGGCACATGGTGGAGAGACACTAGACACCTGTTGCATTCAGAGCAAGACCGTGAAAGGACACAGTGAGAGGGTGGCCGTCTGTAAGCTAGGAAGGCAGGCCTCAGGAAAACCCAAACCTGCTGATACCTTCATCTCAGACTTCCAGCCTCTAGAACTATGATAAAGTAAACCTATGTTGTTTGAACCACCCAATCTGTTGAATTTTGTTATGGTAGCCCTAGCAAACCAATACATGGAGTCATCCTCCTGATTCTCTGTTAAACCCTAAAGGAGATTTCCTTCCCAGAGAAAAGACCTATTCCAAACAATGATGAGACCAGCTTCCTCCCTTTCCTTCCAGAGTCTCTGAGATGCCCAGGGGAATGGTTGATCTCTTTCCAGCTCCTCATAGTCTGCAGAGTGAACGCAGAACTCCAAGTGTCAGGCCCCAGGGGAGGCGGCAAGCCGTACTCAACCGAGGGAAGCACGACCTGATTTGAGAATAACAATGTCCGACTCTGGAATTAACAACAGGAAGGAATTTCATGAATACTTTCAGAAAGCCATATTGCTTACCCTGTGGGACACATGCTTTCAGTTTTGCCCCCATATTTGCTGTTAGTAAGAGATATCCCTGGGTGTCTATTCTCAGAATCAGCTACAGTTGGGAAAGGGAGGAGGTGACATTTTTGTCTGAGTTCAAGAATTCAGAGTACCTTTTTCTAGTTCCTCTGCTAATCAAACTGAAAGGGGACATGGATATTTCCTTTTGGTTTCCACCTTAAAATGTTATAAAGGAATGCAGCGCTGAGATTGGAAAGACAATCCCAGAGTGCAGAAGTAAATGAGTGGGGAAGAGTGAGATGGGGGAGAGAAGGTGCATCCACAAGCTGCTCACTGCTGTGCCCAGTGGGTTCAATTTCTTTGAGGCCTCTAAGGATCCATGTAGAATTCACCTCTGGATTATCCCACCTGATAGTAGGAGGTTGGGCACTTATTCATAGAATCCCATCCTCCACTGGGTGGAAATGCTGCCGACCCTTCCCCCAAGGATCTGGTGAAAGCTATTTACTCTTATTCTCCTGCATCATTAGCCACTAGTCTGGATCCACTTACTCACAAGTGGGAAAGGATACAAAGTGTAAATGAAAAGAACAAAAAGTCCGTATGGTTTTTCCAACAGAGAGACCATTTTTCTCATCACATTCCAAGATGCTGAACAAACTAGATGCAAGACTTCAGAAACTATTTAACAGCAAATTATTGAGTTGGGAAGCAATAATTAGAAAGGAAATGAAGAAAATGGACGTTGGGGGCCTTAATGTGAAATATGACATTGATAAATCAAAGGAAGCCTTGAATTAGAGATGTGGCTGTTTCAACTGATTACCCAAGATAACTCATATCCTCCATTAACCTCGTCCGTCTTGTTTTGCCTTTGCGAGGACAAAGAGTATCTTTGCAAATTGCCAGGCCACAGGATTGTGTCTCCCAAATGTTTATTCAAAGGGTGGGGGAGGAAGGGGATGAAGCAGTTGAAAAATAATTTGCTTGTTAAGCAGCCCAGAGGAATGTTCTCCTTTCCACTGAGTCTGGTGTATTTATGGGAAAGATAATACGAGAAGTTTATGATGGATTTGACAGTAAGGCAAAAGTAAACAATAAGCCCAGGCTAGAAAAAGTTAGGTTCACATACCTTTACTTTAGATGCTTATCCTAATAGTTGAGCATAAACAAAGTACCACAGGACTGTGCAAATGACCCTTCATGATCCTTCCTGATCATTCCCAAGCAAATGGGGTTATTTAGGGTACTCTGTTTTTCTGTCTTTTTTTCTTTTCCTGAGAAAGATGCCACTAGGGACAAAAGGCATGTTCAGACATTAGCATAGCTATGTGTGTCAAGATTGTTTTGACTCATGTGATGATGTGATGAGAGTCAAAAGGAGACCACAGAAGTGGGAATGGAAAAGACCCGACTGGATTATTCCCTTTCAGCCACTCCACCCTTTCTGGCAGGAGAGAGTCCCTCGACAGAAGATGTAACACCTGCCTTAGCCAAATGTCCTAGGAGTCTGGAAAGTCTGACGATACGACAGAAATTTGAACTGGAGCCACGAGACACCTCACAAAACCCTGTGGGCAGAGGAAAGGGGTTGAGTTTGTTTTGTGTGTGTTTCCTGGGCATTTTCTACATGTTTTGATGCTTGTTTTATAGCGGGTAACCTTGTTCAAGTTCCTGGAGAATCCCTTCTGGCCTTTTTCCAGACATGGCTGCTCCCCTGTTAGTCTATCGATAAGTTGTTGCTTTTATGAGTAGAACTGACTGGTGCCTGGGCTCGGGGTAAGTTGGTTTGGTTTTCTTAGTGACCAAGCGACAGCTCAAGAGTCTTTGTTTCTGCTTAGCTCAGGTCTGATTTTGCAAAATGTCTGAAGGCCCGAGGTCTTCTAGAGCTAACATTGTCCACCAGAGTGTCTGTCTGTTGGGGGCTGAGACTCTTGCTCACTCATCCTCAAAATTAGCTCTCATTCATCCTCAAACAGCCTCCATACTGTCCCCTACATATGCCCTTCTTAACTCCACCTTCAATCTTTAAAAAACTGTGCACAGATTACCACCCTCCTCAATTGTGCTTTACGCTCCTCCTTATTATTCAAAATCTCACTTACATTAGTCTCTCCTGAAGAATTCTGCATGTGTTTTCTATAAATTGAGAACTATGTAACCCATTATTTTCCCGATTCCTACCTTGGTTGCTTAAAAAAATCAGGGCTAAAACTAATGCATATTATTTGGCCTCTTAGTTTTTTGTTGACATGTTTGCTTTCTTTTCTTTCTACATGTTTTCTCCTATTTCCATTTTAAGTTTTAATATGTGAATCATTTATTATATGCTTTCTTACATTTTTTAAAATTGGAAGCAGAGGAGAAATAAAGCAAAAACAATAACAGGATATGGTTTACTTAGCTGACCCTTAGGTCAGCTACAGAAATCAACTCCACCAAATGCACAGCAGGTGTGATATCTTGCTATGGGCCGCCTTGGCCCCTTGTAGGCACAGTGTGTGCACAGCAGGAGGAGGGCTCCAGTAAGAAGACACACGGCTTCTGCCCAGGGACAATAGACATTCTCCAGCATGCTGGTTGGTGCACCTGCTAATCTCTTGGTTCTCAAAGTATGGCTTTCAGGTCAGGAGGATTAGCATCATCTGAGAACTTGTTAAAAATGCAAATTCTTAGGTCTCACCCCAGACCTGTTGAATCAAAATCTCTGGAGAGAGGCCTAGCACTTTGTGTGTACTGAGCTCTCTGAGGATTCTGATGCACACTCAAGTCTGAGAACCACTTGCTAACCCATATGTTACATGTCAATGGAGACCTTTAGAGAAACTTCCTCCCTGATGTTTCTGCCCAGTTTGAACCTTGATGTTCCAGGTACTTTTTATACAAGTTTGTTTCCCCTTGTGTTTTCTTGCTCAGTTTGAGTCTCACTAGCTTCTTTTCATCCACTTAGGGGTCATTTCCCTGTGTTCCTTCTGCTTGGCCCAAGTGATTAGACACTGACCTAAAGTATCTTGTTGGATTCAGCAATTTGCCTGTTTCCTTCAACTTACACATTACTAAGGCTACAACTGGATTTTTCATTTCTATGTACCACTCATCAGTAATTCCTTCCCTGGTGGCCCTGCTGATTTATAATATTGTCATTCATAGTTCCTGTGATTTTGAACTTTACCATAAAGTATGAACAGGCTTCACTTCTAATGCAAGACATCTGAGTAAAAGGTCAGTGAAACACAATACAACCACCTGGCTAAACTTCTGAAAGAGATTCATGAACACTCATGTGGGTGTGCAAATGCAGGAAATTTCCATGTAAGGAGCTATGAAACAATGAACATCAAAATTCCAACAAGGCAGGAAGTAAGAAAATGTTAACCTTGTCTTCTCCCGGCATGGGGCATTTACTGCAAGTATAGGAAGCAACTGTTGAATAAAGGATTTCTGAAAAAAGGGGAAAGTCTAGTAGCATTCAACCTTGAAGTTAGCTCTTTCCTGCCTAAAACCAAGGTTATTTTTAAGTCTTCTCTACCATGTAACTGCAGAGAAGGCTTTACTTTTCTAAGCAAAAATTTTTTTTCTCCTTTGACAGAGAGCAACCATAATGTAAGAAAATTACATTCCCCACTGCTCATGCATTTCTCAAATATGGTAGGATGCTTGTTATTCTATTGGGAATTCTGAACAAACAGGCATTGATGACTGGGTAAAATTGGCAACCAAGGACAGAAGCAGCTGAAGACCTGCACAACCGAAGGCAGTGAGACAGGAAGCCTGTTGCTGCGTGAATGTGTTGCCATCTTACCACCTGTGGTGTTTAATACCTCCCTCTTCGCTTCTCATCAGGCTCCAGCCTTGCTCCCTGTCACCAGGAAGGTCCAATCCCTGCTAGCACAGGCCACATTCTGAACAGCTTGATGCCACCTCTATTGGGAGGACATGATGATTGTAATATTTAGGATTAATCTACAATGATCAAGGTGGAGACAAAGAGGAGTAATCCTAGCTCATCTGATGAGGCTTTTTAAAGGCTAACCCTCCAAGCCTGTTTTCTGAGACTTTGCAAACATCATACCTAATGTCCAACATTTTTGCGAGGCTGAAATGAAAAGTGTGTGTGAGGCACCTGGTACTGTACCTAGTATAGTACACACTCCATAAATATTAAAGTCTGTCCCTGAAATCCTCAAGCAGCAAATGACAATATGAACATTTTCTTATCAATCTATGGAAATAATAGATTAATAGGGGCTGAGGGACATTGAGAACAGCCAGTTCTGCCATAGAAGAGCCATTAGGGCACATTTTGGCATTGCCCCACCATTAAGGTCATTGTTTCAACTATTTTCATCCTAGACTCTTAGTTTGACAAACACATATAGATACCAAAGGCAAGATTTTCACTCTTTTTTTTGCTTACAGTTTTGCCTGTAAGTTGTGAAAATGAGAAAGAGAATGCTCATTATTTTATGTTGGATTCTGAACAAATAGGCATCAATATCTCAAGTAATTAATGTAACGTGTTTAGGCAAAATTGTGCTTGAAATATACAGCAGTCTGGATGTTACCACCCCCTTTGTTAATATGACCAACATAGAAAATGATGTATCTATGTGAAACATAATAAATTATCAAGAATATAGTCTGTTTTCTAGCTAAATATGTTAACCGCATACTTTTTTTCTGTACCTGAAAACATTCATTAAACATCTGTTAGCAAAAGGGCACAAACTAGTTTATATAGCCATCCTGTTCTGTGGGCTTGATGATGTTGACTTAACTGGAGGCAGACATGTCAACATGCTAGAACCAGGATTCTTCACCCTAAATGTTCATCAGGAAAAAATTATTCCTCAATCAATAGCTGTTCACAAGATTTTAGTCATAAAGTGTCCTGCGCCATCCTACGTTATTCACTTTTTTCTCCTCTCTATTCTAAGTGAAATCACCTAGCCCAGGAACCCTTCCCAGTGGGCAGTCACAGGGAGAAGTTTTGTTTCATGGCCGAGAAGAGGACATGCGAACCCAGACCAGCTGTTACATAGGCTTATCAGGGGCTTACAAAGTGGTTTACTGTAAACAGAACCACTGAGACACTTCAACTCCTTCTTGAACTAGGAATACAGAGAGAATGAGGCAGTTGACAATGAGAGTTGAGACTCACAGGATGGCATGTATAGAGGGAATTTAGGGTGGCCATAGTGAGCCATAGGCACTGAAGTGGGCCAGGAACAGAAAAAAGAGATGCAGTAAAAAATAAGCAAAGCAAACAAGCAAGCAAACAAACAAAAAACAGAGTAGAAAACACAGAAATCAGTTGATACCAGAACAGGAAAAAACAGATGCCTGGAATGTTTCAGTTGTATTAATACAAGAGCAGTAGAGCAGAGGTGTGGATTGTTGCTACTGAAGTCTTTAGAATATCCTTAGGCTCAAGGTCACCCTTCAAATCTAGTGTCCACAAGGAGCTGGCTCCAATTATAACTCATGGCTTCACCCACTCCTCTTCTTAGCACCCTCATGAGATTTTATCTTCCTTCTTACTCTATGTGTGTTCTTAATAAGCAGCCCTTTTAATTGAACTAACTTGAGTCTCTGAAACTTGCAACCACAAAAGTTAGCTCTATTTTATTTCTCAGTCATGTGTTTTTCCACATTCGAATATTGAATTTTATCACAGATTTAGGCTCTGAACTCTTCTTGCCTCTTTGTGTTAAATGAAGAAGTGGTGCTTCCTAGGATTCTAGAAAGTAGCATAACGAAATAGTAACTGGAAATTCATTATGAGTTTTTTGGCTTTTCACAAATTGTAGTCCCCATTTTGCCATTCTTCTGCAAATTTGGCTTCATCGTTTCAAGTTTCCCTATGAGTTTTCTCAGCTCTGGTCCTAGCTGGCCCACATATCTTGTTAAGATAGCTCTGAGTCCCTCTGTTTTCAATGACAGGTTAACTCATGTGCAAAAGGACCACAGTGAAGTCAGGTGCTGCCTTGTGACTGTCACCTTCCAAAGAAATGTTTTTAGTGTTCTTATTATAAAAGTTATATACGCTTATTGAAAAAAATAAGAGACAGCAGAAGAGTAAAAAGAAAAAAATCATCTATACTTAGAGGAAAATAATCATGGTTAAAATGTATTGTTTTATCCTAATTTCTTTGTACATGTTGAGAAATAGTTGAGATCGTAGGGGATATATGTTGCTGAAGCCTCATAACTTACTTAGCACCGTAGTATAAACATCTTTCCAAGCTTTAAAAAACTCTTTGTAAACATTAGTCTTAATCATGGCACAACAGTCCACCAAATGGAATTTCATCACTTACAATATACTCAATAATTCCACAGTGTTAAACATTTGTTTACAATATTAGGCTAATATAAATAATTATGTAATGGACATTTAGTCCATGTTTTGAATGATTGTTTTCAGATGGATTTCTGAATGTGTAACCACTGGGAAAGAGTGTACTTTAGCATTTATAAGGCCATTTAAAGGCTCTTTTTTTTTTTAAGAGAAAACTTAGAGGCTGTTGAGATTAAACAGCTTGTCCTTTATGGCATCTAACCAACTATCATGAACACTGGATGGCTGAATAGCTATCCTGAGACCAAGATGTCAGATGCTCCAATGACTAAGGCTGTTTGTACCCCTACCAAATTTTGTGGTTTGGAAATGTCACACAGTCATAGCCTGATTTTCTACTCAGAAACTTTGACTAGATGAGCAATCTTGGCTCACCTCAAGTAAGAGTTAGATGAATTCGATTTCTGTGTTGGGTCCTAAAGAGATTGTTATTAAAAGTGAAAATATGTATCAAAAGTGTTTACATATGCATCCATATAAAATAGCCCCCTCCATCTTCAAGACCAGTTGTGTGGCAGGAGATGGGAGAGGAGCTCGGACTGGTAAGAAAAAGCTCTGCATGACCCAATCCCACCTCTGCTTCTAGGAGAGAAATCTGCATTTACCTTCTACATATTTTTCCTCTGGATGAACTACCTTTTGAAGAAATTGTACTTGGGAGCTGGGTGGGGGAGGGGGTGGGAGGAATTCAAAAGCACCAATCTCAATATAGGTTTGTAAAAGAGAAGCTGAATACGTTTAGCTGCTTTCTTAATTTTACTGTAGTCCCATGACTTTGTTTGAAGAACAATCCATTTTCAAACTCTCTAAAAATACAACTTTAATGCATGTATCAAAATACATAAAGAGAAATATAAGTGATAAGAGGATTTATGACTTGTTATTTAATTTTCTTTTCAACATCTTTTTCTTTCTTTTTATTTTTTGAGTTGGGGTCTGGGTTCAATGGATCCTCCCACCTCAGCCTCCAGAGTCTCTGGGGTTACAGGTGCGTGCCACCATATCCAGCTAATTCTTTTTGCACAGATGGAGTCTCACTGTGTTGCCCAGGCTGGCCTCCAACTCCTGACCTCAAGCAATACTCCTGCCTTGGCCTCCCAAAGTGCTGGGATTACAGGTATGAGCCACTGCATCTGGCCTATCAACATCCATGTTTAAATGATTTTTAAAAATATTCCGTGTTGGATAAGGGCCTTTTATGTACAAACCTCTAGAAATTCTATTACTGAGGCATTGTGGTACTTGTAGTCTTCTAGAACTGTTTCTCAAACAAAATAGCTGATTCTCCAATGACATAAAATGTCCATGAGAAAACAGCAGCATCACACAGAAAACAAGTTACAGAAGCTGCAGTTGTTCATTCATTCACTCAACAGACATATTTGAGGGCCTCCTGTGTACCATGTGTTGTGCTAGATGCTGACTATACAACATTAACCAAGGCCTAGTTTTGTCCTCAGGAACTTATAGCCTTATGAGGAAACATGCACAACAAAAATAAAAATAGCACAGGGTAAATGTTAACATGGAAACTTTGTGGGGTGAAGGGGGAATAGAGAAGAAACGTACATCTCTTAGGGAGAAAATGGGAAAAATTTACAAGGAAGGAAAAATTGAGCTGAGGACAGGGCTGGGTTCATGGCATGCACATGTCACCTAAAGCCAGCTTCTACAGCATCTCATGCTTAGCTCAGTGCTCTACTCTTGCTATCTTGAAATTCTTCATACTTTTTAAACAAGGGGACTGTATTTTCATTTTATACTGGACCCCCAAAATTATGTGCAGTAGCTGGTCCTGGCCGAGCTAGGTGATGAAGTGGGTGAAAGTTTCTTAAGCAAATGGAGTAGTAAGAGATGGAAATGTGAAAGAATGGGAAATGTAAAATCTACTGAGTTGTGTAATTTGACTAAGTTACATGTTGGGGTGGAGCTGGAAGTGTAGAGATGATGAGGTAAGGCAAATCGTAGGACCTGGATCTTGAAGGGTCTTGGGTTTGTTGCAAAAGAGCTTAGATTTTATCCCATGAGTGATATAGTCATTCAAAATTTTGACTGAGTAAGTAGCAAGAGTACATAGAATGAGAAAAGCAGCAGGCCTAGCAGTGTACTCTGGAAAAAATTAAAATACAAGGCTTGGGTAGGGAAATTGGAATCAATAAAGTAAAGAGAGAGAATGCATGAAAGGCTACATGACTGGGAGAGTAGCATTACATGCTAACCAAAAGAACAAGCTTTAATCAGTTATTTTTAAATTGAGAAAAAAATTCTATATGTTTGTCATATACAACATGATCTTTTGAAACGTGTATGTTGTAGAATACTTAAACTGAGCTAAGTAGCATGCATTACCTCAAATACCATTTTTTGGTGGGAAGAACACTTCAAATCCACTATCAAATCCACTGTGATTTTGAAGAATATTATATATATATTTTTTTCTTTTTTTTTTTTGAGACGCGGTCTCACTTTGTCGCCCAAGCTGGAGTGCAGTGGCTCAATCTCGGCTCACTGCAATCTCCGTTTCCCAGGTTCAAGCGATTCTCCTGCCTCAGCCTCCTGAGTAGATGAGACTGCAAGCTCATGCCACCACACCCAGTTAATTTTTGTATTTTTAGTAGAGATGGGGTTTCATCATTTTGGCCAGGATGGCCTTGATCTCCTGACCTCGTGATCCGCCTGCCTTGGTCTCCCAAAGTGCTGGGATTACAGTCATAAGCCACCGTGCCTGGCCAGAATATAATATATTCTTATTAACTACAGTCATGTACAATAGATATGAACTTATTTCTTCTGACTGAAATTTCGTATCCTTTCACTTACAAGTTTTTGAAAGGAAGGGGCAGTCAACAGCAGCAGGGAAGGGGTGATTGCATTGCTCATCCTCACAGCCCATTGCAGCTGCACCTTAGCCATGTTCCTGTCCTCTTGGTCCAGGTGTTCTCCCTAGTCCTCTCACCTTCCTTTGTGCATGTCTCCTGTGGGTTTCTCTTTACCATTCCAAAGTAGTCCCAGGCATCCTAAAGGCACTCCATCCTTCTATTGGCAAGGATTGGGCAAGAATTGATGAAAACTCAAAGCAGAGTCTGACAGATCACCAGCTTGCCATGATATGTGATTTAAATCAGCCCAAACCACCCATGCAAGTACCATGGTTTGGGTGTCAATCAAAATAAGTACTTGGCTTCACACTCCTGTGTCTTCATGCTGTTGTGCTCAACTTTCTCCTTTCACCTCACAACCTGCTTCGATTCTGCAGCCCCTGCTTCCTGGGGTTCCTGGTCTTGTTGCCTCTCTGCATCCACTCTTTGCCTTGGGACTTGGCAGAGCAGCCACTCTTGGTGTTCCTGAGGATGTGCCTTCCTGTACCTCCTGGTTCCTTGCATTTCTGGCTTGCCTGACCTAGGTTTGAGCCCTTGGATCCCACTGGAATGATTGCTCACTTGGTTTGCTGCCATGAACCCTACCCATCATGATGGTGACACACACTATCTTGTTCTTGCTGCTTTTCAAAACCCCAGAGTCAAATCCACCATTTAAAATCAATAATACAAGAGCTATGTCCCTTCTCTTCTACACTTTGACATTTTCCACAAGATGATCGTTTATTGAAGTCCCTACAAATGACAGCCTGAGGCTGAATGGAGGACAGGACGGTTGTCCTGAGGATACTTCGTGTGGGAATTCTACGTCAATCTTGTCTTCATTTACTCCATCATCTCTGTTCTTGTGTGACTCTGCTGGGTGGGTTCTCTGTATAAGTGGGCTCTTGCATGAGTCATTTCTCAAGTGAAAATACATTTCCAGTGGCTCATTTTCAAGCTTTAAGATAGCATTTTGAACTTTATATACATATAGATATAAGCTTATATATATAATACCCACACATATATATGCTATATATGTGAGGTACATAATTTCAGAAATCCTTAATTTCTCACATACTTATTTGGTAGTAACATTAAGGGATTATGAAAACATTTTCATTGGACACAGATCCAAATGAAAAAAATAAAAGGGAAAAACACTATAGAAATCCCTGGCAAGGCATTGGGTAGTAGGTGCCTGGTATCCATCTAGCTAGACTAGTGTGTACATCTGGCTATGATACAAGTTTTGCCTTCCTAAAAAAGGTTTGGAACTTTTATGTTAGGAAGGAATGCAGGACAAGATCTTGGTTTCTTAGTTTGGACAAGCTTCCTGTTGAGTGGTTGGAGCTGTGCTAAGAAGCTGTTTTAAGAGTGTGCATGTGTGCAGGAGGTAAGGACCCAGGCCTGGGAGAGGAACTGAAGGACAGGCAGAGGTTATGACAATGGGAGGATTCACTTGCCTTGCCATGCCAAGCCTCAGCTGGTGCAGCCTCCAGAGGTCATGTGAGCATCTGTTTCATTGGATTTAGAATGACAAAAAAATATGGTCTCTTGATAATTATTTGCCTTAAAAAGAGCTAAATAGTGGCTTTCAATAAATAGTATATTCTCTTAGTTTTTTTCTATAATATAAAATATAAGGTAACATACAAGAAAAATCCATCCAGGTTTCCATTAGTCTAAAACCCTTTGCCAATTGTAACTTTTCTCAGGGGGTTTTTCTAGAAGCCATTGGGCCAATTATTGTGCCCTGGAAATGTGCGAGGGAAGAGCTAGCAAATCGCCCCTGAGATCTGTATCGACTCATCCCTTAGAGACAGCAAACGGCATATCCCCAAGCCCTGAATATCTTCCTGCCAAACTCCTCTGGGTGCCTGTGTGATAGACATGTGTCTGATCCACAGGGTGGAGGCACCTAACTCCACCCCTCATTACCATTTTCCTTTCAGTCATGTGCTTTCAGCTGCACCTGTTGTCATGCTTAGCCCTATAACTGTTTACTTTGATCTTATTGAACTTGCTTGTAATAACTTTTGCGCATTCATTGGACAAGCTATTACCAGACCCACACAATATTCTTAAGAAATGCATGGTTTAGTCTGAGTAAATAGGCAGGTGAGATATATTTGTAGAGCTTAAAAATAATGAGCTGTTCGGTCAATATGTCACCCTTCACAGATAAGTAGCTGATCTTGATATATATATATATATATATTCTGAAAGTTCATAGGGAATCACTGAATTCACACAAATAAGTAGATTGGTTTTCAAATTACTTGTGGTGAAAATGAATTTATTCATCCCTTAAATATACCTAATAAATAGCTGCAAATGGGAGAATTGCTTACCTTGAGTTTTTAAACAATTTAATTCTGTATTTATTATAGGATAATGCTCTTGGTAAGAACGTAAAGCATTAGCTTTGGGAAAAAGAAGATTTACTATTTTCCACTCACTGATCCATCAAGGAAGACTCTACTCCAAGGCTCTGCTCCTTGTTCATCTATGAAACAAATTACAAGAGAGAATATGGAGTGGACAACGGATGCACCCAGATCAGTAGCTAATAATGTCTAAGTCAGTGCCCTGGAGCCAATCTGTTCCTCCTCTCCCCACCCCCATAAATAAAGGCAATGCAATTTCCATCACTTTGAAAGTCCCTTTTAAATTCTCACTTGAGAATTACTGAGTTAGTGCAAAATGCATACCCTAACAAAACAAAACGAAATAAAGCAAAACAAAACAAATGCCTTGAGTTCAGTGTACCTACAACCAGATGTAAAGTTTAATTTTTGAGGCAATGGTGTCATAAAGCACCCAATCACTTTTGCTGAGATAAAATTAACTCATTTGCACATCCACTCCATGAGACTCCATGTGAATGACCTGTCCCATGCACCTGTTGAGGCACAGCTTGGGGTGGACACCAGGCAAGATCCCAAGATAGGCTAGAACTGTGGGCAGAAAACCAGCAGGCATGCAGGTCCTGTCCATGAGAGTTTGGGCCCAAGTGCCCAGGGTATTAGTCAGAATAGGCACCCCATTTCCCCTGCTGCTCACTCCTTCAAATGGAACGAGTGTGCCAGTGACCTTGGTGTGCAGGAATTAACACTTGTAGCTTAAGCATCGGGCAGTCTGAGTTCAGATGCCAGCTGTCTAGAGGGATGCTGAGAAATGCCAACAGCTCAGAGTCTGAAGACGTGGAAGATCCAGAGTCCTGAGGGAAACTGAGCTGTGTGTAGCCCTGCCCCTGGGAGACCAGGGAGATGGGACCTCTAGTGCCAGATCATTCCCAGGAAATTGGAGTGAGCCCTGCACACAGCAATACATCAAATTTTGAGAAGTTCTTATTTTATCAGACACTAATACTGCTGATTCCTTAAGTGACTTTTTAACAGTTTCTAATTATCAAGAAATGAGGCAGTATCTTTCATTCTAAGAGCCTAACGCCTCATGAATTTAAAGAAGACTTTTTAAATTGTAAAAATAATATTATGATAAAGCAAAAACTCAAGCAGTGTAGATAGGTAGCAGATAAAAAGTAAGTCAAATCAGTTTCTAATATATTTATTTTGTATATACACTAAAATATGGTTCTAATATTTTTTCAATCTTAATCTTGGGTAGTTTAAGGAGAAAATTGTATCATGTCATCTGTAAAAGTGATAATTGGTATCCTTTCCAGTAGCCTTTTATATCATATTTACATAGTTATACAATTTATATTACACACACACACACACACACACACACACACACACTCACACCTGATAGAGTTGGCTTTTCTTTTTTTTTAATTTGATTCTAATGGACGTGCTTCTAGGATAGCATATCCCAAAAAGGTGTATATTAAAAATTGTTCAAAAGAAGTTTAATATGAGTATTGTGAAAAAGTTCTGCATTCTCAAATAAAAGTGGTAGAAAACACTATATTTAAGAGTTAAACTTGGTGTTTGGATTTCTCAGAGCCTTTAATAGGCTAATTAGGACTTTAAGGTGACTCTCCAAGGGGAACTGGTCTGTTTGGCAAACTGGTCCTTGACCTCAGGACATATGTACATGAAACTGTTATTAATCTTTTAGTATGTACTATATCACGAACATCTTCCTGTGTTGTTAAATATTCTTCTACAACTGTTTCTAATCAAATATATGGAAGCTGTTAATTTTCTTACACTCCTAACAGTTTTTGCTTTACATGTTTTCAGGTGCAGTTCAGATTTGTGGCCCTGAATTTTATACAATTTTAGGAGTCACTTTTTAGACAAAGAGTACAAAGTCAGAAGCACGAAATTGTTAGTATGCCTGTTTGTTTTCTGCTGCTATATCTTGAATGGGAATGTTGTCTGCAATGAACACAAAAATCTCTCTCTCTCAATATCTTTGCTTTATTTGATATTAAAATTGATCTCCCTGCCTTCGCTTTTCTCTTTGCTTTATCATTTTGTTTTTGTCAGCTTCTCTTGTATTTATTAGAAAAATATGAAAACCAAAAGAATTTGCCTTGTAATAAGATACATTAAATTACTTCTGAAAAGGTTTCATGTCATCCACAAATAAAGAGCTGATTCAGAAAAATTTTAATAGTAGTAATAGTATTTACAGAAACAATTCTAATACTAACAGTGGGTACTCACTATGTGCCAAGCATTGAGTTATCTACTTAATATGGATTACGTTTTGATAGCACAAATCCTATAAGATAGGTACTACTAATATTCACATTTCATAGATGAGAACGCTGAGGCATGCAGTATTAGACAGCCGTGAGTGTGGAGACAGATTCACACGGAGCCCACTGAGAGTCTGGCCTTTTATGAGGAAGCTTCCTCCCTCTCTTCAACAAGAAGTCCGGGTCTGCATCGCCCTGCTGAGGATGCTACTATGCAAACGCAGGGAGTCTACAGATTACAAGTGTAATAACATAATGGAATATTTTATATAAAATCTTGAAACAGACAGATTTCACATCAGGAACTGTTAGCATGATGTCATGTGATTCTAATGCCTATTAAATTTTAAAGATCAATCAATAAATTATAAATAAACAAATAGTGACCTACAAATGTCTAAGTGAAGGTGGGGGCTCCGGGGAGGGGGAGAGAATTTGAAAAGTCTGCTCGACCCCTTGGCAGCGATTCCAAGGCTAAGGGAAGCTCCCTCTCAGGTGCCTGACAGCAGGAGCAGCCGGATTTTGGAAAGGGAGGAGGCCGGGACGCATGCAGCTTGGTGGGGGCTGTGTCCGAGGTCCGCAGGGAGAAGCTGAGCGACAGCCCCAGCAGGGACCTACTGCTGGCGCCCACTCCCCGCGGCCGCTGGCCAAGTGTGGGCTCTCGGGTTCGTTTCCACCCAGCGCGGCGGTGTTATTCGGAGAAGGAAAATAAATGTCTGCGGTTGCTCTGCCGGGCTGCGGGGGCGGTGCCCTGGAAGGAGGGGCTGTGCATCTGCACCATTTCTAGGAATGTCCGCCCTCTGGGAACCCAGCCCTGAAGTGCTCTGAGAATGAGCCGTGTTTACGGAAAGCCTCTGTCTCATGCTCCGCATTCTCCGTTCTGATTCTGACCACAGCAAGAGTGGACGCTCTCCACGCCTGGAGATTCCCATTCCAGCTTAGCCTTGCCAGGCACCCATTCTTATCAGGGCTGCAAGATCTTTCCCCTTGGGACCCCAGGGTCCCTACATCCCCTCTCAAGGGCTTAAGCTGCTCTGATTTCAAAAGGCATGCATTAGGGTGCCCCCTCTGCAGCCTAACCACTTCCCACACTGCGGAGCAGAGCTGCTAACCAGTCCTCTCATTCCTGCTTGCTTTGGCTAGCTTTCAACACCCCAAATCACACACACCAAATGCAGGTGGCTCTACCTGGGAAGGGGAAACGATTTATTGTGAGGGGCATTTTGCATGTTGCTCAGTGAGATGAAGGCAAGCTTTGAGGAAAAAGTTCAGCTTTTTATTTGGCCTCTTATCTTTGAAAGTCTAATTAATGAATCCACAAGTAGAGCATTTACCTGGACATTATAAAATACTTTGGATTTTCCTAGCCTCTGTGCCATCCCCTGATGAACCCTGAAGCTCTCTTTTTCATTATGTGTCTCAGAGCAGGCAAACTCCAGGAAGCCCAGCCTGGCGAACGCTTCCCATCAGACAACTCTGTCTGGAGCCACCATTTGAAAATATCCCCAAGGCTATTGTATTCAACCTTTACTTAAAGATCATTTCTATGAGGCATCCAATTTCTGCGGCTCCCTTGGGCTGCGGTTTAAGACAGGCTTCACAGTATTTACTGTTTATAGTTTTGAGCTGACAGCTATTTAAGGGCAAGAGATTTCATCTGCCACCATGTCTCACAGCTTTTGCCACCAACACATTTACCAGACGGAACAAGCTGGAACTTTGTGAAACCAAGGAAACAAGTGTAATATGGTTTAGGGGGAAAAAAATTAAAATTTGGAGTTATTTTCCTGCTGATTGTTTCTGTGTGCTCCGTCACATTGAATTATGGGGAGCTGGCGTATCAATGGCATCTGTATGGCCTGCAATAATAGCCACTTGTTCATCAGACATGTAGGATGGTTGGCTCTACTGATCTTGGCTGAGATCACCTACATTCATGGCTGGCTGTTGGCTGGGGTGACCGGGGTGACTGATCTCTGCTTCCCACGCCTCTCATCCTCCAGCAGGCTAGCCTGGGCATGTCATCAGAGTAAAGCAGAAGCACAGCAGAAATACTCGCGGTCTCTTGAGACCTAGTCTCAGAATTAACTTACCATCAAGTCCAGTGAATTCTAGTCTAAAGAAAGTTCAAGGTCAGCCAATTTTTAAGGCAATGGGAGAATAAACTCTGGAAAGAACTGTAAAGTCACAAAAAAAATCACTGGACACAGGGAGGTTTGAAGTATTGGTGCTATTAATACGATCCACCATGGTTGTATACATGCCTTTCTCCTCTTCCCTGGAGTTCTTCCACCATGTCTTATTTATCTTTCTGTCTGCCAGTTCTTAGGACAGCACATGGCATGTAGTCAGTATTCACTAAGCAACCTTGCATTACTTTGCGCATGAGTGCACATTAGAATAGGCTCCGATACTACAACTACATTTTAATTTTTTTCTTGCAACAATTACATCAGTATTAGAGATGCCTCATTGCCCTCCACCCACACCTACTTCCAGCATTTCCTCTTTACATTTCCCTATCATGTGTCTAGGTCTGGATTATTTTTATTTATCTACTCAGCATCCAATGGAGCTTTTGATATATTGCATCATTTTTGGAAAAGATGTAACCATTTTCTGTTTGACGAATTCTCCTCCACAATTCTCTCTATTCTCTCCTTCTGGAATGCATATTATGTGTATGAATCAGACTTTTCTTATTACATCCTTCATGTTTCTTAACTTGTTTGTTTATCATCTTGTCATTCTCTTTTTTTTCTCCTCTTTTCTGTCTCAGGCTATGTCTAGTTTTGTTGTTGCTGTTGTTAATACTTCTCTCTTCAGTTATGTCTAATATGTTAACAGAGTACCTCACATAGGGGCTGTAGCTTAGAATCACCTGGCAGATTAACAAAATATCAATGCCTGGTCCCACCCCTAGAATTTCTGGTTTAATCGGTGTGGGTCAGGAGATGGACATCAATAACTATGATGCGTAACCAAGGTTAAAAACCATTGATTACAACTTTTTTTTTTTAGAATTTTTTCTCAGTGACTGTATTTTTTTCAGCGTTTCTACTGGAAAAAAAAATCCACTGACTCTTCTTTCATAAACTCTGTTTTTATTTTTATCATGCTATTTCTTCCATAGGACATTTCAAACAGGTATATTTAGATCTCTTTTAGATTGCTCCATTATTTCTAACTCCTAAAATGTAAATTCCCTCATTAGTTGAGTCTGTAGACTGTTATGATGTTGAACTTCTTCAAAAGCTTTATAATTTTTGACTATGAATTCATCTTGCATCTTGTGCCTTGGGTTATAAGGACCTCCTAATGGATTGTTTTCACACTTGCCTGTGCCTGGTCCTGTGGATTTCATCGGCTCCCAGTGATGTTTTATGTAAGTGCATCTTCTTAAGGTTTATACTACACACACAGCTCCGACTCAGGGTCTGTATCTAGCCACACATAGGCTTGGTGTTCTGAGCTCAAGCAAGTAACATGTTTCACAGCCATTACCTGGGGCAGAAGGCTAATTTCCAATCTGGAGGGTAAGGATATCTGGATTTTTATTTGTGAACTCACAATATATTCCCCAGTTCACGTGGGGAGCCCAATTCTGGCTCCTCAGCTGGCATTTGTCATTGGGCATCCCCATGTCCAATTCTTGGGCCTGTCACATACCCCTATTTTGTGTGTGTGTGTGTGTGTGTGTGTGTGTGTGTGTGTGTGTGTGTGTGTTTTATTAATATTTCTTTTTTGAGCACTTACTTACATTCTGCACCACTCACCTTGGCAACACATCTTTTGCTTCTTTGTACTATGTAGATTTCCCCTTCATTTTTCTTACTTGGAAATATCCCTTTGGTACTCTTAAGCTAGTACATGTATTTTCTCAATAAAATTTTATTATAGATAGCTTCAAATTTACAAAAATTGCAAAGATAATGCAGAGTTCTATATACCCTATGCCCGTTTTCCCCTCTTGTAAATATTTGATGTTAGTATACTACATTTGTTACATCTAATGAATTAATATTGACATGTCATTATTAGCTAAAATCCATATTTTATTCTGATTTTCTTAGTTTTTACCCATGCTCTTTTTCTGTACCGGGACATTTAGTCATCATGTCTCCTTAGGCTTCTCTTGGCTGTGATGCTTTTCTGGGCTTTTCTTAATGCTACCTCTATCTCTCTGGTCTTCTTTCCAAAAACTCATGACCTCAGTTTAATTATGAGAACAATATCAGGCATCATGTCAAATATAGTCATGTCTCCTTAGGCTTCTCTTGGCTGTGATGCTTTTCTGGGCTTTCTTATTTTTGATGACCTTAACAGGTTTTTAATTTTAAAAAACTTAAAAAAAATTTTTTTTGAGACAAAGTCTTGCTCTGTTACCCAAGCTGGAGTGCAATGGCATGATGACGGCTCACTGCAATCTTGAACTCCTAGGCTCAATGATCGTCCCACCTCAGCCTGCCAAGTAGCTGGGACTACAGTTGTGCTGCCATGCCCAGCTACCTTAACAGTTTTGAGGACTACTAGTCAGATATTTTTATAGAATGTCTTTCAGCTGGGAATTTGCGTGATATTTTTCTCATAATTAAACTGAGGTCATGAGTTTTTGGAAAGAAGACCAGAGAGATAGAGGTAGCATGTCTCATAAGGGGATATGGAAAGTAAGAAATATCCTGGGGCTTACTTGAGAAGAAAGCCACTAAGTGCAGCTCACACTTAAGGAATGGAGAACTGTGCTCCATCTCCTTGAGGGAAAGAATCTACATAAATTATTTGGAATTTTTCTGCACAGAAAATTTTGTCTGTTCTTCCCTGTTTATTGATTTCTTAATTCAATCATATCAGTATAGACTCATGGATATTTATTTTATACTTTAGATTATCATTGAATACTCTCATTGCTTATTTTATTGTTAAAACACTACAATTTTGGCTATTGGGAGCACTTTCAATTGGCTCCTGTGTCTCTTTGACATACCCCCATCATTGTGTGCATATACTTTTTTGTTGTTGGTTTTGAGCGCTTACTTACATTCTGCAACACAAGATGCTTCAGACTCGTGTTGCATATTCTCTTAGTCCTAGAATCAACCATTTCCCCAAATGTAGATTGTTCCTATTATTGGATAATAGTAGTAGAAATGAAGATCTGGGGCACTAGATGTGCGTGTTGCTAATGGAGTTTGTTGCCTCTAAGCCATTTTAGCTTACAGAAAATGTGTGTATATTAATCCATTAATGTACATGTACCTACCTATAACTACTTCTATATTTAATGTATCTCTATGTTACACTAACATAAGTTCATACTGAATGCCTCCAACTCCAATCCATTGCTATGTGGATCATTCTAGCATCCTATTACATGTCTGTACCTGCTACCTGGATCCTACCATCCACCATGAATTTACTTAATTGTATAGTTTCAGTAAACATGTATAGTGTAGTTTTAGAATTGTTAATCCATATCCCCATGGAAAATAACTTTATCAACTATAGTACAGAGCTTATGTGCAATTTCTTTGCCTTCAGTCTTACAATCTCTACTCATTTCCAAAGTTACTAAGGTCAGCACATTTTCTCCCATCTTCTTCAATGATATTATTTTATATACTCACAGGTAGCACAGTTAGATTCTTATGTCGCAGTTTGCATCCCAGACCTGGAATCCTAGACCTTCTAAATGACTTTTTAAAAATTGTATACATTAAGGTTCACTGTTTTCTCTTTTCGTTTGCTTTAAAAATTATTTTAAAATGCCAAATAAAAGCTATATATACTGTGGTACACAACATGATGTTTTGATACATGTATACATTATTAAATGGCTACAACAAACTAATTAGCATATGCATTCTCTCACATGCTTATCTTTTTTGTAGTGAGAACACTTAAAGTCCACTCTTTTCACAATTTCAAGGTTTACTCCTTGTGCTGTAAAGTTCTATAGGATTTGAAAAATTCATAGATCCATGTATCCACCATTATAGTGCCATACAAAATAGTTTTAGCATCCTAAAAAGTCCTCTGTGCCTCACCTACTCAACATTTTCCCTTCCCCAAGCTGCAGGCAATCACTGCTCTGTTTACTATTTCTATAATTTCCCAGAATGTCACATAAAAGGAATCATGCAGTCTACAGCCTTCTTTGACAGGCTTATTGCACTTAGTAATATGTGTTCAAGATTCATCCTTAGTTTTGTGTAGCTTGATAGCTAATTCCTTGCTATCACAGAATGGTGATCCATTGCATAGATGTACCACAGTTTGTTTTCCATTCACCTATTGAAGGGCATCTTTGTTCCTTCCAGTTTTTGGCAATTATAAATAAAACTGCTGTAGCTATTTGTGTTTGGGTTTTTGTGTGTATGCATACTTTTGAAATGTACATAGACATATATTTGCTTTTATAGCATTTGTATGAGTTGGTAAAATTTTATCCTGTGTTCAACATCGCATTTCGATTCAGAAGCCCCTGAGAATTAGCCCAACAAACAGATCTTGAAAGCTTAAAAGGCTTTCATAGGCTTTAATTAACTGAACCTACAATGACAGAGAGTAAACTTTTTACATATGGAAAGTCACACTTAGGGATTGAAGTTGCCATGTTGTCACCCATGTTAGCACAGTCATGTTGAGCAACACATCTGTATGCTGACAAGGCAGCTCTGTGGTAGGAGAATAATGGACATGGAGAGACAAGACACAGAGAGAAAGGAGTAGAAAACGCACCTCTGTTTCTGTTTCTGATTTATTTTCCAGTTCCCACTTTATTTCCTGTGGTGTCCTGCTATACTTTATGTTTCGATTCTGTGAGATTCATTTTCAATGGTTTAATAATCTTCCTTCTTACTTCAGTTAGCTTATATATACTTCTGTTCCTTGTAACCAAAATATTACCAAACCCCCCCAACACACACATACAAACAAATAAAAACCTTGAGAAGATTGTGTGTTTGCTTAAGAAAACAGATTATAGAACCCCAAATCCCCAAATCCTTACCAGTTGCTGCTTGTGGTTATATTTTCCCCACTAGATCCCTGAGACACTCTCAAGAGAGTTCTCCAGGAACTCCAGGAATACCCATTAAAAATCAAAGCAATGGTCAATGCCTGCCTAAATGGTATTCTTTACTTATTACTTAGTTTGGGCTACTTTTGTACTTTGAGAAGCTGATTGACAAACCTGCTTTAGTCTTCCATTTTCCTGCCCCAGAATAGTCCTGTTGGAACTTCTAAACAAAGGGAATGCTTTTTCCAAGAAAGAGGCTCATTCCCTTAACACACCAGCTACATAGGAGCTACAGAAGTGAGCAACAAAAGCCAAAGAAGGGAACGAAGAGGGGGGGAAAATTGTTACATTTTTGAGCTTCCTACAGTAATCTCCAAGCCATGAACACATCCTGCTCTTTCTTTGTTATTTTTTTATGTTATTTTATTTTCTATTGGGGAATAACTTATATAAAGTACAATAATCTTACATGTACAACTTGGTGAATTTTTACCTATGTATACAGCAATGTCATCACCAGCCAGATCAAGATCTAGAAAATTATTATCACCCCAGAAAGTTCCCTGAACTTCATATAAATGGATTCCAGTAGTATTCAATCTTTTGATATTTCATCCATGTTGTTATATATGTAAGTAATTTGTTCTATTTGGTGGGGTATGCAATATTTTATTATATGAAAGACTACAATTGATTCACCTGTTCTTATATAATTGTACATTGGCTATTATGAATAAAGTTGTTCTGAGTATTCATGTACAAGTCATGTTTTTTGGCACATGCAATCATTTCTCTTATATATACCTAGGAGTGGAATTGTTGGAACAAAAAGTAAGTATATATTTGTTTTATTGCCAAACAGCTTTCCAAAGTGGGAGAAGTCTACTTTAAATGGCAATGAATGAGTTCCAACTGCTTCACCTATTTGCCAACATTGGTATTGCCTTTAAAATTTTAAACATTCTAGTGGTTGTATTCTTTCTTTTTTGTCCTTGGTCCATACCATGACTCTTCCTCCTTGAACTTAGTTCTTTCCAAAATAATTAAGCAGCTTCTTAGCAGGTTTAGCAAGTGGGGTTCTTCTATCAACATTTTCTTGAATTTTGGCAGTGGCTTCCTGAATGGAGTATTACAGAGCTATAATTGATTAATGATGTTTTTCATCAGCTCAAAAGGAAAAATATTGCAAAACATGCAAAATATGTATCATCCTGAATTTAAAGTATACCACTACCAAATTCCAAGGAGCTGTGATGTGATCTATTATTTTTCTCTTAGTATGTGAAAGCAAATCATCAGTTTTGAATCCACGAGACCCTGTTGAATTAGTTAATGTACATCTATTGGACCTATTCTATGTTGTAGGAATTGCACCATTAATACATGAGTGAAGAATGACCCTTTCCATTGTCGGCACACTTACTAAAGAACATACTGCAAAGCAGTCGCTCATCATCCCTTGAGACTGCAGATTAACTCTTCCCATTTTTTTTTTATCAGAGCAAATTTTCTCCATTGAACATAATACTTACTATGCTCTTAGTCTGAAGCTAGATCATTGTATTCAAAATTTTATTTTATTCACATAAAACTGATGAAACTAATGCAGTCTTAATAAGCTTTCAAAAGTTTAATTTTATATATTAAATAATCATGGATTTTCCCTCAAATTCCGGTTGATATTTCCAACATGCATCTATTGTAATTAATACTTTTAAGTGTAATGTTATGCAGAAAAGAGGTATAGTCTACAGACCTTCAGTATTCCCAAGGGATAGAACCCAGGACCTTTCACAAATACAGACATTTGTGATTTGGAAATATATAATTATTTGGGTTCGTTGTTAAATATAAAATCTTTGGGTTTGTTTCTAAAATATACTTCTTGGGGCTTCTTGCTCATATTTTTAAAATATAAGTAAGCCACATTTTGACTTTGATGATGAAATTTCTCTCAGGGGGTGGGTTACATCATGGCACAAAATTAGTATTTTTCCACAAAATTCATTTTGTAGGAATAAAGAGTGAAGAAAAGCAAATTCTTCATGGTTGACTGGGTTCCTTTAATGCTCATTCAATGTACCCACCAAAAATCTTCAAATGCATGCTTCAGGAAAATTTAAATTATTACATTTCCAAAAATATTTTTTGAATAAAATGATGAAAGGTATCCCAAAGCTTCTCCCAGACTCAGACACACAGGGCCTGAGACACACAAACAGATGACCTTATCCTGACCTCTTCCTTCCTGTAGCTGATTCATGACCTTGGCAGTGATTCACATCTTCACAGACTAGCACAGTTCATCCCCTGATCACTGAACCCATCTCCATTTATATGAGGTACTGCTATGTTAATTATATAATAAAATTCCTGCTGTATGGGCTTTGGTGCATTTTTCTATGTTGATGTGATCTGAACTAATCCCTCAGAAGACTGAGGCAGTTCCTTACATCCTCTACGTCTTTATTAGGAATTTGGTGTATTACAGCATCTCCACCATTTGTCTTGGCATACTCACCTGAGGAGCTTGATAAAAACACAGATTCCTGTTTTCCTTCATAGACCCATGTAACTGGGCTCTCCTAAGAGGGAAGTTGAGCATCTGTAGCTCTAACAAGCATTCTAGATAATGGTTATGATGCACTAAATTTTGGAACTATCCTTATAGTGGAAAGACTGTGTTTTCTCCCACCGGTTTTATTTATATACAGTACATTTGAGTCATGGCTGTACCGTGTAAAACAAAATTTATCTACATATTTCTATTTATCTCTTCATCGATCAGTGTGTCCCTCCATCCCTCTATCCCTCTATTCCTCCATCATGCATTGCTTTTCTGTTTAGTGTTTTAATGATTTAGCCACTGCTTTACTGAGCAACTAAATCAGCCTTGACAATGGATTTGTGTGACTTTGGGGAAGTTAGCCTTTTTAAGCTACAGTTTCCTCATTTGTGAAATGAATATAATGAGAATATTTACCTTCCAGTTTATCATGGTAGTGAAATAAGAAAGCACGGGTAAATGCTTAATACAGTGTCTTGATCAAGATAAGGTGTCAATAAATGTTAATTCCTTTCACCTTTTTCATTAAAGGACTATAACGCTTTTCAGAAGCACTTCATATAGCGATATATCTACTATTTAGGTTATCAAATATAAGCATTTAATGTTGTAAATTTTCTTCTAAGCATTGGTTACCTGCATCCCACAGAATCTGAGATGTTGTATTTTATTTTTGTCCACTTCAAAATATTTTCAAATTTCCTTTGCGATCTTCTCTTTGACCAATTGATTATTTAGAAGTGTTGTTTTATTTCTATATATTTGAAGATTTCCCTTTTATTTTTCTGTTATTGATATCTGGTTTAAATATTTTAAAGTCAGATAACATACTTTATATGATTAAAGTTTTTAAAAATTTGTTAAGGTTTGTTCTATGATCCACTATGTCATCTACCTTGGTAAATGTTACATATGCACTTAAAAGAATATATATCCTGCTATTGTTGGCTGGAGTGTTCTATAAACATCAAATACATCCAGCTTGTTAGTGGCATTTTTCTTATCTTCTATATCGTTGTGATTTTCTGCCTTTTAGTTCTATCAATTAGTGAAAGAGGAGTTTTGAAGTTTCCAACATTAACCATGGGTTTTTCCATTTATTTTAGCTTTTTCTTTCAATTTTAAAAGCTCTCTTTTCTACAGATACGTTTAGGATTTTGATGTCTTCTTGGTAAATTTAACCTTTTAAAAATATGTAATGTCTTTCTTTATTTCTGGTAATTTTCTTTGCTCTGAAGTTTAATTTGTCTTATATTAATATTGCCACTGCAGTTTTCTTTTGGTTAGTGTGTGTAAGACACACCAAAACCCATCCTTTACCTTTTAATCTATGTAGTTTGCTGTATTTCAAGTGAGTTTCTTATAGAGAATATATAGTCATTCTGACAATCTATCTTTTAAATGGTGTGTAGGATCATTTGTATTTAATGTAATTATTATGTTTTGATTAATGTCTACTGTCTTAATATTTATTTTTTGTTTGTTCCCTCTCTTTTTTGTTGCATTGTTTTCTTTTCCTATCTTCCTTTGAATGGTTTTAAGTACTCCACTGAAGTATTTTCAGTACTCCATTTAAAAAAAATCTGTATTGTACTCTATTTCTTTGTATAATTTTTAGTATTTGTTATAGGGATTACAATATACATATTTAGCTTTTCCAAGTCTACTTAGAATCAATTTTTACCATGTCAAATATAATGTAGAAATTTTGACAAACATATAGATCCCTATACCCTCTCCATTTTATGTTTTAGTTGTCTTATATATTACACTTACATACATCAAAAACTTTATCAGATAATGTCAGTTTTTACTCTCATAATTCAAACATTTTAAGGAATCTTAGAAGAAAAGTATAGTCAGTCATATTTACCTAGGTACTTACTATTTCTGTTCCTCTTCCTTCATTACTGATGTTCTTGTGTAATTTCTTCTGTCTAAAGAAATTCCTTTTGTAAATATTTTAGAACAAATTTGCTGGCAATGAATTTTTATAGTTTTTCTTAGCTGAGACTGTCTTAGAATGTATTTATTTCACTTTCATTTCTGAAAAACATTGTTGGTGGATATAGAATTCTGGGTCAATAATTCTGTTCTTTAAATACTTCAAAAATATTATCTCAATTCCTCTGGAATAAATGGTGTCTTACAAGAAAGCACAATTTTTCTTTCTTTTTTTTGGTTAGTGTTTTTATTTTATTATACTTTAAGTTCTAGGGTATATGTGCACAATGTGCAGGTTTGTTACATATGTATACATGTGCCATGTTGGTGTGCTGCACCCACTAACTCGTCATTTACATTAGGTATTTCTCCTAATGTTATCTCTCGCCCCTCCCCCTACCCCATGACAGGCCCCAGTGTGATGTTCCCCTGCCTGTGTCTAAATGTTCTCATTGTTCAATTCCTACCTGTGAGTGAGAACATGTGGTGTTTGGTTTTCTGTCCTTGCGATAGTTTGCTCAGAATGATGGTTTCCAGTTTCATCCGTGTCCCTACAAAGGACATGAACTCATCCTTTGTTATGGCTGCATAGTATTCCATAGTGTATATATGTGCCACATTTTCTTAATCCAGTCTATCATCGATGGACATTTGGGTTGGTTCCAAGTCTTTGCTATTGTGAATAGAAGAAAGCACAGTTTTTCAAACTTTGTTATAAGTAATATATCATTTTTCTTTGGCTGTTTTGAAGTTTTTTGTTTACATTGATTTGATTATGATATGTCTGGGCATTATTTGTGTGTGTGTGTGTGTGTGTGTATGTGCATGTGCACACAGGGTTTATCCTGTTTGAAGTGAAGTCAGCTTCTGGAGTCTTTGAATTTATGTCTTTTGACAAATTGGAGAAATTTTCTGTTATTATTTCTTTAAGTGATTTTCTGCATTGTCTTCTTTCTCCTCTCTTTCTGAAACTCCAATGACACAAAAGTCGACCTTTTGGTATTTTCCAACACCTTCCTGGGAAGCTTTTTTTGCTTTTTCCTCTGTGCCATTTATACTGGATAATTTCCATTAATTTATCTTGAGGTTCACTAATTCTTTATTCCATCATCTCCATTCTGGTATTGATCCTATTTAAACCTACTCAGTGTTTTAAATTTTGATTACTGTATTTTTAAGTTCTAATATTTCCTTTGGTTCTTCTTTATATCTAGTGTTTCTTTGCTGAGACTTTTAAAATATTTCCATTCATTTCATTACTTCTTGACCATTTTTTTATAATAGCTTTGTAAAGTCTTTGTCAAATAATACCAACATCTGTGTCCTTCCACTTTGGAGTCTGTTGATTATCTTTTGCCATATGAGTGAGATTCTCCTGATTGTTTTTATGATGCATAATTTTTAATTGTGTCTTGCCTTCTTTGAATATTACATTATGATACCCTGAACTTTATTCAAATCCTATAGAGAATGTTACTTTTTGTTTTTGCAGGCAATCAACCTTATTTGATTTAGGCTGCAAGTTATTACCAGTCTCCTGTGGATTGTAGTTTTAATACCCACTCAGTTTTTAAAGCTTTAAGTTCAAATTTGTCCCATGTGTGCCACACACATACAGTTCTGGGGTGAGCCCAAGAATTCAGCACCAACTTCATGGTCATATTTCTGAGGTGCTCTCTCTCCACTCTGTTCCTGGTAACTTCTGCTTCCCTGGAGCTCCCTTTTTCAGTCTTCCAGCCAAAAGTCTTGAATTTTAGTTTCACCATTTTGATATGCATGTCCCATGACTGCATCCATATGCAAAACCAGGCAGTAAGTGGTTAGAAAGAGAAGGAGCAATGAGTTTGCATGACTGTCTTGGAACCAAAACTCCTCGGATCACAGAGGAAGGCTCCTCCTCTTATAAAGACTATGGCATCCAGTGCTACTTCTGTTGCTGCCACCATTGCCACAAAAGGAAACTTGAGAAAAAAACAGTGTTTTTCCTCACACTGTCTATGTGTTAGTAGTTATTTCTCTACACCTCAAAGCAGAGGAGTTCCAGAGGGCTTCTCCTGGAGATGTCCGTTTGTGTCTAGGACACACTTTCGAGTTTTGGTTTATATTGAGATCAGGTTGTGGAATACTGGTGAAAAAAAAAATGTGAAACTCACTGCTGATCTAGGTTTTAGAGCTGCATTTATTGTGAGAGACAGGGTGCAGTGCACATATTTCACCTTACCTTGAAGAAATGCCAGTTTAATTCTGTGTTACCTCTTCTTTCTCCCTCTGAGCATTGGAGAGGTAGCCCATTAATTAATTGGTTCTTGGACAGCTTCCCCATGCCCCTAATTGTGAGATGCTCTGTGGTGCTAGCCTTAGTGACAGGTGGCAGTGGCAGCAGCTCATTCCTTTAGTTTTAGTCTTTCTGAAAGTCTTTGTTTAAATGAGTAACATGTATACATTATATAATATTGGGTTATATTCTGTGAGCCATATTGTAAATATTTTTTAATTAATTGATTAAATGCCATTGTAATTTGTTAATATGATGCTACTACAGCATATAACACATAATATACAGCATAGAACATTATAATTTTACTTTTATCCTTGTTTCTATTTTAATTTTAGATCTATTACTATACATATTAAATGATCACCATTGGTCTTTTTGTTAAACGGTTCCCAGTGATCTCTTGTTTAGAGGAAGCTCATACTCTAGAAAATTGTTCATGAAGGGCTTGTGGTTATAGAATTTCCTAATTCTTTGCATATTTAAAACTACTTATCTATAGCCTTGATACTTAGAATACACCTTGACTGGATATAAAATTATTGCTTCATACTTTTTTCCTTGAGTTTTTTAAAATGCATCTTTACTGCTGCCTTGCATATGTGTTCTTTTTATGAAGAGGAGGCTTTGAGGATTTATTCTATTTAAGATCTAATGGTCTACTGGGACATATCTATGGATTGACTTTTGTGGGCCAATTTTCCCGGGTACCTGGTGAGTCCTTTTAATATTTTGGTAATTTTTTCTTTTATTTTTATAATATGCTTTTGGATTATAGTTTCACATGTTACTTCTTTTTTATGGCTTTGTTTTTTGTCTTTTGAGATTCAAATTATACATAAGCTGGATCCTCTTTCTTTGTCTTCCACTTCAAACACTTTCTACATGAACATCTTTACTTCTCTCTCTATTCTATGTTCATGTCTTGGTTATGTTTCTGTTTTGTTCCTATGCCCTTTATTAAATTTTCATTGGAATTCATTCTTTCTTGGGAACATTGTAATTTCTTCTTTATTTAATACGATTTTGGATTTTTCTTCTATATCTTTCAGAAGTTTAATCAAATATAATTTTCTTTTGTGCTGCTTTTTGTATATCTATTTTCTTGGTTTTTAGATTTCTGATTCAAGGTGGGATTTTTTTTATATATTCCCAAATGCTTATGGGAGAGTACTTAATTAAATCTGAAGTGTTGTGTCATAGTTTTCTTCTGCCTTGTTATTGTTTCTGTGTGTGTGTGAGGGAAACTGTTTACCAATAGAGAAGTTTTGATTTTAATTTCTATTATATTTGATTTTCAGTTTGATTTTTTATTTTTATATTAGTTTTGTAATAAATGAATATTTCTTGTACCTATGCCTGCATTTTGAGTTCAGATCTGTTAGTATAGAGTGGTCTATAAGATTGCTAGTTCACAATCACCCTCTTGCCAGAAGAGCAATGTACAGTTTACTTATCTAATGGCTTCTGTAGTGAAAATGGGGGATGGTCTTATGTCCTTGGATATTTGGCATTATTTCGTTTTGAAAGAACCTAAATATGTTTCTTGCCTCTTTTTCTCTTTACTGCACAGTTTTCAAAGGGTTGCTATTGCTTTCATTTTACTCTTTTCTCTTCTGAAGGATTGCCTTTGCAAGACTGCTTCCTTGAGTCTCTTAAGCCTCTTTCCCTGTAATTTGTACTCATCCATCATGATTCTTTTTCAATCTGAACAACTTAGGGTGCACTTTCTCTTCTGTCAGTGATTTTATATCAACCTTGGTCTTTCTGCTATCTCCTCTCTTATTTCTTCTGGACTGCCCTTGATCTCCAGTAAGAATTATAGTGCAAATGTTACAGCTAGTCATTTATCCTCTAATTAACCTATAGATTTAATGCAGTAGCAATAAAAGTCTCAGCACACTTCTTTAAAGTTGGAAATGCAAAGTAACTAAAATTTCCAAAATAAGCTTGACAAATAATTTCAAAATTAGAGGATTCATTTACCTTATTTGTTTTCAAGACCTAATGTAAAGCTATGAAATAAGATAGAATGCTAATAAATTAAATATACAAAGATAGATCAATGGTACAAGAATAGAGAATATAGAAATAGAACAATATAGATACTTGTAATGATTTTTGGCAAGGTACCAAGGCATTTCAATGTGGCAAGGAACGTCTTTACAATAATCAGTATTGGAGCAATTAGATAAATGTAGAGGGCAAAAATGAACCTTGAAACATAGCTCACACAAAAGTCCATTCGAGATGGATCATAAACCTATATGTAAAGTCTAAAATTATAAAGCTCCTGAAAGAAAACAAGAAAATAAGTCAATGGTTTTGAGGAGGCAAATATATTTTTTAAAGGACAAAAACTGTAGTAAACATTTAAAATTTTGATAAATTGGACTTTATGAAAATAAAAAATTTCTGCTCAGCAAAATGCAGAATTAAGAAGATGAACACAGACCAGCTGTGGTGGCTCATACCTGTAATCCCAACACTTTGAGAGGCCAAGGCAGGAGGATCTCTTGGGGCCAGAATTCAAGACCAGCCTGGGCAACACAGCAAGACCCCATCTCTAAAATTTTTTTTTAATTAGCCAGGCATGTTGGCTCATGTCTACTAGTAGCCAAGTAGTCCTAGCTATTTGAGAGGCTGAGATATGAAGATTGCTTGGGCCTGAGATGTCAAGGCTACAGTGAGCCATGATTGTGCCACTGCACCCCAGCCTGGGTGACAGTGAGACCCTGTATCAGAAAAGAAAAAAGAAGATGAATAGGCAAGTCACATCTGAGAGAAAATATTTACAATACATATTTCTGAAAGTAGTCTTAAATGGAGACTATATAAAGAACTCTTAGAAATTAACAATAAAACACAAACACCTCAATTAAAAGGGCAAAAAATTGGACACCCACCAAAGAAGATACAGGAATAGCAAATGAGCAGAGGAAAATTTGCTCAACATCATTTGTTATCAGAAATGCAAAGGAAAACCATAAGGAAATACTCCTTTGCATCCATGAAATGGCTAAAATAAAAAAGACTGATATGCAAAATGCGGTAAGATTATGGAGCAACAGGCAGTTTCATACATTGCTGTGGGGAGTGTGAAGTGGTACAGTCACTTTGGAAAGTTGTTTGGCTATTCTTATAAAGTTAAACATACATCTACATGAGAAGCAGCAATCCCACTCCTAAGTATTTACCAAAGATAAGTGAAAACATATGTCCACAATAGACATTTACATGAATGTTTATGTAAGATTTGTCCATAATAGCCCCTAACTGGAAACAATGCAAATGTGTCTCAGTAGAAAAATGGATAAACAATTTGTGGTTTATTCTTACAGTGGAATACTATTGAGCAATAAAGAGGAATGAGCGGCCGGGCGCGGTGGCTCACGCCTGTAATCCCAGCACTTTGGGAGGCCGAGGCGGGCGGATCACGAGGTCAGGAGATCGAGACCATCCTGGCTAACACGGTGAAACCCCGTCTCTACTAAAAATACAAAAAATTAGCCGGGCGTGGTAGCGGGCGCCTGTAGTCCCAGCTACTCGGGAGGCTGAGGCAGGAGAATGGCGTGAACCCGGGAGGCGGAGCTTGCAGTGAGCCGAGATCGCGCCACTGCACTCCAGCCTGGGCGACAGAGCGAGACTCCGTCTCACAAAAAAAAAAAAAAAAAAAAAAAAAAAAGAGGAATGAGCTACTGATATATGCAAGGCATAGAAACCTCACGTACTGCGGACTGAAAGAGGCTTGTGCTTACACAAGACATATAATGTACAATTCCATTAAGGCCAATTAAGGTCAAACATAGGCAAAACTAACCCAGCAGGATAGACACTGAGAGCTAGGGCTGCCTGTGGGAAGTGAGGAGCCCTGGCAAGGACATGAGGAAACCTTCTGAGGTAGTGGGAATGTGCGACATCTTGTTTGTGGTGATGGATACAAAAGTTGACACATTCATCAAAGCTCGCCACATCATTCACTTGATATCTGCATATTTCACTCAAAGTAAGTTTTATTTATTTATTTATATTTATTCATTTATTTATTTTTAAGATACAGGGTCTCCCTCTGTCACCCAGGCTGGAGTGCAGTGACATGATCTCCACCTCTTGGGCTCAAGCAATCTTCATGCCTCAGCAAATATCTGAGATCACAAGTGCGCACCACCACGCCAGGCTAATTTTTGTATATTTTGTAGAGACAGGGTTTTGTCATGTTGCCTGGGATGGTCTCGAACTCCTGAGCTCAGGCAGTCTGCCTGCCTCCACCTCTCAAAGTGCTGGGATTAGAGGCATGAGCCACTGCGCCTCAGCTGTAAATTTTATATCATTAAAAAGGCAAAGAAAAAAAGACATCTCTAGTGAGTCCATATGCCAAAGAACTTTAATGACACAAATAAAGACAGCACCAACACTTACAGCTATGTGACCTCATGCAAGTTACGTAACTGCTCTGAGCCTCAGATTCTTCTGTAAATTCAGGATCTGTATCTCATGGGGTTAAGAGAATTACCTATGACAAGGAATGTAAGGTATTTCCTAGAGGATTGTATGCTTAATGAGTAATCAGTATGTGTTCAATAAAATATTCTGTCTTATGGAGACTTCTACTTTGTCAAATTGTTAAGTATAACACTGTTTGTTCAAAATACTTTCTCTTTGTCTCTATTTCTGGTTCTGTATGTGTTTCTTCTCATCAAATGAGGTGTGAATTCAAGTGAACTCAAGTCCTTCACCAGTTTCACAGAGTTCTCACGCTAAACATTTTGTGAGTCTGGTAATACTACTCATGTCTTCTACTCCTCTTTCTTTTCCTTCTCCTCCATCTCTGAAGGAACCAGAAAATTTCTCCTTTCTGTAGTGTACACAGCAATTCTATCCACACCAAGATCCTTGGAATATCACCTTCTATTATCAAGTGTGTGTATGTGTGTGTGTGTTTTCTTTCTAATGGGAGGATGATACTCTCTCTTACTGTAATAGTGTTTTCTGAGCATGTGACACTGATCTGCTTATTTTCTATGATATCTACATTCCCATGCATTATGCTGTCTTCCTAATGCAGAGACCATGGACTGATATGCCCAGGCCCCTGCTGCTCCAGCAAGCAACTGCAAACAGCTCTAGAAATGCTGTAACCCTGCTGTCCTGACTGGCCCCCAGTGAATGAGCAGGATGAGTTGGTGATGGCTCCAAACTTTGCCATTGAGTGTTCAGATCTGCACTTTAGGGAGTTTGAATAGACACAACAGCATCTGTTGGCAGCATCTCAAAGCACCTATAAGACAGTTGGGGAAGAACATCTGGAAGACAGTTAAGGAACAGCAAGTGAGAAGCAGAGAGAAGCGAATAGGTGGAAGCCACAGTTGGCAGAAGCCCTAAGGTGAGTAGCAATCAGTCCATGTGTGCTGGCCAGCAAGTAGCTGAGAGCCAGAAAGGGAGAGCACGCAGCAGCAATGATTGACAGCTGCTAAAGAGATCACTGGATATCCAGGTTACTGGGACTGGGTGAATGTTTCATGATATTCTACTTCTCTAGAAGGCCTGATTTCCAAATGCAGGTGCATCTATTTCTCTGTGAACCCCAGTTCTAAATGTGTTGCCTTTATTTATGTTCTAGCTTACCTATCTCATGTCTGTTCAACTGAAGTGTCATTGAAGTTTCTCTTTATTCTTTGTAACAAGAAAAGACTCAATTAAGGCAAGAATAGAAGAGCTGCTGAGATTTAGAAATTCATATAAGTCTGTCCTAGTAATTCTGGTTTATCTAAAAGGAGAATCCTATCCCTTTTCTCTTTCTCTCACTTTCTCTCTCTCTTTGTTTCTCCTTTTCTAAGCAGTCACTTTCCTCTTAGTTTCATAGGCATTCCCTCCATGGCCAGATATGATCAGAGCAGGCATGTCCCCTTAACCTTGGGCAAAATCTCTTCCGTCATTTTCCGGGTATTTTATTCCACAATAGTTCAGGCTCAAGATGGCCAAGGAGTGAGCGTGAACTCTGACAAAGCACAGAAAACATTCTTCTCCTCATGCCTTCCTCGGAGACGTGATCCACAGGCTCTTGATTCTGTGCCAGGATGGGGCCTCTGCCACCTCCTTGTCTCTGTTAAAATGGGGGGAGAATAAATGTTCTCCACAACCCCCCAACCCCACAATGTGCACCCAGGTGCATGCATGCAGGACCACGGCCTTTTCATTGCACACAAATGAAGTTGTCATCCCATTTCCACCAGTGGGTGCATACTGATGTCCTTTTGGGTCTTTGCTGTTGTGTCTTCTGAAGCCACTCTAGTTCTGCACAGCTCTGCTTAGGCCCAGCTCCTGCTTCCCTTTGACCTTGCTGATATTCTGTGACTTCCAGGCACATTTTCCTGGGACTTGCTGCTGACCTACAACCTCCAGCTTTGCTGATGCCTTTCATTTACCCCAGACTGGTACAGGGCGGTCTTGTCTTTGTGGTAACTGGACTTCACCGGGGAGCAGGGATTCCTTCAGTCAAATAACTTCAGGCCACTCCTTGTACATGGTCACCCAGTTTGACACAATGTTCCATGCTACTGAGACCTCTGAGAAGTGTCCCACCATATTGACTTTCAGCTCTCTAAGTGAGAACTGAGACAAAGGCCCCCTCAGCAGTACCCTCTGGGAAATGTCATTCCCCTGTGTGTGTGGAGTGGGATGCAGGCCTATGCCAAGTAGCTGAAGTCCTTGGGACCCTCTTTTAATAGCAAACATTTGCTGTAGCTCTTCCTGAGGTCTGGGCTTCCTATTTAAATGAGGCTCAGGTGTCTGATTATGACCTCTTTCTGCTCTTTTCTCTGAATGACTGGTATATTCAGTTCCATCAGGACTGTTTATTCGTGATCTTGTCCCAAGAGTCCACACATAGGTCGATTTCACATAAATTTCTAGTAAAACTCTAGTTCAGAGAACATATAAATCCTATGACTTTTCTCATAAAATGTTTCTTTTGGCATAACAAGAAAAAAATAGAAGACCTATAAGGGAAAAATAAGATTAAAATTGATCAAATGTGGCTAGAAAAGTTTCTGTAACATCACAGGAAAATGGCTGCACTTTCCCCTCCCACTCAAATTATTACCTTCCATTTTACTACAGAAGCTAAATTTTTGTTATCACACCACAGGCCATTAAATTGGCATTGGAAGCCAGCCAGCTAGGCAGAAGCTGGAGTCTGGTTGAAATGCCAAGTGAGTTAGCATTCTAACCTTCAGTAGAAGTACAGGAAAATGTGCAATGGAGTGAACTTGAATGCAGGCATGTTTATTTTCACATCTGGCTTGTACAGGATGGAAAGAGATTCCATATAAGGGTCCTTCTCACTGTCTGAGCACTGCCAGCCAAAAGGCTGACCAAACTAACTTGTTGGTCCACAGATGATCTTTAAGCAGGGAGTGGGTAAGGGGTGCTTTGGGAATTCCCTACGCCACTCACTTCTTCAGCTATGAACTATGACTTCACATGGACTCTTCCTACTAATTAACAACAGCCATTTAGCGGACTCCTATTTGCTTTTCAAGTTCCAGTTGAGATGCCCCTTCCTCCAGGAAGCCTTCCTTGATAACCCCAGCCTGAGTTAAAGCCCCTTCCTGTTTGCTGTCTTAGCCTGGTGTATTTTTCTCTTCATATCAGTTATTATAGACCCCTTAAAATTATGCCATTCAGACTAGATTGCAAACAATTTGGGGTTAGAGACCAAATCTGTTTTCTTTATTATGACTTCTCCCATGGCCAAGCCAGCTCTTGGCACACAGTGGGTATATTCTGTTTAGTTCTACAGAGAAAGGGGTGGAATATAATGGCATGTCTGCCATATTAATTTATCATCAGGATCAGAACATGTGCTACTTGGAGGTAACTTTGGAGGGGAGGGAGACATTGGTGTGATGGAGAAAGGAAGTGATTTTATAGACACTTATTTGTGCCAGGGAGCTTGTAAGATTCTTTACACAGGTTGTCTATTTATTCTTTACAGTAAGCTTTAGAGGCCATCCACTCCAACTTTTCAAGGGTGAGAGACTGGAGACTAAGATCCCAGGCAGTGACATGAAATGCTTGATTCCCGCATGTGTGTGTTTCCATGTATCATTGCACCACATGCAGAGCTTTTCTAGCATCTTCATCTTGTGTGTCTTCATATCCTAGTCACCTTGCAAAGCTCAACTTATCCCTGAAAACCCAGTTTAAGCATTTCCTCCACCTTCAATCTCCTTAGGAGAGGCCTTTCTTCACCACCACCAATCCTATCAATTAGAAGTAAGGATCTCCTGTTTGTGCCTCTTTTGAACATGTTATTCTATCAGATACACAAATATGGTTGTGTCAACCCAGGGGCTTTGCACTCAGACTTAAGGAGTTAAAATTGTCTTCTATCACATATTAGCCCTATCAGCTTGGACAAGTTACTTAGCCTCCTTGGCTTTGTTTATTCACCTATTGTATAAGTCAGGGTTCTACTAGAGAAGCAGAGCCAGTAGGAGATATACAGTAAGGAATTTATTGAAAGGAACTGGTTTATACAATTGTGAAGGCTGTCAAAGTCCAAAACCCACTGGGCAGGCTGTCAGGAAAGGCAGGCTGGAACTCTGGGGCACAGGTAAAAACTATTGTACAAGACTGGAATTTCTTCTTTAGAGAAGCCTCAACTCTGCTCTTAAGGCCTTTCAACTGATTGAACCATATCCACCCAGATTATCTGGGATAATCCCCTTTACTTAAAATCAACTGATTATGGACTTTAATTGCATCTATAAGGTACAACCATGGCAACACCCAGATTATTATCTAGATAACTGGAGACTGTAGCCTAGAAAAACTGACATGTTAAAAGTCCATCACACTTATTATGGGTGGGGAGAAGGTGTAAGAATAAAACCTACCTCATAGGGCCATTATAGGGATTAAATGGGTTTATCCATATCATGCATTTAGAATAGTATTTGGCAAGTGACAAGGACCCAATAACTTTTAATACAGTGTTTATCATACTATGCTATAATTATTTTTATATGTCTGCTTTCCCTACTAAGCTTTTAATGCTTTTATTCAGGTATGATGTACCCAACGTTTGTAGAGGCTGACCTTCAGTATGGGTAGTTAAATTCTTTGAATGAATAATTTTCTTTCAATTTTGAAATGGCTCACAAACAACCCAGAAGAATGCCATATGAGGAATTCATTAATGAGGACTACTCCTCTTCATGGACTTTTTTCCTTACCTTAGAGGACTGCAGAGATGAAACATTTTGGGCCATTTTCCAATGAAGGGAAGGGCATGATGGTATCAGCCAACTGAATTCTACAGCTTCCATTTTAATATGAGTTTCTAATGGTGTCACAGATAAGTTACAGTTTGACAGAAGGCCAGGTAGTAGAAGGTCCATCAAACGGTCTAGGGATTTGAAAATGTATTAAGCCTAAGAGAGTAAATCATTTGATTTCTGCAGTTACTGTATAGAGTTTATGAAAGAACATCAGCAAAAAGTATTTTACTTTCTTTTATATTCCAGGAAGAAGTTCATTTTCACCGTATATTACACCATGATGAAGGGATTTTCATTTCACAAAGGTTTGAATAATGACTAAGGTCTAAGCTCACATATCCCCAGGATGAAGAATTAAGTTTAATCCATAGAGTTGCCCAAACCTTGTGGAATGTCATTTCCTGCATCCCCTTGTTCACATCCTGGTGGTAGATTTGTTTTACACAGTGTAACCTAATACAGTAGGAGGCTGAAACTCATCAGTAATCTCTGCTTTTGTGTGGCAAGAATGGTGCAGTATGGAGGCACCAAAAAGTATGGAGGCAGTGCTGGGGATTCACCTTGGTCTTCATTTTTATCTTTCTTGGGATTTTTTTCCAACCATAGAAGTTACTTAGACTTAGCACTTGTGCATAAATATCACCCTTAAGCACAGTTGCAAAGAAAGCTCAGTGGGGTGGCTTTAGAATGATCCCGTTTGGGAAGCTAAGTGTAAGCAGTGTTGAACATTTAAGAAATGAGGATCAAATGCAGGTGCCAGTAAACAGTTTGTGCACCTTATTTGAGTCAAAAGATCAAATAAAAGTATGATGTTAACTTTTCTGGTTTATTATCCAACACTTTGTAGTCAGTTCAGAGAGCATGCATATGTTCTATACCAATTTAGGAATACATTGTCACTAAATGTATGAAAGTAAGTATCGATTGTACTGATACAATTTTATATGGAAGCTCAATTCTTCACAAAATATTTGCATATTATCCATCTATAAATAACCAAATATATAAAGTGTGATATAATTTCTAATTTCTTTTGTCTTAAATTAAATTGTTCTTAACCAAAAAAAATTTTTAAGGTGGCCAAATTTTTATTAACAGTTGTTTGAGAAAGAACATTCATGAGGACCTAAATTTGTTACTAACTATATAAATGAACAGTGGATTATTCACTTATTCACTTACTGGACATTTATCCAGTGCCCACAATGTGCAGGGAATGTGATAAGCATCAGTAACATAAAAAGGAAATAGAAATTCCAATCGAGTTGGCAAGTTATCCAAACAGTGTTGTTGTACTATGTTAGGGAAGAATGGGGTGCCATGGGACAGTAGAAGGGGGACACGCAGGCTCTAAGTCTTATAGCAAGCTTCCTTGAGGAAATGACATCCAACACTGAGACCTGAATGAATTCATCGGATAAAGTGTGTGTGTTGTGTGTGTGCGTGTGTGTGTGTGTGAGAGAGAGAGAGAGAAAGAGAGAGAATGCACACACACACGCTTATGGAGAAAGAGATCTCAGACAAATGCAAACTGTTGCAGACAGAGAGAGCGGAATATGCTGGCTTCTGTGGCCAATAGCAGCACGTCACACACCAGCTGTACTGTATTCAGTAGAACTAAAATAGAGAAGGTTTCCAACATGTTTGTTACAGGATAGAGCGGGGGATGAATGTCAAGAAGACTGAAGTAGAAGTCCAACAAAGAGGAGTGGTAGATGGATTTCAGAGATATTGAAGTGGTAGATTGTCAGCATTTTATTGACGATAGTATTTCAGTGGTGAGGGGAAGAATGAATGAAGGACGGCACTCTGAGCTCTGGCATGAGTGAGGGGGTGAAGGGTGGTGCTATTAATATTAACAATGAACACCGGAGGGGGCAAGGTTTTCAGAGTAAGATGACACATTTTGAGTCTGTCATGCCTGAGGAACATCAAGTGGAAAGACCCAGTGGATGGCTAGAAATGTGGCTCTGACTCTGAGGACCCCCCAGGAGAGAAACAGTTTTGAGATTCATTGTCCTACAGAAGAGTGTTTCTCAGCCTTGGCACTGGTAACATTTTGGGACAGATACAGCTTTGTTGTGAGGCTGTCCAGGGCACAGTGGGATGTGCAGCAGCATCCCCGGCCTCTGTCCACTAGGTCCAGTAGCGTGTCCAAGTCATGACAATGAAACATGTCTCCAGACATTGCCAAATGTCCCCAGGGGACAAAATCACCCCCAGGTGAGAGCCACTGACATGGATAGTACCTAATCCATGAGAATGGATGACTATAGAAATGAGAGGAAGAAGGTCTAAGGTTAAAACACTGAAGTACATCATTTAGGGACCAAGAGGAGAAAGAAAACCCCATAAAAGAGTCTGAGGAATGGTCAGAGGAGTAGACAAAAACACAGAAGCAAAGGGAAAACGTGTTTCAGTAAGAAAGATGTGATCACTAAGGGCAAATGCAGCTAAGAGAGCAATAGAAATGAATCCTAAAAGTGGCCCTGAGTTTAGCAGCAAGACTGCCATTGATGGCCAGTGAAAATAATTTTTGTGGAATAGTTGGGCAGAAGCTAGGAGGCAGTGAGGTGAGAAATAAATGAATTTATATTCATTTCTACATTATTTTGTCTGGCCAGACAGGACAGCCCAGCTAGAAGAATGAGAACAATTCAAAAGATCTTGGGTTGCAGATTTGAAGAGAGTTCAAGGAAGTCGAGTGATGAGTAGAAGCTGAGGATGTTGGCAAGAGAGAAATTGAAGTGGAGGACGTGGAATGTAAACTGGATGGTGAAAGAAATGAGTACAAGAGAGAGAATTGATGGATATAGAGAAGGTAGAGAGCTTAGATTCAAAGTCACTATGAGTATGAGGAGTAGGTAAAGTGAGAATTACTGAGGAAAAATTTGGAAGTGCATAAGAACAGTCATTCATCCCAGCTGGGCCTTAATTTCCTTATTTGTAAGGTCAGGGGTTAACCTAGGTGATCCCAATATCCTTTCAGACTTGATTGTTTTAGGTCACAAGGTATAACAGCATCTTTCTGATTCTTATGTGATAGAAATATTAAGGAAATGAGAGATGTGTGTATGAATTTGTCTATGAAAACTTACTAATACCAAATTTTTCTTTGTTGGGCTTCTCTTTGATTTGGGGCCGTCTTGATTTTGACACTGTGAGTTCCCTTTAGGTCTAACCAATTTTGATTTGTTCTTTAGTTTAGAAATAGAAAACTTTGGATATATGAGATAATTTTTGGTGGTTCAGTGGCTTTACTTTGTAGAAAAGTGTAAGTTCTTAAGAAATACAAAGATTAGAGAGCCTTGGTTTTTGTGGCTCTTTCTTCCCTGATAGCATCCTTTTCCTTTGCATTTCTTTCTCTCCCCTAAGATTCTTTCTGATAGATTAGTAATAATAAAGGCTTAAATGATTGTGTCTTGTAGGAAAATGAGTAAACTATAAAACCATGTCAGAAAATATGGGAGGCGCATACTTTTACTTTGCCTTCTGACATCCCAGGCAGACATCACTAATAGATTTCAGATTTCAGCACTCCTTCCTGGAATCTGGACATGTGCTTATAGCCATGATTCTTACCTCAGGCTGGACATCAGAATCCCTTGTGGAGATTTTGAAAAAGTAAAGTTTCTCAGGCTTCATCCTAGATTTATTCAATCAACATCTTGAGTGATTCTGATGTCCTACATCAGAGGAGTGTTTTGTCCTACAGAGGAGTGTTTCTCAGCCTTGGCACTGGTAACATTTTGGGGCAGATACAGTGCTCTGCCTAAGATTGACTTCCTGTGCATGGTTTCAGGCAGATACATTGGAGTTGGTACCTGCGATGAAAGATACATGATCTCAGATGGAGAATAACTGCCATCTCTCACCTTCTGCCCCTTCCCTGTGTTTCTACTTTTCAAAACTGAGCTGCAGTTCCCTTCAAAACATTACACATTCTGAAGTGGAACAAGAGGTAATGGATAAAGAAGCCAGATAAAGACTGTGAGTGGCTCTAGCCAACCCTTCCTCATCTGCTATGAAAGTATTCTTAAAGATAACAGCACCAAAGAGCTAGTGAAAGGATTATTCAACTGAGAGTTGGATATTGATTCATTTATTCCAAAATCTTTTATTAAGGGCTGGCATAATCAAAAGATGGCCTGCCTTTCAGGTTGTAAGTGGAATAGAGGGTGAAAACATGTCTTGAAGCAATTAATTATCTTTTGCTTACATATGCTTCCCCAAAAAGCCTGGTATCCAATAGAACTTTAACTCAAACTTTCGGTTTCCCCAAGTGAGGGATATATGAAGAGTGGTAAAGTCAGCTCATCTTAGGCTGTGTTTCAAGAAGACTTTACCAATGATGTCACATCCGTGATTCTAACAAATAAGCCCTAGGAAAAGTCAGGATGAGCATTTAAGTCCTTCTGGCTCCTTAATTTGTCTTCCCCAGTATGACGTCTTTTTGTTTGTATTAGAATTTTCAGTGCTTGCTGTTAAGAGGTCAGTGTTCATTTATTGATAGGTTTTTAAGTTATACTTATATTGGGTGCTCTTTTATATTATGCTTCAAATCTTTGACTAATGTTTTGCTAAATTGACAAATCGTAAGATCTCATTCTCAGCAAATGTCTCCTCTTAGATAAGGAGTTATTTCATTTCAACGTTTCAACTCTTTTCTGGAAAAAGAAAGATGAAGCATATTTGACAAATGGTTGGCCGACTACTCTACCAGCTGCTTGGGTCAGGGGTGGTGTGGGAACCTCAGTGGAGAGGAGACAAGAGGAAGTGTAATGGACTGGGACTGGAAACTCCCCATCTCCACTTCCCCTATGGAAGCTCTGGTTTGCATTGTATCTACTAATATTTCAAATAAAATGTGAAAAAAAGTTTGCCCTCCTTAAAACATTTGGAAAATAAATGAAACAAAAATACTGAAGTCGTGAAACTCAACAGACAATATCCAAAAACAAAGGTTTCCAACTTCAGCTGCATCAGAAGCACTGCAGGCCTTGTTAAAACACAGGTCCCTGGGCTGTACCTCTAGATTTCCTAATTCTGTAGGTCTGGGGTGAAGCCCAGGGATGTGTATTTTAACCAGTTCCTAGGTGAGGTCATGATGCTGCTAGTTCTGCAACTACACCTTGAGAACCACTTCCCTAGAAATACACAGGTGTAGACTGTATCAATCTTAGACACCTGTTGTTTCAATAAGAGATGTCTTTTCGTACCATCTGAGATCTTTGTATGCTAAGACATAATTTTAGCCCTGCCAAACACAAGTTGTTTACATTTTTTAAATTAGATGCTGCCGTGTTCTTATATCAGAAGATTTCACACATAAATCTGGATTTCCAGCTTCTTTAGAAAAATCAGAATAACTGACATTGCTGGGCATCTTTGCCACCTGGCAGCCATCTGCTGGAGACAGAAAGCTGCTGCCTCCTTTAGACAGGCACGTCCTCCCCTCCCTTCGGCCTCTCCCTCCAGCTTCCTTCATGCTCAAGAAATCAGACACGCTCAAACTCAAATCTGAAAGCCTATTGGAAGTATGTTTGGGTTACACAACTAATCATTTAGGATTATCACTCCCTTGCTGCGTTGACTTGAAAGGCCTCCTTTGCTATAGCACTTAGAATGGAGATCATTTCCTACTGTTTGCTATCTATTGCTAATAGGGTATATTAAAGTGTTAAATATGGATATATGAGAAGGAAATCAAGCTTCTTGTAAATTTACATAAAATATATTATTCTAGACCTCTACCTTGGCTTAGAAGCCTTAACTAATACCCAATGGAATACTTCACTCAGCTTTAAAAGAAATTTCACCGACTTCTACTCATCTGCCAATGCTGGCTACTTTCTGAGTTTATATAAAAAATAAATCTGTAGCATGATGGCTGGAAACACAAACACATTTAAATTCTCAGACTCTTTGGAGAGTCTATTGCTGCCTTTGACTCTGTGATGTTTCTTGATTCTTTGGAACAAAGTCCCAGCCTTCGTCTCTTTCAAAGGAGGGATTTGCACTAAAACCAATATTCCTAGCCCATGCTCATCAGGGTCAGAGGCTGCCTTTTCCACTAAGATGCCTCAATATTCACAATCATTTCACAACTTAATTGGGTCGGTTTCCCTAAATTCAAACGCAGAAAGTCCCATAGAACTTGCTTTGCTTAACAAAGAAGGCTTTCTTTCCCAAACCCCTCTGGCTTTGGTGACTTGGAAAATCTTATTAGCCAGATGAAAAAAAAAAAAAAATTCCACCACCAACTCCGGTACTCAAATGGCTATTTGGAGGCTTGTGAGGAGCAAGAACCCAATTAAGCAGCTCAGCTGCACAGGCCTGAGTGTAGCGTGGCAGACCCGGGGCGCCCTAGCACGCCCCCTTTGACTCTGCCTGGCTGAGCTTCCTTTAAGCTCTCTGTCAGAGTGGTATGGTTCTGAGTGGTTCATTTCGCAACCACAAGGCACTAGCGGAGGGTGAAGCTAATGCAGGCTTCGGGTAGTCGGATCAGGGAGCTATGACTCTGATATCTAAACAGGGATTTGGTTGGAGCAGAGGCAGGCTTAAAACAACTTTCTCATAACAAAATAGAATGGCTAAACGGAGCTGCAAAAGCATTTTCTCTGACCCTTTTGTCCTTAGTTTCAAAAGGAGCAAATATGTTCTACTTTCTTCGCTTGACCTCTTATCTAAGAAAAAATAACCCTTAACCCCCACGAATAGTGCTGACAAATCTTTTCTAGGTCTGGTGGTGTGTTTGAAAGAAATGAAGCCCAGGTGGTGGCTGAATCGGCGGAGGTGCCTCTGTCCAGAGAAGCCACGAGAGCCAGGAGGCATTTCCTGAGTAGAGGAAAACAGCTACACACACGAAGGACCCGGAATATTGAACCCCAAGGTTCGACAGACTGAGGACAGAGGATAGCCAATTAAAATGATCGATTCCCAAGTGATTCTTACATGACAGTATAATCTTTAAAAACATAGCAAGCTATTTTAGAAGCAGGACCACACAATAATTTGTTAAAACTGAAGTTTTGTGAAAGTAAGAGTTTCAATAAACTTGATTAAAATCAAGGTCCATTTCTCATCCACATTGAGTTTCTCAGCCAAATCGAAAATGAGCAATGTAAATACTAGTTATTTTATAACTTGTAGATTTGGAGAGATCCCAATTTTTATAATTTTTGAGTCTAATTATCCATTTTATTTCCATTTATTATGTGCTTTTTAAAAGTTCTGTCCTGAGTGAACTCATAAATAATTTCCATGTATGTATTCTGTCTTCTGACTTGAACTTTTAGCATCTATTAGATGTCAAATAAACTATTAGGCGCTCTGAGACAAAACTGGTCTTTTGGGGGTGGGTATTTTGTTTTGTTTTGTTTAATCCTCAAAGGGATTACAATTTATTTAGGGAAAATGAGTCTAAACTTGGAACTATTAAGAAAATGTACAGGCCGATAGAATTTCCTCTTACATTTTAACGTAGTTCAAGGCTCTATCCTTGGCCTTTTTGTTTACTCATTTACCCACTCTCTTTGGAGAATCTCACATGTACCCATGGATGTCTCCTATATCACTGTCTCCATCCCCAAATTTCCTTTCGACATACAAATGTTTATTTTGAATTCCCTCCAGGAAATCACACCTGGGTTTTCCACAAATAGTTCAAACTCAACATTTTCCAATCTTTCTGGTCATTTTCCCCACAAACCTGTTCCTACTCAGGTACCACTTATCATCACGATGGCATTGCATGCACCCAGCTGACCTAGAAGAGATGAGAATTATTCTAGACTCCTGCTTCTTCCCCGTTTCCAGATAATCACCAAATATAGTCAATTAAACTACTAGCTCTATGAATTTCCTCTCTGTTCTTACCAAGCTTATTTTAGTCCCTTAGCAGCTCTGCTTGCATGCACACCAGTGGGTTAAATTACCATCTAAATACTAAGACTTCTCAAATCTTTACTTCCAGTCCAGATCTCATCCCTGAGCTCTATTTATATATTCAAAGTATTAGTCTCCTATTTTTGGACATGTCACAGATAATTTCTGGCAGAGGCTGCTAATTGTCTACACGATATTCCTAACTATTAAGACCTCAGCTTTGGTCAAGGTGACAATATTTTCAAAATACTTTCTTAGATTCCTTTTCAGGAAAGGGGATGATAACCAGTACTGGCTAAAGAAATGTAAGTGAAATTCATTTGATGGAACTTCTGAAAACATTTATTTATTTATTTATTTATTTATTTATTTTGAGACAGGTTCTTGCTCTTTTGCCTAGGCTGGAGTATAGTGGCTCAATCATGGCTCACTGCAGCCTCAGACTCCTGGGCTCCAGTGATCCTCCCACCTCAACCTCCCAAAGCTCTGGGATTATAAGTGTGAGCCACTGCACCTGGCTATTTTTTAAAAATTTTGCGTAGATATGGAGTTTTGCTATGTTGCCCAGGCTGGCCTTGAAATCCTCAAGCAATCCTTCTGCCTTGGCCTCCCAAAGCTCTGGGATAAGGGGTGTGAGCCACCATGCTGGCCACTGAAAAGAATTTATGAAGGACAAACTTGGTTGGATGCATCTCAGTCCTTTGCTGTGTGACATCTTTACTCTTCCCCCTTCTTTCTGTCTATAACCAGTCTGTGGGATGTACACAATTTGTGACATCATTAAAGTAAAATGACAATTTTTGTCTCTCATTGCCCCTATAAAATTTGTCAATGGGGCCAGCTTCTCCTACATTTTATTTCTCAATGAATGGCATCATGATTTACCCAATTATTTAATATCTATAACTTGTTCATCACTGTTTGATTTCTCTTTCTTTCCCATCTCAGGAGTATAATCAGTTCACAAGTTCTGTTACTTCTTCTTCCCAAATGGCTTTTGAATTATTCCAGCCTCCCCTATTTCCACTGCCTCCTCCCAAGTACAGTCAATGCTCACCTCTTACCTAGATGACAGCCACACACCCCAAGCTGCGATCCTTGCTTCCAGTTCTTCCCACTTCAATCCCATGGCTGTTCTACAGCCAATGGAAATTTTCCTAACCTGTCATTCAGATCAAGCCACTCACCTGCTTAAAATCCTACAATGACTTCTCACGGCCTGCAGGCTAAGCCTGAAAATCTGTACAAATTTTCCAAGACCCTTCATGATTTGAGAGAGCAGAGAAAGGAGACAGGCTTTGGGCTTTTTTGATGGGTAGAGTATGGGGCCAGGGCAAGCGTTCCAGTGTGTGGGCAGGGACTTGCATGGTTCAAACCTCCTGCCAGCATCAAAGGAGGGAGCACTCAGGCTTTCTCACTGGATTGCTCAGATGTGGGGAGAAAGGGGAAGAGGGAGGGGTGAAGCTTACAAGCCATCAGCAGCTGAACAAAAAATAATGGAGTCAGACTCTTTATCACACGGAATTAATGGTGAACTCCAAACATGGGTCAAGGCAACTACTGACTCAGTGCTACTGTCTGCAATAGTTCTATGAATAATTTCCACTAGCTGCAAATATATTGGGTTTTATCTTAGTACTTCAGGAGAATAGGTTTAGGAAAAAAATGTTTTACATACAAAGTGGTTAGTAGGACAGAAGATGAGAGATGGAAAGAGAGAGGAGGGTACAGAAAGAATTTCCACAAAAGTTGAATTTGCAAACTAAAATTTGGAAGTCAGACAACTATGCTATATCTTCCTAGTGCTCACAAGGATTTTTGCTTCTCCTTTCTTTTGGTCATCTTCTCCTTAGATTGAGACATGACCACGTGAGCAGAAATGACTTTCACACTTAAAAGGCTATGAGAGATGCTCAATGTTTTGTTTCCCTTTCATGACGAACACCAAAGATACGTATTGAGATGGCAATATCATATGACAGTTGAGTGTTCCTAAACCTGACGTTGAAGTGATTACAGGGGGCAGAGTTCCCCTGCTGAGATATACAAAAGAGAAAAAAAGAAACCATTTTTTTTTTGTTTTAAACAAAATAATTGGAGTTGTTTTATATTCCAGTATTCAAAGTAAAGGATGATAGATCCATGGTAATCACTGGCCCATAGCAATTCTGAAATTCCTCTGTCAGATAGAGTGAAGGCTGACCACAGTGGAATGTGGGGATTCCTTGATGAGACCCAGAATCTGCTTCCTGGGAGGAACTACTTTATCGATAGTTCTCCATGGGTCCTTCTTCCACCTTTAGGGAGACTTCTGCCTTTTCAAGACTTTTTGTTTTGTTTTGTTTTGTTTTGTTTTTTTAACTGTATCTAGGTGAGGATTGTGTAGCATGCCCTCCTTAGAAGATGTGTAAACCTTGAAGCTGCCTCCTATTTATGGGAGATTGGAAGAGGGAGGAGACAGGGACAAGGGTTAATATAAAACTCAAACAGTAAAAGGCATTCCTAATCTAGTCCTATGGTATACTTGACAATCCAGTTCCCTCAAAAATTTAGAAAAGTTCTGACCTGTTTGCATCTGGTCAGTTTCACATGCTAATAACCATACCTACCATTTTTTTTGTAAGGGGAGGGGGATGGAGTCTCACTCTGTTGCCCAGGCTGCAGTGCAGTGGCATGATCTTGGATCACTGCAACCTCTGCCTCCTGAATTCAAGCGATTCTCCTGCCTCAGCCTCCTGAGTAGCTGGGATTACAGGCGTCCACCACCATGCCCAGCTAATTTTTGTATTTTTGTAGAGACGGGGTTTTACCATGTTAGCTAGGCTGGTCTTGAACTCCGGACCTCAGGTGATCCACCCGCCTCGGCCTCCCAAAGTTCTGGGATTACAGGTGTGAGCCACTGTGCCCAGCCCACACCTACCATTTTTTAGGACATAGTCCTCAAATCCACTTTATGTCTTTGCTCTATCAACTCCACACTTCTCCCACAGATGTTTGCAACCCATGGATCAGGATGTCCCCTTGAGTGCCCACATCACCAGGGCCTTGGGTCTGATACACAGAGCTGTGTGGAGTCTCAGCAAAGCAGCTGCTCAGGCACACACAGAGACCAAGGATTACATACTCCAGGCCTGGGATCCCCAGCAAGAAGGGAGATCGGACCATACATATCCCTAGGAAGGGGGCTGAATCCAGGGAGCCAGGCAGCATTGTTCCGCAGGGCTCACTTCCAGAGCACTTCACAAGTTAAGACACACTTGCTTGGAATTCCTGTCAGCCAATGGCAACAGGCTGGAGTCTGCCTGATATGGAATGGAATTCCAGGGGGAGGGGCAGCTGCCATCTCTGCAGTTTGGTCAACTTAGCTTTTCCAGCCTGCTGGTTTTAGAGAGTCCAAATGGTACAGACAAGGAAGGGTCCCCTCCAGTGCAGCATAGCTGCTTTGCCAGATCATGACCAGACTGCTTCTTTAAGCAGGCTCCTGATCTATTCCTCTTCATTGGGTGGGACTACCCTATGGGGGCTTCAGCCACTCCAGCCAGGGTTCTACAGACAGAGCTCTCATCTCTCCCTGGGATGGAGCTCCTGGGGGAAGAGGCAGCTGGCACTTCTGTGGTTCAGTTGACTCAGATGTTCCAGCCTGTTGGTGCTGGAGAATACAAATGATCTAGACAAGGAAGGGTCCCTCACAATGCATCTGCCTTATCAGATTGTGGTGAGACTGCTTCTTTAAGTGGAACCCCAGTCCGTTCCTACTCACTGAGCAGGACCTCCTTGCAGGGGCTTCAGCCACTCCAGCCAGGGTTCTATGGACAAAGCTCTGATCTCTCCCTGGGATGGAGCTCCTGGGAGAAGGGGTGGCCACCATCTCTGTCATTCTGTAGACTCAGCCATTCCAGCCTGCTGGCTTTGGAGAATACAAATGGTCCAGATGAGAAATAGTCCCCTACAATGCAGCAAACCTGCTCTACCAAAATGCAGCCAGACTGCTTATTTAAGCAGGTCCCTGATCCCATTTCTCCTGACTGGGTGAGACCTACCAACAGGGGTCTCCAGCCCCCTTCCACAGACATGTTCAGGCCTGCCAGTTCAGGTCAGTAACTCATGGGATGGAGCTTCAAGAGGAAGGAGCAGGCTGTCATCTTTGCTGTTTCACAGACTTCACTGATGACACCTCCAGGTATGGGAAAAACTTAGGCAACTATGGTCTACAGCGGACCCCCAGAAAACCAGAGCAGCCCTACAGAAGAGTGGCTTGACTATTAAAAGAAAAATAAAATAAACAGAAAACAACAACATCAACAAAAAAGACCCCACAAAAACCCCCATTCAAAGGTTAGCAACCTTAAAAATCGAAGGTAGATAAGGCCACATAGATGAGAAAGAATCAATGCAAAAATGCTAAAAACTCAAAAGCCAGAGTGCCTCTTCTCCTCCAAATGACCTCAACACTTCTCCAGCAAGGGCACAGAACTGGGCTGAGGCTGAGATGGCTGTACTGACAGAAGTAGGCTTCAGAAGGTGGGTAATAATAAACTTCACTAAGCTAAAGGAGCATGTTGTAACCCAATACAAAGAAGCAAAGAATTACCATAAAACAATACAGGAGCTGATAGCAAGAATAGCCAGTTTAGAGAGGAGCATAAAACTGACCTGATGGAGCTGAAAAAGACAACATGAGAACTCCACAATGCAATCACAAGTATCAATAGCAGAATAGACCAAGAAGAGGAAAGAATCTCAGATCTTAAAGACTATCTGTCTGAAATAAGACAGGCAGACAAGAATAGAGAAAAAAGAATGAGAAAGAATGAACAAAACCTCTGACAAATATGAGATTATGTAAAGAGACTAAACCTACAACTGATTGGGGTACCCAAAAAAGATGAGGAGGATAGAACCAAATGGGAAAACGTATATCAGGATATCATCCAGGAAATCTTCTCCAATCTAGCAAGACAGGTCAACATTCAAATTCAGGAAATGCAGAGAACCCCAGTAAGATACTCCATGAGAAAATCAACCCCAAGACATATAATCATCAGATTATCCAAGGTTGAAATGAAAAAAATTTGTTAAGGCAGCCAGAGAGAAAGATCAGATCACCTACAAAGGGAAGCCATCAGACTAACAGTGGACCTCTCAGTGGAAACCCTACTAGCCAAAAGACACTGGGGGCCAATATTCAACATTCTTAAAGAGAAGAATTTTCTTGTAAATGTGTTTGAGTTCATTGTAGATTCTGGATATTAGCCCTTTGTCAGATGAGTAGGTTGCGAAAATTTTCTCCCATTTTGTAGGTTGCCTGTTCACTCTGATGGTAGTTTCTTTTGCTGTGCAGAAGCTCTTTAGTTTAATTAGATCCCATTTGTCAATTTTGGCTTTTGTTGCCATTGCTTTTGGTGTTTTAGACATGAAGTGCTTGCCCATGCCAAATTTACAAGAAAAAAACAAACAACCCCATCAAAAAGTGGGAAAAGGATATGAAGAGACACTTCTCAAAAGAGGACATCGATGCAGCCAAAAGACACATGAAAAAATGCTCATCATCACTGGCCATCAGAGAATGCAAATCAAAACCACAATGAGATACCATCTCACACCAGTTAGAATGGCAATCATTAAAAAGTCAGGAAACAACAGGTGCTGGAGAGGATGTGGAGAAATAGGAGCACTTTTACACTGTTGGTGGGACTGTAAACTAGTTCAACCATTGTGGAAGTCAGTGTGGCGATTCCTCAGGGATCTAGAACTAGAAATACCATTTGACCCAGCCATCCCATTACTGGGAATATACCCAAAGGACTATAAATCATGTTGCTATAAAGACACATGCACACATATGTTTATTGCGGCACTATTCACAATAGCAAAGACTTGGAACCAACCCAAATGTCCAACAATGATAGACTGGATTAAGAAAATGTGGCACATATACACCAGGGAATACTATGCAGCCATAAAAAATGATGAGTTCATGTCCTTTGTAGTGACATGGATGAAATTGGGAATCATCATTCTCAGTAAACTATCGCAAGGACAAAAAACCAAACACCGCATCTTCTCACTCATAGATGGGAATTGAACAATGAGAACACATGGACACAGGAAGGGGAACATCACACTCTGGGGACTGTTGTGGGGTGGTGGGGGAGGGATAGCATTAGGATATATACCTAATGCTAAATGACGAGTTAATGGGTGCAGCACACCAGCATGGCACATGTATACATATGTAACTAACCTGTACATTGTGCACATGTACCCTAAAACTTAAAGTATAATAATAATAAAAAAATAAAAAATTAAAAAAAAGAAAGAAAGGCTAAGTTACAAAACTCTCCCCTGCTCTTTGATGCATAAAAATAAAGTTTAAAAAATGGCTCTGCCACTTTAAAAAAAAAAAAAAAAGAAAAAGAAAAGAATTATCAACCCAGAATTTCGTAGCCAGCCGAACTAAGCTTCCTAAGTGAAGGAGAAATGAGATCATTTTCAGACAAGCTAATGCTGAGGGAATTCATCACCACCAGCCCTGCCTTTCACAAGCTCCTGAAAGAAGTACTAAATATCGAAAGGAAAAACATTACCAGCTACCATAAAAACACACTGAAGTACAAAGACCAGTGACACTATGAAAGAACCACATAAACAAGTCTGCAAAATAACCAACTAACATCATGATGACAGAATCAAATTCACATATAACAATACTAACCTTAAATGCAAATGGGCTAAATGCCTCAATTAAAAGACACAGAATGGCAAGTCAGATAAAATACTAAAACCCATCGGTATGCTGTCTTCAAGAGACCCATCTCATGTGCAAAGACACATATAGGCACAAAATAAAGGGATGGAGAAAAATTTACCAAGTAAATGAAAAACAGATAAAAAGCAGGGACAATAATTATAGTTTCTGACAAGACAGACTTTAACAAAAATAAAAAAGACAAAGAAGGGCATTGCATAATGGTAAAGGATTCAATTCAAGAAGAAGAGTTAATTATCCTAAATATACCTGTACCCAATACAGGATCACCTAGATTCATAAAACAAGTTCTTAGAGACCTGTGAACAGACTTAGATTCCCACACAATAATAGTGGGAGACTTTAACACCCCACTGACAATATTAGACAGATCATCAAGACAGAAAATTAACAAAGATATTCAGGACCTGAATTCAGCTCTGAATCAAGTGGATCTGATAGATATTTACAGAACTCTCCACCCCAAAACAGCAGAATATACATTCTTGTCATTACCACCCAGCACTTACTCTAAAATTGATCACATAATTGCAAGCAAAACACTCCTCAGCAAATGCAAAAGAACTGAAGTCATAACAGTCTTTCAGATCACAGCATAATCAAATTAGAACTCAAGATTAAGAAATGTACTCAAAACCACACAACTACGAGGAAATTGAACAACCTGGTCCTGAATGACTCTTGGGTAAATAGCGAAATTAAGTCAGAAAACAAGAAGTTCTTTCAAACTAATGAGAACAAAGAGACAACATACCAGACTCTCTGGGACTCAGCTAAAGCAGTGTTAAGAAAGAAATTTATAGCATTAAATGCCCACATCAAAAAGCTAGAAAGATCTCAATTTAACAACCTAACATCTCAACTAAAAGAACTAGAGAACCAAGAGCAAACAAACCCCAAAGCTAGCAGAAGACAAGAAATAACCAAGATCAGAGCTGAAGTGAAGGAGATAGAGACATGAAAAATTCTTCAAAAAAATCAATAAATCCAGGAACTGGTTTTTGAAAAACTTAATAAAATAGACCACTAGCTAGACTAGTAAAGAAGAAAAGGAAGAGGAATCAAACAGACTCAATCAGACATAATAAGGGGGATATCACTCTTGACCCCACAGAAATACAACCATCAGAGAATACTATAAACACCTTTATGCACATAAACTAGAAAATCTAGAAGAAATGGATAAATTCCTAGACACATACACCCTCCCAAGATGGACCCAGGAAGAAATTGAATCCCTGAATAGACCAATAATGAGTTCTGAAATTGAGGCAGTAATAAATAGCCTATCACCAAAAAAAAAACAAAAAACGCCCAGGACCAGATGGATTCAGAGCTGAATTCTACCACAGGTACAAAGAAGACCTGGTATCATTTCTACTGAAACTATTCCGAAAAATTGAAAAGGAGGGACTCCTCCTTAACTCATTCTATGAGGCTAGTGTCATCCTGATACCAAAACTTGGAAGAGATACAACAAAAAAGAGAAAACTTCAGGCCAATATCCTTGATGAACATCAATGCAAAAATCCTCAATAAAATGCTGTCAAACTGAATGCAACAGCACATTAAAAGGTTTATCCACCATTGTCAAGTTGGTTTCATCCCCAGGATGCAAGGTTGGTTCAACATACACAAATCAACAAATGTGATTCATCACATAAACAGATCTAAAGACAAAAACCACATGATTATCTCAAAAGATGCAGAAAAGGCCTTCAATAAAATTCACCATCCCTTAATGTTAAAAACTCTCAGTAAGCTAGGTATTGAAGGAACATATCTCAAAATAATCAGAGCCATATATGACAAACCCACAGCTAATATCATACAGAATGGGCAAAAGCCAGAAGCATTCCCCTTGAAAACTGGCACAAGACAAGAATGCCCTCTTTCACCACTCGTATTCAACGTAATAGTGGCAGGTCTGGCCAGGCCAATCAAGCAAGAGAAAGAAATAAAGGATATTCAAATAGGAAGAGAAGAAGTCAAATTATCTTTGTTTGCAGATAACATGATTCTATGTCTAGAACACCCCATTGTCTCAGCCTAAAGGCTTCTTAAGCTGATAAGCAACTTCAGCAAAGTCTCAGAGGAGAAAATCAATGTGCAAAAATTGGTAGCATTCCTATATACCAAAAACAGACAGGCAGAGAGCCAAATCATGGAAGTACTCCCATTCACAATTGCTACAGAAAGGATAAAATACATCTAACAAGGAAATACATCTAACAAGGAAAGTAAAGGACCTCTTCAAGGAGAACTACAAACCACTGATCAAAGAAATCAGAGTAGACACAAACAAAGAGAAAAACATTCCATGTTCATGGATAGGAAGAATCAATATCGTGAAAATGGCCACACTGCCCAAAGCAATTTATAGGTTTAATGCTATTTCCATTAATCTACCATTGACATTCTTCTCTGAATTACAAAAAACTATTTTAAAATTCATAAGAAACCAAAAAACAGCCTGAATAGCCAAGACATTCCTAGGCAAAAAGAACAATGCCGGAGGCATCATGCTACCTGACTTCAAACTATCCTACAAGGCTACAGTAACCAAAACAGCATGGTACTGGTACAAGAACAGACACATAGACCAATGGAACAGGACAGAGAACTCAGAAATAAGAGTGCACACCTACAACCATCTGATCTTCGACAAATCTGACAAAAACAAGCAATAAGCAAAGGATTCCTTATTTAATAAATTATGCTGAGAGAACTGGCTAGCCATATGCAGAAAATTGAAATGACCTCTTTCTTGCACCATATACAAAAATCAACTCAAGATAGATTAAAGACTTAAATGTAAAACCCAAAACTATAAAAACCCTAGAAGAAAAACTAGACAATACCATTCAGGACATAGGCATGGGCAAATATTTCATGACAAAAACACCAAAAACCAATTGCAACAAAAGCAAAATTGATAAATGAGATCGTTTAAATAGGATCTAATTAAACTAAAAAGCTTCTGCACAGCAACAGAAACTATCATCAGAGTGAAGAGATAACCCACAGAATGGGAGAAAATTTTTGCAATCTATCCATCTGACAAAGGTCTAATATCCAGAGTCTACAAGGAACTTAAGCAAATTTACAAGAAGAAAACAAACAACCCTATTAAAAAGTGGGCAAAGGACATGAACAGACACTGCTGAAAGAAGACCTACATGCAGCCAACAAACATATGAAAAAAAAATCTCAGGCAGGGGGCAGTGGCTCACACCTGTAATCCCAGCACTTTGGAAGGCTGAGGCAGGCAGGTCACCCGAGGTCAGTAGTGCAAGACCAGTCTGACCAACATAGAGAAACCCTGTTTCTAATAAAAATACAAAAAATTTGCCAGACGTGGTGGCAGGCACCTGTAATCCCAGCTACTCGGGAGGCTGAGGCAGGAGAATCGCTTGAACCTGGGAGGCGGAGGTTGCAGTGAGCCGAGATCACACTATTGCACTCCAGCCTGGGCGACATGGGCAAAACTCCATCTCAAAAAAATGAAAAAGAAAAAGAAAAAAAATCTCAACATTACTGATCATTAGAGAAATGCAAATCAAAACCACAATGAGATACCATCTCACACCAATCAGAAAGGCAGTTATTAAAAAGTCAGAAACCAACAGATGCTGGTGAAGTTGCAGAGAAAAAGGAACGTTTTCACACTGTTGGTGGGAATGTAAATTAGTTCCACCATTGTGGAAGACAGTGTAGCAATTCCTCAAACACCTAGAGGTAGAAATACCATTTGACCCAGTAGTCTCATTACTGGGTATATACCCAAAGAAATATAAATCATTCTGTTATAAAGATACATGCACATGTATCTTTATTGCAGCATTATTCAGAACAGCAAAACATGGAAACAACCTAAATGCTCATAAAAGATGGGCAGGATAAAGAAAATATGGTACATATACACCATGGAATACTATGCAGCTGTAAAAAAGGAATGCTATTATGTCCTTTGCAGGGACATAGATGGAGTTAGAAGCCATTATCTTCAGCAAACTAGCACAGGAAGAGAAAGCCAAACACTGCATGATCTCACATATACATGGGAGCTGAATGATGAGAACACATGAACACATGAGCAGGGGAATGACACACACCAGAGCCGGTCAGAAGTAAGTAGTTCTGGGGTAGGGAGGGCATCAGGAAGAATTGCTAACAGATGCTGGGCTTAATACCTAGGTGATGGCATGATCTGTGTAGCAAACTACCATGGCATACATTTACCTATATAACAAATGTGCACATCCTTCACATATACCCCTGTATTTAAAATAAAAGTTGAAGATAAAAAAAAAACAACAGCGGCACACTATTCATATCCTGTTTCCTACGTGTTATATTAGAATATAAGCTAAGTAGGTACATACTGCATACTCTGCCATCTAAGTTATAATAGGAAATATTTTATAAGCATTTTTGTCAATGTTTATTGTGAATCTACATCTTTCCAGCCTTCCGTAATGTTCTCCCTAGTATATGCTGCCAGAATTGTCCATACATTAGACCTTCAAAGTTAAGAAAATAGAAAATTTTCCCAGAAAAACAAATTGAGGCTACAGCTATTAGAAAAAGCATTAAATAAAAACTTTTTAAAATAGAGAGAAAGCTCAAATGCCAATGTTTCCCACTAAGTATGGCTGCCCTGAAGTCTCCCAATTTGAAATGCCTCTTGACCATAAATAATTGTAATAATCATAATACAAACTTATATTGGTAAAACATGTTTCAATTTATAAGGATCCTTTACACAAATTAAAGACAACTTTTATAAATTGATAAACTATTTTCTTGAAAAGTTTTAGGTTTACATAGAAGCTGAGTGGAAAGTGGAGTTCTCATAGGTCCCCTTACCAATCCTTTTTAGTTTCCCCTATTATCAATATTGTGCATTCATGTGGTACATTTATTACACTTTGTGAGTTAATATTGAGACATTATTATTAATTAAAGTCAATAGTTTACATTAAGGTTCACTCTTTGTGTTGTACATTCTATGGCTTTTAACAAAGGCATAGTAATGTGTCTCTACCATTACAGTGTCATATAGAATAGTGTCACTGCCCTAAAACTCCCCTGTGTGCTATTTATTTATCCCTCCCTCCCTCTCCTCAAGCCCCTGGCTAAAGACAATTTTTTAAGGTAAATAAGATAAATTAATTAATGTTATGTTATTTCCATACAATAAAGTACTCAAATCTTTACTATTTTATTTGTTTTATTTTTCTGAGACAGGCCTCACTCTGTTGCCCAGGAAGGAATGCAGTGGCACAATCTCAACTCACTGCAACCTCCGCCCCTCAGGTTCAAGTGATTCTCCTGCCTCAGCTTCCTGAATAGCTGGGATTACAGGCATGAGCCAATATGACCAGTTGATTTTTGTATTTTTAGTAGAGACGGGGTTCCACCATGTTGGCCAGGCTGGTCTTGAACTTCTGGCCTCAAGTGATCTGCCCATCTTGGCCTCCCAAAGTGCTGGGATTACAGGCATGACCCACCAGGTCTGGCCAGTACTCAAAGCTTTAGATAAACATTCATATTCAAATTCATTGGAATTATTCTAACAATACCTGAAAGTGTAAAAGTGAGAGTGAAATCAACTTATTTCTCACTATAGTGTTGAATACTAATAAGTTAGTGACCATTCTCCTAAATATTATCCATCCATAAATGTGCTTTGTGCACAGATACATACAAGCACATCTCATTTTATTGTTCTTAGCTTTATTGTGCTTTGCAGATACTGTGATTGATTGATTGATTGATCAATTTTACAAATTGAAGGTTTGTGGCAACCTTACACAGAATGAGTCTATTGGCATCAATTTTCTAATAGCATGTGTTCACTTTGTGCCTCTGTATCACATTTTGGTAATTTGCACAATATTTCAAACCTTTTTTTTTTTTTTGAGATGGAGTCTCACTCTGTCACCCTGGCTGGAGTGCAGTGGCATGATCTCAGCTCACTGTAGCCTCTGCCTCCCTGTTTCAAGTGATTCTCCTGCCTCAGCCTCCCGAGTAGCTGGGATTACAGGCATGTGCCACCAGGCCCGGCTAATTTTTGTATTTTTAGTAGAGACAGGGTTTCACCATGTTGATAAGGCTGGTCTTGAACTCCTGACCTCATGATCCACCTGCCTCGGCCTCCAAAAGTGCTGGGATTACAGGCGTGAGCCACCATGCCCAGCCTCAAATCTTTTTACTATTATTATCTCATTATTAGATATTTTGTTCTTTTGGTGGGGGACAGGGTCTCACCTCTGTTGCCCAGACTGGAGTGCAGTGGCATAATCATAGCTCACTGCAGCCTCAAACTTCTGGGCTCAAGTGATCCTCTCATCTCAGCCTCCTGGCCTCAAGCAATCCTCCCATGTCAGCCTCCCAAAGTGTTGGGACTTCTAGCATGAGCCACTGCACCCAGCCTTATCATATCTTTTATATTGATCTGTGATCAGTGATTTTTGAAGTTACTATTATAATTGTTTTGGGGTGCCATGAACCATATAAGACGGAACCTTAATCAATAAATGTTTTGTGTGTTCTCACTGCTCCACCAACTGGCCGTTTCCCCATCTCTCTCCTCCTCAGGCCTCTCTCATAAGACACACCAATATTGAAATAGGGCCAATTAATAACCCTACAATGGCCTCTAAATCTTCAAGTTAAAGGAAGAGCCCATGTCTCTCACTTTAAATTAAAATCTAGTAATAATTCAGCTCAGTAAGGAAAGTATATCAAAAGCCAAAATAGGCCAAAAGCTAGGTAGGCTTCTTGCACCAAACAGTTAGACAAGTTGTGAATGCAAAGGAAAAGTTCCTGAAGAAAATTAAAAGTGCAGCTTTGGGGAGTGCACGAATGATAAGAAAGCAAAACAGACTTATTGCTGATATGGAGAAAATTTTAGTGGTCTGGATAGATGGTAGATCCAGCTACAACATCTCCTTAAGCCAAAGCCTAACCCAGAGCAAGGCCCAAACACTCTTCTACAAATTGTATGAAGGCAGAGAGAAGCGAAGAAGGTGCAGAAAAAAAGTTGGAAGCTTGCAGAGGTTGGTACATGAGGTTTGGAGAAAGCAGCCATCTTCATAACATAAAAGTGTAAGGTGAAGCAGCAAGTGCAGATGGAAAAGCTGCAGCCAGTTAACTGGAAGATCCAGGCAAGATCTTTGATGAAGGTGGCTACACTAAACAACAGACTTTCAATGTAGATTAAACAGCCCCTCTTGGAATAAAATGCCATCTAAAGCTTTCATAACTAGAGAGAAGTCAATACCTGATTTCAAAGTTTCAAAGGACAGGCTGACTCTTTTGTTAGGGGCTAATGCAGCTGGTGACTTTATGTTGAAGCCAATGCTCACTTTCCGTTCTGAAAACCCTAACACCCTAAAGAACTACGCAAAATCTACCCTACCTGAACTGTACAAATGGAACAAGAAAGCCTGGGTGATAGCACATCTGTTTACAGCGTGGTTTACTGAATATCTTAAGCCCATTGTTGAGACCTACTCGTCAGAAGAAAAGATTACTTTCAAAATTACTGCTCATTGGCAATGTGCCTGGTCACTCAAGAGCTTCGATGGAGATGTGCAAGAATATACTTGTTTTTTTCATGCCTGTGAACACAACATCCATTCTGTAACCCACTGATCAAGGAGCAATTTTGACTTTCAAGTCTTATTACTTAAGAAATATATTTCACAAAGTTATAGATGTGATAGAGTGATTCCTCTGATGGATCTGGGAAAAGTTAATTGAAAACTATTCAGAAAAGATTTACAATTATGGGTGCCATTAGAAACTTTCTTGATTCATGAGAGGAGGTCAAAATATCGACATGAAGAGGAGTTTGGAAGATGTTAATTCCAATCCTCATTGGATGACTTTGAAAGCTTCAAGACTTCAGTGGAGAAAATAAATTCAAGTGTAGTAGAAATAGCAAGAGGACTAGAATTAGATATGAAGCCTGAAGATGCAATTGAATTGCTACAATCTTATGATAAAACTTGAACACATGAGGAGTTGCTTACTATGGATGAGCAAAGAAAGTGGTTTCTTGAGATGGAATCTACTCTTGGTGAAGATGCTGTGAACATTGTTGAAATCACAACACAGGATTTAGAAAATTACATACTTTTAATGTAAAATTACATAATAAACATTAGTTAAAGAAGCAGCAGCAGGGTTCAAGAGGACTGACTACAAGATTGAAAGAAGTTCTACTGTGGGTAAAATGCTATCAAACAGCATCATATACTACAGAGAACTCTCATAAAATGAAAAGTCAATGGATGCAGCAAACTTCATTGTTGTCTTAATTGCCACAGCCAACCCAATGCTTAGCAATAATGACGCTGATCAGTCAGCAGCCATCAACATCAGAGCAAGACCCTCCACCAGCAAAAATATTGTGACTCACTGAAGGCTCAGATGATCATTAGCATTTTTTAGCAATGAAGTGCAATAAAGCATTTTTAAATTGAGGTATTTACATTGCTTTTTCTGGTGTAATACTATTGCACACTTATAGAGTACAGTATAGTATAAAAACAATTTTTATATGCACTGGGAAATCAAAAATTACTGTGACTTGCTTTATTGTGATATTTTCTTTATTGCAGTGGTCTAGAACTAAACCTGCAATCTCCTCAAGGTATATGTTTAAATAAATGTTGACAGTAATGACATTATAAGATACACTAAACCCTGCTGCTTAAAAGGGTGTGTTCTGTGTCTTGATATGGGTGGGGGTTACATGGGTATAATGCAAGTTCATGACATGTGCATGTGTATGTGTGTGTGTATGTGTGGGAGAGAGAGAGCGAGAGATGGAGAGAGGGGAAGAAAGAGAGAGAGATCTTTTAAAATAATCATCTTGTTAGTCTACATATTTATTTGAAAATAATTCTATTTAACTGTGTTAGTTTTCTATTACTGTTGTAACAAACTACCACACCCTCAGTGGTTTAAAACAATACTGATTTATTATCTTACAGTGTTAGAGGTCAAAAGTTCAAAACAGTTCACCAGGTTAAAAGCAAGGAGCTGCAGGGCTGCATTTCTTCTGGAGCCCCATGGAGAGAGCCATTCCTTGTCTTTTCCATCTTCTAGAGGCTGCCTGCATTTCTTGGCTCATGGCTGCACTTCTCCAATCTCTGCTTCTGTCATCACATCTCTCATTCCTCTGCCTAACTCTTTTCATTTTAATCACTATCATGATTATGTTAGGTATACCTTGCTAATCCAGGATAGTCTTCCTATCTCAAGATACCTAATTTAATTACATCTGCAAAGTCCCTTTTGTCATGGTGGGTAACATATGCACAAGTTCCATTGATTAAAATGTGAATGTCTTTAAAGGGCCGTTGTTCTGCCTGTCATAAGAACGTATAGGTTAAAAAATTAACAATATAAATTAGAAAATGTTTTAAATTGAATGAAAAAACCCCACAACATATCAAAATATGTGGGATTCAGTGAAAGCAGTGCTTAGAGAGACATTTATAGATTTTAGTGCATTAAAAAAAAAGTAAGGACTCAAATCTATGATACTCTTTAAAAAGAAGAGCAGATTAATACAAACATACAGTGGGAAGAAAACAATAAAAATAATCACAGATATAGATAAAATTAAAAAAGAAACACAATAAAGAAAATTAACCAAAGGAAAATCTGGTTTTTTTAAAGATATCAAGAAAATTGCTAAATTTCTAACCAGATTGATTAAGAAAGAGAAAATAAATTACTAATATTAGAAATAAGAAAGGGAACACCACTACTGTCAATGAAAAGAGTTAAGCTCTGTAAAATATTTGAAGATATTTATTTGAGCCAAGTATGAGTGACCATGGCCCATGACACAGCCCTCAGGAGGTCCTGAGAACATGTGCCCAAGGTGGTCAGGGTGCAGCTTGGTTTTCTACATTTTAGGGAGGCATGAGACATCAATCAAATACATTTAAGAAATACATTGGTTTGGTTCAGAAAGGTGGGACAACTCAAGGCAGGGGCTGCCAGGCTATAGGTAAATTTAAACATTTTCTGGTTGACAATTAGGTTGAGTTTGTCTAAAGACCTGGGGTCAATAGAAAGGAAATGTTCAGGTTAAGATAAAAGATTGTGGAGACTAAGGTTCTTTTGAAGTCTCATAGTGGCTGCCCTTAGAGACAATAGATGACAAATGTTTCCTATTCAGTCCTTTAAAAGGTGCTAGACAAGTAATCTCTTCAGGACTGGGAAGGCCTGGAAGAAAAAGACCTAGCTATGTTAATAGAGTTTCTTTACAGATGTAAATTTTCCCCCATAAAGGACAGCTTTGCAGGGCCACTTCAAAATATGGCAAAGAAACATGTTTTGGGGTAAAATATTTTTATTTTCTTTTTTGTCATGTAATGTTATGCCAGAGTCAGATTGGAAAGTAAGTCACAATATATCAGGTTAAATAAACCCATCTGATGACAATTTATGGTTTGTAGGGCATGACTCCCTAGACCCCTTAGATAGGAATTTGGGCAGGATGAGGAAAAACCAGAGCTTAGTCCTCACTACAGATGCTACAGACTGTAAAAGGATATTAATGAAACATTATGAACAATACTTTGCCAATAAATATAATTTAACTGACATAAAGTTTCTTTCTTCTCTAAAAAAAAGTTTAAGGAGGTTTATTCTGAGGCAGTATGAGTGACCATGGCCCAGGGAAGAGTCTCATGAGGTCCTGAGAAATTGTGCCTAAGGCAGTCAGCTTACAGTTTGGTTTTATACATTTTAGGAAGACAGGAGTTATGAGCAAAGACATAAATCAATACATGTAAGGTATACATTGGCTTCCGCCCAAAAAGATGGGCCATCTTGAAGCAGGGTCTTACAGGTCAAAGGTGGATTCAAAGATTTCTGATTGGCAATTTGTTGAAAAAAAACTGGAAGTCAACTGAAAGAAATGCTTGAGTTAAGATGATGGGGGTTGTGGATGCCAAGGTTCTTGTTATGTAGATGAAGCCTCTTAGATAGCAGGTTTCAGAAAGAATATGTGGTAAATTTCTCCTTTGGAACCTCAAAAGGTGCCAGACTCTTAGTTAATCTCTCCTAGATCCAAGAACACCCAGAAAGGAAAGGCATGAGTCCATTAGTAGAGATTCTCTACAAATACAATTTCCCCACAAAAGACAGCTCTGCAGGGCCATTTAAAAGTATTCAAAAGGCAGCCGGGTGTGGTGGCTCATGCCTGTAATCCCAGCTCTTTGTGAGGCCAAGATGGGTGGATCACAAGGTCAGGAGATTGAGACCATCCTGGTGATCACGGAGAAACCCCGTCTCTACTAAAAATACAAAAAATTAGCTGGGCATGGTGGTGGGCGCCTGTAGTCCCAGCTGCTTGGGAGGCTGAGGCAGGAGAATGGCATAAACCCGGGAGGCAGAGCTTGCAGTGAGCCAAGATAGCGCCACTGCGCTCTGGCCTGGGCAAAAGAGCGAGACTTTGTCTCAGAAAAAAAAAAAAAATTCAAAAAGCTGGGCATGGTGGCTCATACCTGTAATCCCAGCACTTTGGCAGGCGGGTCATGAGGTCAGGAGACCAAGACCATCCTGGCTAACACGGTGAAACTCTAAAAATACAAAATTATTGTCTCTTCTAAAAATACAAAAAATTAACCAGGTGTGGTGGTAGGCACCTGTAGTCCCAGCTACTCAGGAAGCTGAGGCAGGAGAATGGCATGAACCCGGGAGGCGGAGCTTGCAGTAAGCTGAGATCACACCACTGCACTCCAGCCTGAGCAACAGAGCAAAACTCCATCTCAAAAAAAAAATTCAAAAAATACATTTTGAGATAAAATATATTTATTTCCTTCAGGGTCTGCTCTCTGTCATTTGATGCTATACCAGAGTCAGTTTGAAATTTGGTATCTTCAAAAATTAGCTAGGCATGATGGTGCATGCCTGTGGTCCCAGCCACTTGGGAGGCTGAGGTGGGTGGGCCGCTTTAGCTTGGGAGGTTGAGACTGCAGTGAGCCATGATTGCACCACTGCATTCCAGCCTGGGCAACAAAGTGAGATCCTATCTCAAAAAAAAAAAAAAGAAAAGAAAAAGAAAAAGAAAAAAAATTGGTATCTTATTGCCACAGAGTCTGTTTTCTGTTTTGTCAATCTTATGATCTCTATTTTAATGTTGATGCTGATTAGTCGTGCCTAAGCTCCAAAAGGGAAAGGGTATAACAAGACATGTCCATTCTCCCTTCACATCATGTCTGGGAATTAAGTTTTTCATGTTTCTCTGGGGTCCTCTTAGCCAAGAGAAGTTCCATTCAGTCAGTTCTAGGGGCTTAGGGTTTTATTTTTGGATTGCATTCTCTCCTTTTTGGCTAAGATTTGCTAGAGGCAGCATTGATAGCCAAATTTTATTTTGTCTGTCCCATATCCTTGGTGGTATGGTATGGCTACTTACACTGGGTCTATCCTGTCCCTCAATGGGACCCCTATGGCCAAGTGACTTCAAGCCAAAAGGATTATAACCAATTAAATGTTTTAGGCCAGACAGGAATGGAAGTGAGCAGGCACTCATCAGCCCTTAAAACATTTCAAGCAATGTAGGAGCCAAAAACTAAAAGCCCAAAGGCAAGGTTACAAAATTGACTTATGTCTTATGCCTTAAGTTACTCTAATCTTGGTTTTAGTTACAGGTTTGTAGCAATTAGCTGTATAAAACATAAGCAGTTTGTTAAAACCTTTTAACAAGGGTAAATGCTCCAGGCACAGTGGCTCACGCCTGTAATCCCAGCACTTTGGGAGGCCGAGGTGGGTGGATCATCTCAGGTCAGGAGTTTGAGACAAGCCTGACCAATATGATGAAACCATGTCTCTACTAAAAATACAAAAATTAACCAGGTGTGTTGATGAGTGCCTGTAGTCCCAGTTACTCAGGAGGGTGAGATCAGAGAATTGCTTGAACCCGGGAGGCAGAGGTTGCAGTGAGTGGAGATCATGCCACTGCACTCCAGCCTGGGCAACAAAGCAAGACTCCATCTCAAAAGAAAGCTAAGAAAAGGCTGAAAACATTTGATTAAAATGGAATCACAGGTCACTGTAAAATAACAGTTATTCATTTTAGCAGATTGATAATCAAGACTTCAAAAGCAATAAAAAATTTACATGTATGTAAAAACCTTAAGCCTTTTAATATTCAGTTTTCTTAAATAATCAGAAAACATAATTAAACAATACAGGAATTATGTTAAAACCTTTGTTTCTCAGTCTAGTTATCAAAACGGTGAAGAAAAATGTTCTGCAATGGGACTGTTCCCCCTTTAGGGAAGTGGATTTGGATATCCTGAGAGTCAAACCTGATGAAAAGGGTACTTAAATTAGTAGGACACGGGAAGAGTGTGTCCAGGTTCCTGTGTGAACACTACGTTGTAGAGGAAACTGGAAAACTAGTACCTTCAGCAAGGGGATATGTGATTCTTAGTCACAGCGTGGGAGGTTTCCTGGCCTTGTTGAACACTTTGGTCATATGTTGGGGCTCTGAAAACAATACACCAAACTGAAAGCTTCACAAGCAGCCTCAGAAGTAAAAGTTTTTCTTTCTCTGTCTCCTGTCCTTCTGTCTCTCAGTCCCATTTTCCCTCAAGGCTGGTCATAGAAACTAGAATCTATCTTCCTCAAAGCAGGTCCTAAAAAACAGAACCCTTTTCTCTCAAAGCCAGCCATAAAACCTAAAAATATTAATCCAATTTTCACTCTTCCTTTCTGCATAAGAACTGGCCATAAAGAAATTACTAATATCTGACCTACCTTGTTCAACTCTAGATCATAAGAACCCCATACCCAGAAGGAAGGAAGGAAGGCATCTCAGAGAGGTCAAGAGGAATCTAGACAGATTGGCCTTGCAGGGTTTCCCCACTTCATCTACTAGCATTAGATTATGACTTTTTGTTCAATCATATTTTTATATAATGTCCATACTCTGTTGAACCTAGGCATAAAAGTGTACAATTCTCTTTATATCTTAGTTCTTCATTTCTGAAGACTCTTGCATATGCACACCAAACAAATCTGCATGCCTTCTCTTTAACCAATCTGTGTTTTGTGAGTTGATTTTTCAGCAAAACTTTAGAGGGCTCCTGGCCCCTAAACATATTAAGAAAAGCCAACAGTATAGAATTAAGTTATACTGGAGAAAAACATTGCCCTTTTAAACCTTCAAGATAAAATATTTCAGCATCAGGCCATAACAACAGATTTAGAACTGGAGAAAAAAAGTTACAGGGGCCGACAAAAAGTTGAAGGAGAAAGTTTCCATCTCAGGCCTTCTTGAAGGGAGAAAAAGCTGAAGGCAGCAAGATACAGCAGAAGTTGAGCTTCTGATATATCAATCTGAGAAGTTTCTAAAAGAAACAGATTATGGAATTTAAAAATCAAAGTATTTTGCAATTTCCTTAAAAGCAAGTCAATACTTTAAGAAAAACTTGTTCTAATCTTGTTGCTTAGTTTTGTATTAGTGTGTTTTTAGTATCAAAGTTCAATATCTAGGAAGAATGTTATAAATACTTTCCTTTTAGTTATAGCCAACTTAATCATGTACAAAATTTTTTTTCATAATTTCTATTTTTATGAACCTTATCACAACTTACACAGACCAATTACAACATGCTTAGACTTTCTGTTTTGTCTTAAATTTCCCTCTTTTTAAAATAACCAGTCATTTTACTTTAGGACAAAAATTTGCCGTACAAGATTCTTTGAAATCAAAGGAACATCAACCAAGCAAGAAAAATACATCTTCACATCTATAACTTTCATCATTTCACTCTCTCCTATTTATTGGTTCCTTTTTAATGTTTTCATAAATAACCTTTCAATAACTTCTGAATTGCACAAAATTACTCTTTTTCTCAATAAGAATACAACTTTATGTCTTTCTTATAATTTACTTATTTTATTAAAAACACATCTTCTTTGGTATATTTTACACATAGAATTATATGCCAACTAGAATTTTTATTTTTGGTAGTGTTGAATTTTAGTGAAAACCTAGGAAGCAAGAAATCCCAAACTGTCTAGCAAATGTTAGCTTTTTATAGATGAAACCAATCTATAATTTTTGGAAATATGGTTCTTCAACTATAACTCTTTTCTAATTGGAAATGACCCAGACAATTAATGAGTACCTGTTACTTAATCCAAAATAATTTTGAGATTTTAAACTACATAAAAATTCACCTATAAGCATTTATCACATTTACATTTACTCAATTTCTTCATTTTCAGCAGTTTACCTGGATTACTTATGAGAACTAAGGCATTAGACAAAGCTAGTCATCATTTAAAGTTATTTCCTTGCTAACCAGTTTTATAGCCTGTGACTATCAGGTGTTCACCTTAATCAGAACCTTGAAGTTAAACATATAGATATTTTTTGCTGATAATTCAGAGGATTTAGCTGTTTTCATTAAATCAACAACATTAAATTAGTCTTATTTATCAAAAATTACACAAACAAAAACCATTCTGTTTTAGCCTGGATTTATAGCTTTATAACCTTTGTGCCAAATCGTGGCACCTTAAAATATAAATATAAAAACTACATGAGCAATAAACCCAGGCAAAAATGTATGCTGACAATTCTGAATACATGTCTAGTTTTATTTTACCAATAATTTTAAAGCCAGCTTATTTATTAATGATCTACTCAAGTTACATGAACTTGAAAGGCACTTGGGCTTATTTACTTAATTTATGAGTACTTCATTATTTATAAGCCAATTTGGAACCAGGCAGACACAACATAATACATGTATATCCATAGAAACACATCTAAACACAAACACACGCACACACAGAGTTCAGGGGGTGGGGGAGAGAGAGAGAGAGAGAGAGAGACTTTTACTTTGGGACCCTAGCCATGGGATAGCAGTACAAACTTACTGGCTTACAAAAGATGACTGGATTCAAATTATTTCTGGCAAGATTGGGGCCTGTTCATACAGCTAAACTTTAGTTGCCCTGATTGGTAATGCAATAAAGGCTGTGGACCAAAATTTTAGGTATAACGTTTTCCATAGAAGTTTGATTTTAAAACCTCTTTCACTCTTTTTTAAGTAAATTTAGGGTTAAATTCTTAATGCTTACATTTTAGCTAGAACCGGCTGAACTGTGTAAGAAAAACAAAGTCTCCCAAGTAGCCTTGAGTTAGTAATGCCATAAACAGTGGCTTTTATCTCAATGCTGGTAGAAAAGTAACAGTGGATTTAAAGCAGGCAGAGAAGAAAATAGAGACAGAGAACTTAAGAGACTGTATTTAACTCTATAGTTGCAAGTCAACTATTACACTCTGAATTTTTCCTGATGTAATTTACCCATGTGTTTAAAAATGTGTACAAGAACAGACCATAATATGTAACCAACTGGAGTCCTAGAAAACCTAACATGGCTTCAAATTTTCCCATTTACACAAATACTTGTGAGTAGAGGCACCATAAAACCAACCAGCGTGCCCAAAGCGGGTCTTTCTCCTTGTCTTTTCTCATTCTTAGAGGATTCATTTCCTTTTTTAAAGGCAGGAACTGAACTGTAGTCTGGGGTTCAGTGTAGTGGAGTTGAGAAGCTCAGTCTCTCATTCATTTACAGAAAGGACAGTTGTGTTTCTTCCATAAATGTGTAGAGGAGCCAATTTAGATTAATTTTGGGAGAAAAAGACAACACAGAAGACCCTTTAGAATGCACCTCTGAATCAGAGTTAGGATCCCAAACAATAACTTCCTAGGAAAAGAACCAGCTAAGAATAAACCAAAGGAACATCAACCAAGCATGAAGCCTGGGGCTCAGGAGGACTTACCAGTTCTATGTAAGGAGAAACTCAAAGTCAGAGGGCTTTCAACGGGCCCATACTTGTATTAGGTTGGTGCAAATGTAATCGCAAAACGGCAAATCTGCAATTACTTTTGCATGAAACAAATGCCTTAGCTCTGAGTTTGGGTGCCTCCTTCAGAGGGTCTTGAGTTTCTCCAAGGTCCCCACATTGGGTGCCAATTAATTGTTAATGGAAAAAACAAACTTTGTAAAATATTTAAAGAGGTTTATTCTGAGCCAATATGAGTGACCACGGCCTGAGGAACAGTCTCAAAATGTCCTGAGGAAGTGGGCCCCTGAAATATAAATTTCTTGACAGACACAATGTACCAAAGCCCACTCAAAAAGAAATATATAATCTGAACAGTACTATATTTATTAAAGTGATGGAATATATAGTTTAAAACTTTTCCACAAAAAATTGATGATTGATAGATGATAGATAGATATAGATAGATAGATAAAAATTTGGGCTGAGGGAACTGTTCTGGTGATTTCTACAAAACATTTACAGAATAAATAATATCAGTTGAACACATTTTTTTCCAGGCAATTGATGAGGATGCAAATTTTCCCAAATTATTTTATGAAACCAGCATTATGCTGATAACCAAACTGGACAAAGACATTTTAAGAAAAGAAAGCTGCTGAACAATATCCCTCACAAACATAGAAGCAGAAATTATTAGCCAAATATTAGCAAATTGAATCCAGCATTGTACAGAAAAGTTAGTAAATCATCACAAAGTAGGGTTTAGTAAAGGAATATGAATTTAGTTCAACATTAAAAAATAAGTCACTGTAATTCATAACATCAGCAAAATGTTATGTAAATATATTGATATAGTTTGCATGTTTGTCCCTTCCAAATCTCATGTTGAAATGTAGTTTCCGTTTTTAGAGGTGGGGCCTAGTAGGAGGTGTTTGAGTTAGGGGTCAGACCCCTCACAAATGGCTCAGTGGCCTCTCTTTGTTAATGAATTAATGTGAGATCTGATTGCTTAGAATAGTCTGGCACCTTCAACTCTCTTACTTACTCTCACACTGTGTGATGCTTCTGAAACCCTTCCCTTTTACCATGACTAAGAGCTTCCTGAGGTCTCACCAGAACCCAAGGAGACGTTATTCCCATGCTTGAAAGCCTCTATATGACTTAGATGTCAATTCTCTCCCCAAATAATCTGTAAATTCAACACAATCACAATAAAAATCTTTGCATTCTGTTTTGTATAAGTTGGTGTCAAACAAGCACATGTGATAATGTTAAAAACTGTTAGATATTAGAGAAATGCAAACGAAACTATAATGACATACCGCTGCACACCCACCAGAATGGATATGATTGGTACAACTGATATTGCTGAGTTTTGGTAAGGATATGGAGCATCTGAGAAATCTATATATTGCTGGTGGAAATGCAAAATGTTACAACCACTTTGCAAAACAGTTTGTCATTTTCTCATAAAATTAAATATATACTTACCATCTGACAGCCATTCTGCTCTAGGTATTTATCCAAGAGAAATAAAAACATATGTCCACACAAAGACCTGCATGTGACTGTTTATAGCAGCTTTTTCATAATATCAAAAAATCTAGAAACAATGTAACTATCCATTAACTGGACAATCAATGGATAAACAAAATATAGTCCACCCACAAAATGAAATGGTATTCAGTAAAATAAATGAACGAACCAGTGATACATGTTAAAACGTGGATGAATCTCAAATATGCTAAGTGAAAGAATCCAGACACAAAAATTTATATACTGTATGATTCCATTTATATGACATTCTTCCAAATGTAAAACTATAGAGACAGAAAGTAAATCAGGGATTGCCAGGGACTAGGAGTGGAGAGAAGGGAATGTCTACAAAGGGTCATGACTCATGAGGGACCTTTTTTGTAGTGGTGGAAATGTTCTCTATCTTGATTTCGGTGGTAGTTAAATGACACTATACATTCATCAAAATTTATCAAACCACACACTTTAAATGGGTGAATTTTATTGCATATAAATTATACCTCAATGTATTTTAGTTAAAAAAAACAAGAAAACAAAAAACTCGAAAACCAGGATAGTTATAAACCATATTCGATACTGTCCAACATTCTATTCAAGGTTGGCTATTTCCCTTAAAGCTTCAATGATTCCATTTAAATGAATTCTTACCTATGCCTTCCTGATTTAATGTACTCAAAGCCTAAACAAATAAAAACATTATGTTAGAACTATTACTAAGGTAAGGCTACGTGGGTCTGAGATTATGGGGAAAATTCTAATTGAAATAATTTAAACTAATGCCGTTTTAAGTACAAATTGCTGAAAAAAAATGTACAACCCTCTGCTCTAATAAAAGAACGAACAGGAAAGAATAAAAGAATTAAAATGGAGAAATATTTACGTAGAAGGCTGGTTATCAGAAATACTCCCACCCCTTAAATGTATAATTGAGTATGGAAATGGTGTTTTGGAAAGAAAGACTGGTACTTTTCCTGGCTTGTGAGCCCCAGGCAAAAAGTCATCTCAAAGGAAAATGAGTCAGACATTTACAGGCTGTTTTTTTTTTCTTTTTTCTTTCTTTGCTTTTTAAAATTCTGGATGCACTCAGGACTGTCCCTGCTTTGGGTTGTCATGTCCTTTTAGTCCTCTTTACTCTAGAAGGTTCTTGTTTTTTATTTTTCATACCTTTGACATTTTCGAGGAGTCCAGGTAAGTTGTGTCATTGAATGTGCCATAATCTGGATTTGACTAATTGTTGTCTCATAACTACATTTAGGTTAAATATTTTTGGCATGAATACTACAATAGAGATATGTATATTTGATTTCTTCAGGTCTGTGAGAATCTGATCTCCCAAGAGCCAACATCTCAAGAAATTTTATCTTTCACAAATGCAGATGTACATAAAGGACATCTCTTTATTTATTGATAAAGTTTCAATGTTTATAAATACTTGCACACTGCTCATACACGAAGTTAACATGGTGATAACACAATTTCATGTGGTCATATTTGCAAAAAACATACATAAAACAAATGACAACTCTCTAAAAGTTTCCATACAATTTATACCTCCAGTATTGAAAATGATGTGAAGATGAAATACACAGCATAGCACATTGTAAAAAACAATTCTGTCAATTTCAAATAGTGGGAAAAAAAGCTGAAAAAAAGAAAAGAAAAATACTAAAAAGAAATTTCCATATATGAAAAAGTGTATTACAGGGGTAGATTATGGGTAATTACACAGAGATAGTCCATAAAAGCTGGCTGACTTTTGCACTCATTAACTGTATTTTGAAGTCTTGCATCAGAATGAATAGCTGCCTTTTTTTGTTTTAAAATATGACTCTCCTGGGAGAATATGTTCACATTCATTTTCCACATGATGCTGCTCTTTTTGAAATTTTTTCTGTGATTTAACATATGCCAACAGGAGCATTTCCTATTAAGTTTTCCCATCTTCTGTGTGATGCTTCCATATTGTTTTGGGTATTTGGAAATCAATTCCACATATGGTCATATACAGACCATAAATTTGGTGGAAACAATACTGATGATGGAACAGCACTGTTTCATAAATATTTTCTTATAGTACCATGCATATAATTATTTTTTAACCATTTGGTAACTTAACTGGCTTCTTCAAGCAAATGTAGCTTTAATTCATTAAAAGATCCTGGGATGTCATCAGCTGGAAGGAATGCAATGTAGACAAATGACTCATTTTTAAACTAAAGTTTTCATAGTTGCCATATCATATGGCCAATCCACTCACCTGAATTTTCTGCCAAATGCATTGGACTGAACAGAAAAATACAACTTTATGGGTAATAGCTTGAAATTCACTTTTAGAATCCTCACTGGAGCCTAATTCCAAATCTCTCATTATGGTTTGGGGATTCCATTGAAATCAATTTTCTTCAGCAAAAAGACAGTAACAAGGTAATAGTTCCATCTAATATGATGTAGTGATCCTGTGAGTGTAATTTTTGAGATTTTAGACATTAGGAATTTTAGGCTTTAGGGATTTTGATCTTTAGGAATTCCGACAGTTGGGATTGTGTCTTTAGGGATTATGATCCAAAACCAATTTGGACATATCCTCATGTAAGTTTTCTTGTGCTGCCTCTCACCTCATTGTAGACAGCTTTCTTAATTTGGATGCCCCTAAAAGAAGATCTGGAGACAATGATTCTAAGTGCTCCCAGGATGGAAGGAGAGAATGGGCGAGTGAGACAGAAAGGAGCATGTTCTCGAGTCACCTGTCACTGTGGCTGATAGGAGCAGAGTACCACAGGACTCCAGGAGAAAAACATAGGGCACCTGCCTCAGAGTTATCCCTTATGAGATATAAGATTTGGGGCATTTATTGCCCATTCCCTTTAGTCATTTGTGGAGGGCTGCTGGCGGGTGGGAGGCAGGACAGAGCAGCAGTGGTATTAGTATTTTCTGGAACTTCCAACTCTGTGCCCTTGAACTAAGCAGACAAAGGCAGCTGGAGCTTAGGCTTTGTGCAGTTACGCATGAGGTCTAAAGGGGTACTGGTGGTGGCTCCTAATGCCTCAGTGGCTTCACCTCTTTCATTCTGTCCCAGTCCTGTGGGAACTACTGTTTGAATGCTCTAACTCCCTCTCCTACCAAAACCGGCTCAGTTCTGCCCACCTATAACTGAGACATCTATGGTTAATATCACCTCTCTTTGCTCCAACATAAGTATTTTCCCAATAGGTAATCCACAAAAGAATCAGCTTCACTAAAGACCAGTATGAACATGTGTGTTTGCTTTGAGGTGTAGATGGAATAAGCAGTAACAAGATCTGGCAGAAAAAGAAGCAGCTGTGCTGACCTGTCAGGTCTTTCTCCTCCCTTTACTGTGCTACCAACAACCTGTTTTTCTTCCCAAGCCTAAAAAAGATGAGGCATTTCCATTTTTCTCTTCTGCTAAACATTTTTATTGAGCTATGATATCATTCTTGTTCTGTTGCAGGTCTCTTTCTGTCAAGGATTTACATATGATTTATAAGTAGATTGACTCAACAAACTCCAGTCCAACTGGCACAGCTTATTTGCAACATTGCAGTTGCTGCTCTTTGGTGATCATATTCCCTGCAGAGGAACACTCTTTTGCCAATATTTATCTTTTTCCATACATTTGACCAGCTTTCTCTATGATCATGGTCTTACTTCCCTTATCCCACATTGCCTAGTCGACTATGCAAGGCCTCCCTCCTCCCAATCCTCCTAGCCCCATTCATATATCTGTCCTATTGTCAATCTTTTATGTCAGTGGTCCCCAGCCTTTTTGGTACCAAGGACTGGTTTTGTGGAAGACAATTTTTTCATGGACAAATGTTGGGGTATGGTTTAGAGATGATCAAGCACATTACACTTATTGTGCACTTTATTTCTATTATTATTACACTATAATATATAATGAAATAATTATACAACTCACCATAATGTAGAATCAGTGAGAGCCCTGAGCTTCTTTTCCTGCAAGTAGATTGTCCTATCTGGGGATGATGGAAGACAGTGACAGATCATCAGGCATTAGATTTTCATAAGGAGCGTGCAATCTAGAACCCTTGCATAAGCAGTTCACAATAGGGTTTGTGCTCCTATGAGAATGTAATGCCACTGCTGATCTGATAGGATGCACAGCTCAGGTGGTAATGTGAGAGATGGGGAGAGGCTGTACATACAGATGAAGCTTCACTGCCTCACCCACCACTCACCTCCTGCTGTGTTAGACTGGTATTGGTCTAACGGGTCACAGACCAGTACCAGTATGTGGGCTGGGGGTTGGGGATGCCTGCTTTATGTTATGCCATATTCCTTAGAGCAGGGGTCAAAAAACTTCTTCTGTAAAGAACAGGATAGTAAATATTTGTTTGTGGGTGATATGGTCTCTGTTACAGTTTTACCATTATAGAGCAAGCAACCATAGACCATACATGAATAAATGAATATGACTGTGTTCCAAGAAAACTTTTTTTAATAAAATAGGCAGTGAAACAAATTTGCCTGTAGTCCGTAGTTTGTCAAACCCTGCTTTATAACATAGGAACAACTTTTTGAGAGTGCCTGTGTTGAATCTGCCATGGACTGACCTGCTATGCAACTAAAGCAACTAGAATTAATGATGCTAATGTGTCCCATGAACCTGTATTCCTTTCTACTGCATATTTTTTTAAGACTTGAGGAACAAAATTGAATTCTGATATAACAGTTATTTTCTTTGCAGTTCAGACACAGGCAGAATCAAGAACATAACAGGTTATACACGGGCAGGACCCTTAAATACACACACACATGCATACATATAAATATATATTTATATATAAATGTAATATACATTTATTATATATAATATATATTACATATAAAAACTGAATATATATATATTCAGTTTTTGCAAGGAGCTAGAGGAAAATCCTTCAGAATACTAAAACTCAAGAGGATATCACATTATCATTTTGGCAAGTGTAAATTGTATTCATTCCCCCTCTTTTCTCTGCATTGTATTGGTGAGGTCATTTTTAAGGCTGTAATCAAGTATTAGTTCATTCAACACATACTCACTAAGTGACTACCATATGCCAGGCTCTGGGTACTCAGCAGTGAATAAAATAGACAAAATCCCTGCCTTCATGTGGCTCACATGCAAATGGGGGTGGAGGAAGGAAAGATAGTCAATAAATAAATAAATACACACTACAACAGGTGGTGGCATGTGCTAAGGGAAAAAATAACAGTAGGAAGGGGGACCAGGAAGTGTCAGTGTGATGCAGTGGGGGGTCAGAGTGCACACCTCTCTGATAATACAACATTTCAGAGGAGACCTGAAGGAAGTCAAGGAGAGAGCTATGTGCATAGCTAGGGAAATAATGCTCTAATAAGGAACAGAAAACACCAAAGTCCTTCACAGGTGTGATGGCTAATTTTGCATCAACTTGACTGGCCCATGAGGTACCCAGATATTTGGTCAAACATTATTCTAGGTGATTCTGTTAGGGTGTATTTAGATGAGATTGACATTTAAATTGGAAGACTGAGTGAAACAGACTGCCTTCCCTGTTGTTTGTTGCAGGAAGTCAGGGACCCCAAATGGAGGGAGCTGCTGATGCCAAAGCCGTGACAGAAGAACATAAACTGTGAAGACTTCATGGACATTTATCACTTCCCTAATCAATAATTTCCTATGCCTGTCTTTAATCTCCTAATCCCATCATCTTTGTAAGCTGAGGATGTATGTCGCCTCAGGACCCTGTGATGATTGCGTTAACTGCACAAATTGTTCATAAAGCATATTTGTTTGAACAATATGAAGTCTGGGCACCTTGAAAAAAGAACAGGATAACAGTGATGTCCAGCGAACAAGGGAGATAACCATTAGGTCTGACTGCCTGGGAGCCAGGCAGGACAGAGCCATATTTCTCTTATTGCCGAAAACAGGTAAGAGAAATATCACTGAATTCTTTCCCCAGTAAGGAATATTAATAATTAACAGCCCTGGGAAAAGAATGCATTCCCAGGGGGGGCCTCTAAAATGGCCACTCTGGGAGTGTCTGCCTTATGCAGTTGTAGATAGGGATGAAACATGCCCTAGTCTCCTGCAGCGCCCCCAGGCTTGCTAGGATTAGGAAATTCCAGGCTGGTGAATTGTAGTCAGACCAATTCTCTGCTCTTGAACCCTGTTAAGATGTTTATCAATGACAATGCATGCACAGTGGGACATGGGACTTCATTGGTAATTCTAGTTTTGCCCTGACCTTGTGATCTTGCCGTGACCTTCTGCCTTGTGATCTTTTATTGCCCTGTGAAGCATGTGATCTCTGTGACCCACACCCTATTCGTACACTCCCTCCCCTTTGAAAACTGCTAATAAAAACTTGCTGGTTTTATGGCTCAGGGGGCATCACAGAACCTGCCGACATGTGATGTGTCCCCTAGACACCCAGCTTTAAAATTTCTCTCTTTTGTACTCTTTCCCTTTATTTCTCAGACCAGCCAACACTTAGGGAAAATAGAAAAGAACCTACATTGAAATATCGGGGACTGGTTCCCCCGATAGTGGGTGGGCCTCATCCAACCAATTGAAGTACAGAAGGCTGACCCTCTGTCAAGTAAGAGAAAATTCTCCTGCCTTGCAGCCTTTGACCTGGGATATAGACTCTTCATGGTTTTATAGCATCTTCTCAGCCTTTGAACTTGAACTGAGACATTGGAATTTCCAGCTTCCATAATTGTGAGCCAATTGCTTATAATAAATTGATCAGTCAATCAATCTGTCATCTTATTGGTTTTGTTTCTCTAGAGGACACTGACTAATACAGTGGGGACATGATTAGGTGTTTGGCTGTTTTGGTGAGAAAAAGGATGAAATAAAGGAAATTCAAAAAGGACTAAGGAGGCCAAAATGTGTAGGGTCTTTTAGCCCACTATTTAAGGACTTAGCATTTATTGCAAATGAGATTTTTGAAGGAACTGAAGATTACTTACATTTTAAAAGAATCACTCTAGCTCTTTGTGTGATGAATACTCAGAGGGGGGCCATGGACAGAATGGGGAAGACCAGTCCAGGGGCTACTTCAATAATTGGTAACTAAAATTATTGTGGTATTTGGGGAGTTGGTGAAAATTTGCCAAATTTTGAGTATAATTTGAGGATAGGGCTGATAGAGTTTTCCCAGGGATGTGAGGTATGAGATATAGGGAAAATTTAAGGTGGACTCTGAATTTCTTGTCGTAGCAACTGGAAGAATGGTATTTTCATTCACTGAGATGGACAAGAATGTGGGAGAAGCAGGTTTGGTGGCACAGGGCATATGAGCAATTTGAGTGGGCCATTTTAAGTTTGAGATTCCAACTAGACACCCAAACCAAATAGCAATATACAGTTCTGGGAAGAGATCTCAGATCTGGGAAGCAAATATAAAGAGATCTGGGAAGAAAATATAAAGTTCTGGGAAGAGATCTCAGATATAAATTTGGAGGCATCAGAATATAAGTATTATTTATTGCTATGAAACTAGATGAGATCACCAAGTAAGTGAATGCAGAGAAGACACCTAAGGACTGAGTCCTGGCCATCTGATGTTTAGAGTTCAGGGAAATGAGGAGCCAATAAAAAGATAAAGAATGTACTGCCAGTGAAGGGAGAAGAGAGCCCCCCACTCAAAAAAAAAAGTTCCCAAAGTTGTATGAAAAATTATTTTAAGGCAAGAGTGTTCAGTGCCATCAAATGCCACTGATAGGTCAAGTAGGATTAAGATTTGGACTGACATCTCATCACTGAACTAGACAATGTGGAGGGGAAGGAGGATCTTGAGAAGAGCTGCTGTGATGAAGTGATGTAAAGAAACACTTGTTTGTAATCTGTTCAAGAGAAATGGAAAAAGAAGAAATGGAACCAATAAAACATAATTTTTGGAAGAGATTTGTTTTAAAGGGAAGCAGAGAATTGGAATGTTAGTAGAAGAGGAAACATTATGCAATATCTATTTGCATATTGGTGGGAATGGTCTGATACACAGGGAAATTTAATAATGTAGGAAAAAAGACCAAGACATGTCTTTGAATATAAAAGAGAAGATGGGAATCAGTGTTCAAGGGGATGGGTTGGCTTTTAATAAGGAATTGGACCGTTTATTTGTAGTAATAGGAAGTAAGGCAGAGAATATGGATATTGATATAGATGGGAGGGTGGTAGGGTTAGTTGCAGCTTGTGGAAATTCTCTTCTGATCACTTCTATTTTCTCAGGAATTTAAGAAGCAAGGCCATCAATGGAAAGACAACAGGAGAGGGGTTGATGGAATTTTGAGGAAAGAGATGTTGTGGCATCTGGAAAATATGGGAAGTAAAACTGATTGGATTAGGGTATTGTAAGATTGCTGGCAACTCTAATGTCTAGCGTGAGGTCGTCAGTAATACGTTTAAAGTGAGATCAGTAAGCATGAACCCATGCTTTTCTCTAGCTATGCCAGCTCTAGATTCAAGTACACATTAGGCCAAGACTTGAATTAACAAGGCAAGTGAGTTCCAGGTGAGTTCAATGGTCGGGGAGCCATACATGGGAGATGAAGTATATACAAAGGATCATTTATAATCATAGGCACAAAGTCACTGTTATGCCAAAAGGAAAATGTGCCCATGAATGGAGACAAAAGACAAAAAAAGACAAAAGTTTTAAAAGGTGGTGGGATCACTGTATTGTTGGTTTTGGTAGGTTGAAAAATAGTTGAGTAAAATTAATAAGCTTTATTCCTCTTTTTCTAATTCTCAATATTCAGCCTGTCTGTGAATTCTGTTGATTCTGCCTTTCCAATATATACAGAACCTGAGCACTTTTCATCATTCTACAGAACATCACCTTGGGCCAAGCCATGAACATCTCTCACCTTGATTATGGTAGTTGCCTCATAACTGAGCTTCCTACATCCACTCTCACTCCACCTACACCCTGTCTCAAGGTTATTTTCCATACAACATCCAGAGTAATTCTTTTAAAAGATAAAGGAGATCATTTACTTTTCAATAACTGCCCATCTCACTCATAGTAAAGACCAAATGAACTATAATGCCCAATATGAACTGTACACCCCTCCCTCCCTGGCCTATCTTAGTGCCTTTGAACTTGACCTCTCCTCTGCCTGCAGCACTTTCACCAGCCATTGGCATGGCTTACTCTCTTAAGTCTTCATTCAAATGTAATCTTACTAGTGAGTTTTTCCTGACAACCTTGTTTAAAATTATGCTTTGGGAAAGTTCAATGGAAACATGCAATCACGATGCTTTTATTCCATTTGAGGCACTAAAGGAGATGATTCTATTTTTTCTCTAACAAATACATGAAAGAAGCTGGCAAATGAAAAAAAAAAGAACTTTTAACAGGAATATTGCAAACATTATATGTGTTCCCTTTTGTTCTTCTCTACTTTGTTGCAACCTGTAGCTAATATTCTGGAGGAAAAACATACAGATATTGGTATAACAGCTTGAAGCAATAGTTATACTCTATAAATTTCATCTCTTTTAAGAAAAAAATATTTCATGGTGATGTTAGTGAGTCTTAGTATATTTTTAAGGATCAATCATTACAACTATGTAAGTTCTTGTTTTTTATTTATTTTTATTTTTTGAGACAGAGTCTCACTCTGTAGCCCAGGGTGGAGTGCAGTGGCGTGATCTCAGCTTGCTGCAACCTCTGTCTCTCAGGTTCAAGTGATTTTCCTGCATCAGCCTCCCCAGAAGCTGAGATTACAAGTGTGTGCCACCACACTCAGCTATTTTTTGTATGTTCAGTAGAGACAGGGTTTAGCCATGTTGGCCAGGCTGGTGTCAAACTCCTTACCTCAAATGATCTGCGTTCCTTGGCCTCCCAAAGTGCTGGGATTACAGGCATGAGCCATGGCAACTGGCCAAAACTATTTATGTTCTGATATGATTTGGCTGTGTCCCCATTCAAATCTCATCTTGAATTGTAGCTCCCATAATTCCCACGTGTTATGAGAGTGACCTGGTGGGAGGTAATTGAATCATGGGGCGGGGGGTTTTCCCATGCTTTTTCTCGTGATAGTGAATAAGTCTCACAAGATTTGATGGTTTTATAAAGGGAGTTTCCCTACACAAGCTCTCTCTTGCCTGTGACCATGCAAGATGTCGCATGCTTTTCCACCATGATTGTGAGGCCTCCCCAGCCATGTGGAACTGTGAGTCAATTAAACCTCTTTCCTTTATAAATTATCCAGTTACATGTATGTTTTTATTAGCAGTTTGAGAATAGACTAATACAGTAAATTGTTACCAGGAGTGGAGTGCTGCTGTAAAGATACCTGAAAATGTGAAATCGACTTTGGAACTGGGTAACAGGCAGAGGTTGGAACAGTTTGGAGGGCTCAGAAGAAGACAGGAAAATGTGGGAAAGTTTGGAACTTCCTAGAGACTTCTTGAATTGTTTTGACAAAACTGCTGATAGTGATATGGACAATGAAGTCCAAGTTGAGTTGGTCACACGTGGAGATGAGGAATTTGTCAGGATTTGGAGCAAAGGTGACTCTTGTTATTCTTTAGCAAAGAGACTGGTAGAATTTTCCCCTGCCCTAGAGATCTGTGGAACTTCGAACTTGAAAGAGATGATTTAGGACATCTGCCAGAAGAAATTTCTAAGCAGCAAAGCATTCAAGAAGTGACTTGGGTACAGTTAAAATAAAAGCATTATTATTATTATAAAAGCATTCACTTTTATTCATTCACAAATATATGGTTTGGAGTTGAAACTTATGTTTAAAAGGAAAGTAGAGTATAAAAGTTCAGAAAATTTGCAGCCTGATGATGTGATTTCTGAGGAGAAATTCAAGCTGGCTACAGAAATTTACAAAAGTAATGAGGAGCCAATTGTTAATCACCAAGACAATGGGGAAAATGCCTCCAGGGCATGTCAGAGGTCTTCATAGCAACCTCTCCAGACTTGGTCAGCTGCATCCCAGCCATGGCTAAAATGGCTAAATGTACAGCCAATGTACAGCTCAGGTCTTTGCCACAGAGAGTGCAAGTTCCAAGCCTTGGCAGCTCCCATTTGGTGTTGGGCCTGTGGGTACACAGAAGTCAAGAATTTGGGAACCTCCACCTAGATTTCAGAGGATGTATTAAAATGCCTGGATATCCAGGTGGAGGTGTGCTGCAGGAGTGTGGCCCTCATGGAGAACCTCTGCTAGGGCAGTGTGGAAGGGAAATGTGGGGTGTGAGCCCCCACACAGAGTCCTCACTGGGGCACTGCCTAGTGGAGTGGTGAGAAGAGGGCCACTGTCCTCCAGACCCCAGAATGGTAGATCCACCAATAACTTGTACCATGTGCCTGGAAAAGCCGCAGACAATGCTAGCCCATGAAAGCAGCCAGGAGGGGGGCTACATCCTGAAAAGTCACAGGGGTGTCACTGCCCAAGGCTGTGGGGGCCAACCTCTTGCATCAGTGTGACCTGGATGTGAGACATGGAGACAAAGGAGATCATTTTGGAGCTTTAAGATTTGACTGCCCCGCTGGGTTTTGGACTTGCATGGGGCCTGTAGCCCCTTTGTTTGGGCCAATTTCTCCCATTTGGAGCAGGTGTATTTATCCAATACCTGTTCCTTCATTGTATCTAGGAAGTAACTAACTTGCTTTTAATTTTACAGGCTCATAGGCAGAAGCTACTTGCCTTGTCTCAGACAAAACTTTGGACTGTGCTTTTGAGTTAATGCTGAAATAAGTTAAGACTTTGGGGGACTGTTGAGAAGGTATGATTGGTTTTGAAATATGAGGACATGAGATTTGGGAGGGGCTGGGGGGAATGATATGGTTTGGCTGTGTCCCCACCCCAATCTCATCTTGAATTGTAGCTCCCATAATTCCCACATGTGTGGGAGGGACCCGATGGGAGGTAATTGAATCATGGGGGTGAGTCTTTCCCGTGCTTTTTTTCATGATAGTGAATAAGTCTCACAAGATCTGATGGTTTTGTAAAGGGAAGTTCCCCTACACAAGCTCTGTCTTGCCTGTGGCCATGCAAGATGTCCCAGCTGTGATTATGTTTGCATTTATCTCACCTATGTTGACATTTCTATTTTTATCTCTTTAAAAGTATATCCTTCCACTATTTATTTTAGGTTCAGGGGGTTCATGTGAAGGTTTGCTACATGGGTAAATTGCATGTCACTGGGGTTTGGCATACAAATTATTTCATCAGTCAGGTAGTGAGCATAGTACCCAATAGGTAGTTTTTCAATCCTTACTCTCCTTCCAACCACCACCTCCATCCTCAGGTAGGCCGCAGTGTCTATTTTGTGTCCATCTTTGTGTCCATGTGTACTCAGTGTTTAGTACTGAGGCATTCACAGTCCCCCCAGGGAAGCAATTTCTGACTTTATGTCATGGGGGTCCTTGGAAAAGGCAGCTTGTGGAGTTGGGGAAGGTCCAACTGGAGAAGACTTCCAGCTTATCTTTGTAATAATTTTCACTGAGCACGAATTTTCTTGTGCAGAATCTGGAGATGTAGGGAGAGTAGGGGGTGAACAGGAGTTACAGATATGAGCACAGAAGTGAGGGCTGAGGCCCGAAAGCCCTTCTTGCTTTCGCAGTGGGGAGGCTTATAGCCTGGGGCAAGATCTCAGCCCTGTGCACTGGAGGCGTGGATATTAATTTGGTTCTGTTGGCTGTTGGGGGAGCATGGCAGTAGTGAGACTAGCCTTGCTGACTACATGGGAGCTGGGTGAGGTCTGTCACTACCAGTTATCCTCCACTTCCCTGGCAACCTGTATGAAGCAGCAGAGGCAGCCATAATCCCCCTTGGAACATAACTCCATTGGCCTGAGAACCACACTCCATACTCCACTGTGGCTACAACAAGCCCTGCCCAAGGAGAGTCTGAGCTCTGACACACTTAACCCTGCCCCAACCTGATGGCTTTTCTCTACCCACCCCAGTAGCCTAAGGGAAAATACATAAACCCATGGGAGCTCTATGGCCCCACCCGTCATCTAAGAAACCAAAATACTTATCCAGGTGGCCTTAAGGCAAGCTTGTACCCCACCTATAATACCATAGCTGATGCTCTCTTGAAAGCACCACCTGGCTGGAGGCCAACCAACTCAAGCCATTACAGCAACTCATAGTAGAACAATCCTGCTCCAAGGAAGGAGAAAACAACAGCTAATTCCTCTACCTGTAACTTTTTGGCTAACCAGAGGTCCTGAGTCTGTTCATGTTACAACTTCAATGCTAGCACAACTAGCATTCAAGAAAACCAGCACACTAACCAAAACTACAACCAAGGACTCTCACAGAGTCTGCTTCACTCCCCTGTTACTCTCACTGGAGCAGGTGTTGGTATCCATGGCTGAGAGACCTGAAGATGGATCATATATCACAGGACTCTTGGATCCGAACCAAGAAGAAATCTCTTAATTGCCAGAAAAGGAATTCAGAAGGTCAATTAGTAGGCTACTTAAGGAGGCACCAGGAAAAGGTAAAAACCAACTTAAAGAACTTTAAAAACTAATACAGGTTATGGATGAAAAAATCTCCAGAGGAACAGATAGCATAAATAAAAAACAATTGCAACTTCTGGAAATGAAAGACACACTTAGAGAAGTGCAAAAATACAGTGGAAAGTTTCAACAATAGAATTTAACAAATAGAAGAAAGAACTTCAAAGCTTGCAGACAAGGCTTTCAAATTATCTTAATCTGACAAAGACAAACAAATAAGAATAATAATAAAAAAGAACAAAGACTCCAGGGAGCTTAGGGTTATGTTAAACGACCAAACTTAAGAAAAATTGGTATTCCTGAGGAAGAAGAGAAATCTAAAAGTTTGGAAAACTTATTTGAGGGGACAATTGAGGAAAACTTCCCTGGCCTTACTAAAGATCTAGACATCCAAATACAAGAAGCTCAAAGAACGCCTGGGAAATTTGTCACAAAAAGATTATCACCTAGGCACATAGTCATCAGGTTATCTAAAGTCAAAATGAAGGAGAGAATCTTAAGAGCTATGAAGCAAAAGCATCAGGTAACCTATAAAGGAAAACCTATCAGATTAACAGCAGGTTTCTCAGCAGAAACCTTATAAGCTAGAAGGAATTGGGGTCCTATCTTTAGCCTTCTTAAAGAAAATAATTATCAGCCAGCAATTTTGCATCCAGTGAAACTAAACTTCATAAATGAAGAAAAAATAAAGTCTTTTTCAGATGAACAAATGCTGAGAGAATTCATCACTACCAAGCCAGCACTAGAAGAACTGCTAAAAAGAGTCCTAAATCTTCAAACAAAACGTGAAAATACACCATCATTAATGATAAGGAAATGCAAATGAAAACGACAATGTGATACAACCTTACTCCTGCAAGAATGACCATAATCAAAAAATCAAAAAATAATAGATGTTGGTGTGGATGTGGGGAAAAGGAACACTTTTACACCGTTGATGGGAATGTAAACTAGTACAACCACTGTGGACAACAGTGTGGAAATTCCTTAAAGAACTAAAAGTATTAATAAATCTACCATTTGATCCAGCAATCCCACTCCTGGGTTATCTATCCAGTGGAAAAGAAGTCATTATACAAAAAAGATACTTGCACACACATGTTTATGGCAGCACAATTCACAATTGCAAAAATATGGAACCAGCCCAAATGCCCACCAATCAACAAGTGGATAAAGAAAATGTGCCATATATATATATATGTACACTATGAAATAGTACTCAGCCAAAAAAAAGAGCAAAATAATGGCATTTGCAGCAACCTGGATGGAATTGGAGACCATTATTCTAAGTGAACTCAGGATGAGAAAATCAAACATCGTATGTTCTCACTCATAACTGGGAGCTAAGCTATGAGGACGGGCAGGCATAAGAATGATACAATGAACTTTTGGGACTCAGGGGAAAGGATGGGAGGGAGATGAGGGATAAAAGACTACACATTGTGTACAGTGTCCACTGCTCAGGAGATGGGTGCACCAAAATCTCAGAAATCACCACTAAAGAACTTATTCATGTAACCAAACACCACCTGTTCCCCAAAAATCTATTGAAATTTTAAAAAAAGAAAATGCAGTACATATATTCTATGGAATGCTACTCAGCCATAAAAAGGAACAAAATAATGGCATTCACAGCAATCTGGATGGAGTTGGAGGCCATTATTCTAAGTGAAGTATCTCAGGAATGGAAAACCAAACATTGTATGTTCTCACTTGGGAGCTAAGCTATGAGAACATAAAGAATGATACAACGAATTTTGGGGACCCGGAGGAAAAGGTGGGAAGGTGGTAAGGGATAAAAGCCTACACATTGGGTGCAGTGTGCACTGCTCGGGTCACGGGTGCACCAAAATCTCAGAAATCACCACTAAAGAACTTACACATTTAACCAAATACTACCTATTTCCCAAAAACCTATTGAAATAAAAGAAAAACAAACAAACAAACAAATAAATAAATAAATAAATAATAGATTTGTATGTGGTGTGAGATAGGGACTGAAGTTCATCTTCTCCATGTGGACATCTAATTGCCTCAGAACGTTTCATTGGAAACACTTTCTTTCCCTTATTGAGTTTCTTTGGCACATTGTCAAATAAGTGTGGCCACAAAGTATAGGTATATTTCCATACTCTATTCTGTTTATGTAGTATAAATACTCCAATATTTTTTCTTTTTCAAAATTATTTTGACTATACTAGATCCTTTGCATTTCCATACATATTTTATGTATTTTATGAATTTCCATTCGAAAAGCCTACTGATATTTTGATTGGTATGTTTTTCAATCTATTTATCAATTTTGGGCAATGAGTATATTCAGTTTACCATTTCACACAGTATATGTGCATAGTTATTTAAATGTTCATGTCTGATAAATCAAATATCATTTATCAAAATCAAATTTCCTACTGATTTATTTCTATTGTATGTTTTTCTGCTGTGCTTTGATTAATTATTATCTTCTTTTTTTTTTTTTTTTTTTTTTTTTTTTTTTTTTTTTTTGAGACGGAGTCTTGCTCTGTCGCCCAGGCCGGACTGCGGACTGCAGTGGCGCAATCTCGGCTCACTGCAAGCTCTCTGCTTCCCGGGTTCACGCCATTCTCCTGCCTCAGCCTCCCGAGTAGCTGGGATTACAGGCGCCCGCCACCGCGCCCGGCTAATTTTTTGTATTTTTAGTAGAGACGGGGTTTCACCTTGTTAGCCAGGATGGTCTCGATCTCCTGACCTCATGATCCACCCGCCTCGGCCTCCCAAAGTGCTGGGATTACAGGCGTGAGCCACCGCGCCCGGCCAATTATTATCTTCTTGTATGCCTGATTATTTTTGTTTGTGTATAGACATTGTGTTGTAGAAAATAGAATGGAGTTTTAAGGTGTTATATGATGTTCCATTAAGAATAATAGGATTTACTTTTGCTTCAGGTAGACAACTAAACTAGAGTCACATTATATTAATCTATTAGAAACTTAGAAGACTCAAATTTGGTTTCAGTCCTTGTGAGGACTCTTCTTTCCATTTTACCATTACTTCTAAGATGTAGCCTTTAGGATAGTAAGTGAAAAGCTGGCATTTTTACCAGGGTCTTTCTTTCCTGGTCTCTAAACTGCAACTTTTGTCTTTCTACCTCATTGTATTTGCCAAAGACCTGCTCAGCCTCTTGGCCATTCACATACAGCTTTTCATTCTGAAATTGGCAATCACTTGATTTCCCTTTTCTTTCAAATCTTGATCTTGAAACTATCATTACCTTGACAGATTTCTGATACTTTCAAGCAGATTTTTTAAAGTATTTTGTCCGTTTTTCGACTTGTATTCTGCCTGATTGTTGATCTGAAACAACCTACACTGCTATCACTTTCAGTGGAATTCCTCTTTGGGGGTATTTAGTAGGCATTTTGGAGAAGCTTTGTCATGGGCTACCATGAGGGTCAATTTTAAACTTGAAGTTTAGGACATGATTTTTGAAGGAGAAACCTTAGAACTTTTTCTTCTAACCTGTTAATTTCATAAATGTTAATTAGAGTAAGAATGGAAAATATTCCAAACTATTACATATATTAAGAAAATGCCGTTAGATTCTTCCTAGCAATCTTTAAACCTAAGGAATATATTTATTTCTATTCTCAGGGATGCTTTTGTATTTTCTTACTGTAATAGTAAGTTGCAGTGTTGACAGGATGAGTAGATGGTATCTCTCAGAGACTCTTAATCTTCTTTCAGATCAATTTCATTAACTTTCCTCAGGTAAAGCAGGACAAAAACCAGATATTTTTAGCAATGACTGGCTAATAGGTTCATTTATTAAAAATTTTACCAAATATCTAGTGAATGCTCTTGTTATTCCAAACCTGTTGTTGCTACTGCATAAGATTTGTTTTTCCTTAAAAGTTTCTAACCTAAAATGCCTCTCCATTTTTTGATGTTCTGTATTGCTTTAGGTGGGACCCTTTTTTTTTTCTTACTTACAGACTCATGAAACCTAATCTCTGACACTCACCACTTGGCTTTTGGCCTAATCAAGGTCCTTTTACTTCAAACTAGTTATTTCATCCTTGTAATTAGTAGAAATTTACCGCATATTCTGGCAATGGGCTGTTTGTAAGTTCTAATGTTCTCTGTTGTTATGAATGTTTATGTTTTTCTGGGCCTTTAATAGGTAATTTAGTAGAAACAGGAAGAAGCTGTTTTTTAAAAATATATATCTTTAATCAATATTGATGATATAAAAATGAAAGAAGATGATTAGATTAAAATAAATAACCAACTGTGGCCCAAATTATAGCATATTTTAGTCTGAAAATGCCAGGCTTTTCCAATGAACATTTTCAGGCAATAAGTGACTTGCCCCAAGTCATAAATTAAATAGACAATTATCTCCATTTGTTTAGGAAAAAATGGTCACTGCCGGAGAGCAAATAGCTTGCTATTTTCTAGGTTGCGGTGAAGTGGACTACACTGCCCTCTTTAAAATAATATGCTGCAGAGATCCACCTCTGGGGTTGAACAACAAATCCATCTTTAAAGGTCGAATGCCACACTCAGGATATGTTCTATGATCTTCCTAAGGCAATGCTGCCTTAGAAACTAAGTAAAGTTCTGTTGCCTTTAAAGTATAAATAGAGGCTCAAGATTCTGTAAACAGAAGATGAATAAACCAGCTAGGGAAAAAAAGAAAGCTTGCCAAATAACAACACTAGGCCAACTCCGAGAGAGCAAAGCCCTTGCTGGTATTTATCCACACCCGTTCTGTGTGTCACTTCCTTTGTCATCAACAACAGGATGACTTTTCTAAATCCCATTGTAATGAGTAGTTGAAAAACGCAGGCATTTCTTAGTAAATAAATATTTCATATTTAAGGGGTTTCTCAGTGGGGCACTTCCAATCTGTAACAAATGACTTACGGCAAATTCTAATGATGTTTCTTGCCATGGCAAGAATCATTTAGAGAGAGGGCCAATATATATGTCCAGGGTTACAATGCCATGGGGTATAAAGTCTGGAAGCTGAACTGTGGCCACTGGATCTAAAGCAGGTACCTCACTAACCACGCTTGGAACATTTTCTTGGGGATGGGTTCAAAAACTTCCTAATGATCAGAACCACAAATTAGAATAGGACTAAGCATAGGTGGCTTTCTCTAAGATTTAATATGTCTCCTAAATGTCCAGAATGATGCCTAAAATTAACTTATTGATCAATATTTTGATTAAGACACTGAGGGAACCTCTCAAAATGCAAATATTTTCTGGGAGAAGATATTAAATAATGCTGAGCATTAATAATCTAATGAAATGACTTTTCAGAGATCAGATAATGATTCATTTAGCAGAGCCCTGAGGAAATGAGAAATAAACATGTAGTTTAGGTAAGAGAGAAGGGTTGCACAAATTCTGGAGTGCTAATGCTATAAGCAAGGATTTCTACTTGATATAGAATTAATTTACTTACTGATGTGTCTTTGGTAAATTGTTCCAGCCTTTTCTGTTACTTTTTATGTTTGTACACTTTTATCTAACCAACACAGCATGGGATAGGCCAATAGTTAGAATACCATGGAGTGAAAAAGCAGGAATAGAGAGCCCAGCAGGAATTACAAAGGTCCTGGGATTATTTCCTAGAGTCCAAGCCTTATAAATTGTAATGCAAAAGAAATTGATGGTCAAAAACTGTACTCTTGGAATGTTGAATGTAGCAGCCCTGTTCAGAAGTGCATGCTTGTACCCAAATATGACTCTACACATATGTGGTCTAAAATCTGTCTCCAAAAACCAGTCTACTGGAGAAACTGAGGTGACTTGGCATGTACCCACAGGTTTGTGGCACACTAACTGGATGAGTGGTTACAGATGAGGATCACAGAGGGAAGAATCTGGGAATCATGGAGAAAGCTGTAAAGCCCTGACAGATAAGGTAGGTGTAGGACTTGGGCAGAAAAGGGGTACCAAATGACAACAAAGGTCAACTTTGCAACTTCATGGTTTTGTGATGGCTGGGTAACAACCCAAATGTACACACTACCAATTGCCGACTGAATACTCAGTCAACAGCTGCGAGGCAAAACTGATGTTTATGGAATTCTACTTCAAACTATATTTAATATGTTAGAGGTTTGTCATTCAAAGATAATCATTTAAAAATATCCTAAATGGAAAACTACTTAATCTCAGTTTAAAAAATGGACTTTCTCCTAAAATAATAGAAATTCTAGCTATTCAACCGAACAGGCATACTCAAAGGCTCATGCAATAACTTTCTTCAAGGTTTCTACCCTGAGATTCTGTGTTAACTTCTCAGATATTTTCCAGGTCTAAAATTCTATGTGTATCAGAGGTAAATTTTTAAATCATCAGAATCAAAATCATACTGCTGGGTTAGAAAGAACCTTCACTATCAGGTGAGGAGTCCACCTCCATCTGATGATTTGATCTGATCTGCACTTGGATTACTTAGTGATGGGGGGACACACCTCATTCCATGCCTTCAGAGGGTAAGCTTCACTCTCAGGAAGCTCTGCTTTATTTATACTTTCCATTCATTGGTCTTAGGTCTATGCCTTTGTTTTATAGACAATTTCATGTCTTCATAAAGACAAATGTTAAAAATTTTTGAGTTGCTCTTTGGATAAAAAGACATTGGTATAGTTTTGAGTCTTTTTTATCCATCAGATTTTCTTTCTGGTAAATTATACTTTTCATATATTGAACATAACTGAACAGTTTTTTCAAACATCCTAAGGCTTGGTATGTAGCGGTACAACTACAAAACTGAAATGCCTTTTAAAATATAGTCATTTTAAAGGTAATAATTATCTTCAAGAGTGTGAATTCATGAGCAAAAATAGTCGTAGTTGTTATAGGCAAATATTTAATAAATTTAAAACAGAAGAGCTTATTTATTCAGTAAATAGATATTCTTTCTGCCAAGCCCTGTGCTTTGTCTTAGAGATACAGTGGGGGAAAAGGAATAGCTACATCCTCAAGGAGCTATTTTTGGAGAAAAAGATAGGATAACAGGAACAAGATAATAGAGTACATCATGTTAAATGCTACGAAAGAAAAAGTGCAGTTCTACAGGGAAAGAGGAAAGCCATCTAAACAAGTCATAGAGGTAAGGAAGAGAGGTAAGGGAAGGGTGTGTAGGACTTAGCCTGATGAAGGTGGTCATTGTGTTGTTGCGTTGGGCAGAACTTAATGGTGTGGAAGAGGTCTTCCAAAAAGAGAGGTTACTGGGATAGTTTGCAAATGAGAGAAATGGCATGTTGAGAAAACTGCAATTGTTCTTTGGGAAGCCGAGGTGGGTGGGTCACGAGGTCAGGACCAGCCTGGACAAGATGGTGAAACCCCTCTCTACTAAAAATACAAAAATTAGTAAGGTGTGGTGGCAGGTGCCTGTAATCACAGCTACTCGGGAGGCTAAGGCAGGAGAATTGCTTGAACCCGGGTGGCAGAGGTTTGCAGTGAGCCAAGATCACGCCACTGAACTCCAGCCTGGGCAACAGACTGAGACTCCTTCTGAAAAAAAAAAGAAAAGAAAACTGCAATTGTTTACACATAACCTGAGCTGGGAGTTGGGCAAAGGAGGGAAGAGAAGGGAGAGGAGGATGAGGAGAAGAAAAAGGAAAGAGAAGAGATGAGAGTTAGGAGTGGAAGTGAAGAAAAGTTGAGGACTGGGATGAAGAGTTAAGTAAGGTCATGTTCTGATAGTTTCATAAACTATGTTAAGGACTTTAGACTTTGTCTTAAGGGCAGTGAGGGGGCACTGAAAGGTATTAAAAGGACGTACCTTTTAGAAATATTGCATTGGTTGAAGTGTGGAGAAGGGCTGAAAAGGATCCAGACAGGATACAGGCACATGGATCAGAAAACTGTAGGAACAATCTAGGCACAGAATGATGATGGCTTGAACCAAAGGTTGCAAGCCATGAGATGGAGAGATGTGGGAAAATTCCAAGTGTGATATGAAGAAGATGAATGGTGTTTTTCTTCCCCAGGTGGTGGGACTCTCAACGCTGACATCCAGATTTCTGCTTAGGTAGCTGGATACACCAAGGTACCGTTGATCTGGACAGGGGAGCAGTGGTGCACGGGAAGGAACATGAGGTTGTTTTGCTTGTAGTTTTCAAGTTTGATACATTTTGAGGAAATCTGAGTGAAAATATACAGTAGTAGTTTAACTACTGGAGTCCAAAGCTCAGGAGAGAGTTTTGGGGTGGAGACATTTCTGAATCATCAACTTTTGAGTAGAAAGCAAAGCCTCAAGTGTGGATCTCATTGCCCAGGAAGAGTATGAAGAGTGAGGTGACCAGAGACCCACGGAGGGATCCCTAGGAGGTAGTCAGAGAAAGAGGAATCTTCAGAAGACTCTAAGAAACACAGTTAGTGAACTAAAGAATAATATGCACCCAAATGAAAGGGCACAACACTCCAGCTTCATCTCCACCAGCAGCATATGGGTGGCTCCAGCTCCCACTGCAGGGCCTCCTGGGATTCCAGGTCCCAAAGCATGTTCTTGTCAGCTGGCCTTGGCTACCTGGGATGTGAGCAGCTTCTTGCTATTGATAATCTCTGATTGCATCATCTTCCTTTGTTTGGTCTTTCAGCTTTTCTATCGCCTGTGTAACCAATTCCAAGCATTCAATCCTCTCTATGTGAAAGAGTAAAAGTAGTATCTTCTTTCCTGGATGGACCATGACTGGACCATGACTGGCAAAGAGATCCACACTCGCAGTACCTCTCCCACTCCCTCCCCTCCTCCAAACTCTGAAGATAGTTATTTGTTTTGTTTTGTTTTGTTTTGTTTTGTTTTGTTTTGTTTTGTGGTCTCCGCTTAACACTAACTGGGAGCAAGAAGTGCTAGAAATCTAACTGGAAGGTCTGGTTCCTGCAAAAAGTTAAAATCCAGAGTTTCAGAAGCAGCCTGAAAGTTTTAATTATAATGAAAACAGCCACTAGATTTTAGCCCTTGTGAGTTCAGCGTTTCCTGTACATTGCTCAATTCCTGCAATACAATCGCCATCTACTCCTCGTATCAGAGGCAACACATATCTCATTCCTTTCTCGGCTCTTCAGTTCTGTAGGATCCAACGTGCCTGTTGGAAGTACACTGAGGAATAATGACTTTATGTTCATGACATTACCTTCTATGTGCATTTGAAAATTCTTGCCAAGCGTTCGGGACTATGTGGTGTTCTGATGTTCACTGGGGCACCAGAGGAGGCTAACTTTTTCTTCTATTACAATCAAAGCCTAAAAGGAAGAAGAAGCATTCTCCAAATAAGGGGTTCAGTTCTTAAATACAGGATCATTCTGGGGCCCACAGTAAGTGCAGAGTGGGTTTGTTTTTTTTCCCTATTATTTTTGGTTCGTTGTTTTTCCGGTGGGACAGCTATACAAGGTAGAAAGCCATAATTCCACCCCAGTATAATTGGCAGAGCCATTCTGTGAGGCCCCGGGGTTACAGCACCCACACCCTGGCAACGAAGCTGCGGGCCTTCCTGTTTGCCAGCATCAGTGGTCATATTATGGCTTGTGTGCCGGCAGCACCCTTTTCTAATTCTCTTTTAGGAGGAAATAATAAAAGGATCGGAGGATACTTATTCAGCGGCTTGCAGAAAAGACCTCAAAAACCTATTTATTATGCTGCGGTCTACAGGGAATTTGCTTCTGGCGTTTGATTTCAACTAAGATAAACTAACTAATGAAGGAAAATAAGTTTCAGAATCAAAGCTCCTCCTTCTCATTACTACCAGTCTGAGAAATGTTTATAAACTCTCTGTCGTGCATCTGACCTTTAAATAGGGTCCCTGTGGAGTGCTCTCTCTCTCTCTCTCTCTCTCTCTCTCCCTCTCTGTCACTCACTCACTCCTTCTTGCCTTCTCGCTTACCCCCTTTACTCTAAATATCTCCCTTCTTCCATTCCCATTATATTCAATGAGCTCTTTTGTTTTTCTTTATTCCTTTTCTCTTCTCTTTGGCTCTAATCTCTTCTTCTCCTTGTTCCCTTTCTATTCTAAGATCAAAAAATTAACATTCCTCTTAGGGACAAATAGTGCCTTAAGGTGACTTCTATCAGAAGCTCTTTATATCAATTTTCCCCTCTTCTCTTTGTGATGGTCTTTTAGTTTCTCTCCACGATTAGCTTTGACCTCTTCACTGTGTTTCTTCCTTCAGCATCTCCCTGGTACCATGACAGTGACTCATATTAGAAAAGAGTATGATGATTTTTCTTGAAACTTTCCCTTTATATTCCATACTGGAGTTTGTGGTTTGAGGCACTGGATAGATTGAGTTGGCTGGGATAGGTTGTTGTAATCATGACCCCAATGTATTCACACATCTCTGTATGCATGACATTTTGCAAGGTGACTTTCCTGATTCTCTTACAAGAGGTGAAGTCTATTTCTCTACTCCTTGACCAGTGCCTTGTTTTGGCCAATGCAACAAGTGCAAAAGTAATCCAAACAGAGGCTTGAAAGTGCTTGCACATTGGTGACTGCTCTCTTGCTGTCAGTAGCCTTCTGCCACTAGGTGACAAGCCCAGGATGGTGGGCTTCAGGGTGAGGACCTGGTGGTGAGGGCTGAGCAGCCATCCCATATGAGGTCCCAGACAAGAGGTACCTGCAGAATTGTGACATGAGCTCTCAGAGGCGTTTTGTGCCCTTTCAGCTTTCTCTTCCTTTAAATGGATATTTGGGAAAAGTTAAAAATAAGAAAACTTTAAAAATACTATTTAGTATCATTTATCAGTGAAATGACATTCTTAATTTCTTGTTGATAGATTTCACTTTTAAATCTTCTTGTGGTTTCATGAGCAGAGTAACCAATGGGATATATTTGCAGACAAGCCCATTTTTGCCTTTTAATAGTGCATACAATCATGAAAATGCTATTTCTTGTTTGAATTTACTAGGTTTTGGAGTGGGTCACTAGGCAGCACAATCTAATAGTGTCTAAATGAGACAACCCGTGCAAAATGCAAGACACAGTGTCAGGCACATACTGGTTGTTCCATGCTTGTTTGTTGAATAAAAGCAAGAATATTTAACTTATTCTTGAAATAGAAAGTGAAATATTTTTCCAACTTTGAGATCCTCTTACATGGAACTATAGTGCATCTATATTTATTTCTTCATATCTTTTTCTTAATCCTGATGTTAATTTTGCATATGCCGATTTTTAGACACTCATTGAAGGCATAATTGCAAAAAGGTGGAACTAGGGATGGAAAAGCAAAGGAGAGAGGGCAGAAAACAAAGTAGGAGAAAGTTTGTACAGTGTAGTCTTGATTGCTTCTCAGTCTTTTGGCTAAGATCAAGTGTATAGCATGGTCTTGGCTCAGCTACAGAAAGTGGATGTGAAATAATCGTGGCCTTAAAACTACTTGGGAATGGGTTGGAGTGAAGAAGCTGATAGATGTCTTAGAAGAATCAGGTACCTCTTCTGTCTTTTCATGTGCACATGAGGTAGCATTAAGGCTGTGTTTAACTTCTGTATTTGGGAGAGCGGTTGAGAAATACCTACTTAGCTCTGGCAATATGACTGAGTTAAGTAAACATTTCCCAGACTGTTCATATCTCAAGCTCCCAAGTTAACTGCAATTCGAGACCTTAAAGGCATGTTTCAACAGTTCATAATTATAAAGCACTGAACATTTAAATGGAAGACCAAGAACAACAACAACAAAAGAAAATATCAATCAAATGCTTTTTTTCGATATGTAGATCAGCAAAATGAATTACAAGCATTTCATTTACACTTCAAAGATAGAAGATCTTGAAATACCTCAATCACATGAAACAGAGGTTGGCAAACTACAACCTGCAGAATAAATCTGGCCTGCCACCTGTTTTGGTAAATAAAGCTTTACTGGAACACAAACATGCTCGTTCATTTGCATATTGTCTATGGCTGATTTGAGCTACACTAGCAGAGTTGAGTAATTCAGACACAAACCAGATGGCCTGCAAAGCCTAAAATATTTACCGTCTGCTCCTTTAAAGAAAATGTTTTTCCAGCCCCTGACATAGAAGAAGGTAAATGGAAACTACGCTTGTACCTCTGTGAATACCAGTCACTCAAGATGTGTAAAATATCAATGGTATTCTCTTCATATTACCTTTGCTATCTTTGCTATTTCATTTGGTGACCTTGTATTGAGCATTCTGGCTTGAATATGGGACTCAGGTATATCCAGGCAGGGGAAGTGAGAGCTCTAGAAGCCCGCTTTCATGGGGACTGAGGAGCATCTTTGGAGAACTTCATTTGGGGCAAGACCAAGTCAGGAACACAGGGCTCACCTCAGTAACAGAGTGTTGGCTGCCACCAAGGGGCATTTCTGAGTACAGCTCGGTTTCAGTTATTGAAATTTGTTTTCCAATCACAACTTCATCAAACTTACCTTTTCTTTCTCATGAAATCAGGAACCAAAATTATTCTGAGTTATTTCACAGAAGTATCTTTAAGAAATCAGTCATATACAGTGCTGCTTCGCAATCCCTTTGAAGGGGCATAAACACACAAAAATGAAAGGGAAAGAGGCATCTCTCCCTTCAGTGCCACACAATAAATGTCATGCAATTCTGGCAATGTGTTGACTCTGGTAAGGTTTTGGTATCAAGGAATGTGGTGACCAAGATGGTGGATGGCTGTAGAGGGCAGAGTGCCTACTTAGTGAAGCTTGGTTGAACAGAAAGTTTGAACAGAAAGAAGCACTGGCCCTTGGAGCTTGGGCTGCAGTATAAGAAGTGCAGAGGAAACCTCAGCTCCGGCAGAGTGGCCCCGAGGGCCAGGGACTTGGCAGAGCTGGATGATGCTTAGAGACCATCACTCAGCACTCAAGTTTCAGCCAACTTTCTGAGTTACCCCTGACCACACTGGAGTGGAAGAAATAAATATTTTGTTCTCATCAGAATTATTTTTCCCTTTGTTTAAAAGTAGCTGAGGGAATCAGAGTAGATAGGAATCAGAGAATTGCTTTTGTGCCAGCAGGAATATAAGGAAAAGAGAATGTGCCTTCGGTTTGCTCTTCCTCCTAACCTCAAGCCATGAGTTTTTTTCTTCCCCAGGAAGTAATGACCTTTAGGCTCACATGCTTATCTTTACAGGTTTGCAAAGAACCAGTGCAAAAGCCCTTTCACCACACCAGAGAGATTTTGAGGCCAAGCTCCAAAACTCTAAGGGAAAGAGAGGCCAGCTGCTGAGAAAATACAGGTCTCTTTCCAAATCAAAGAAAGACAATCTTTCCCTAACTTTGATCACGTCACTTAATCTTTCATAGTCTAAGCTAAAAAATTAATACTATTTATAGAGAGATTCTTCCAAGAAAGGGGCCCTATGCCTTTTATTTTCAAGAAGTATTTCCTCTATAATGGGTGTAATGTGCTTTCTGGAGGAATGGCTTATATGTAAGAATGATACTTCACCTATAGACCATTGTAAAATTTCCTCAAATTCATCACAGAAGTAAAATGAAAGCTAGGGATGATGGGTAGCCAGCTCCACAAAAAGAGTCTTTATGGTAAAATATATTAGGGAAATGCTAAATTTGAAAAAAAATAAATGGTTTATTTACTTCAGAACTTCTGAGGTTCTTAAATATACCAATATATGAAATGCAGTTTTACATGAGTGATATAATTTGAAGTATTATCCAAATGTATTTGACCACTGGGACCCTTTTGTACACCATAATGTTACACAAAGTGCATTCATTCTTTGCACGTTTTAAAACCTCAATTTATTATGGGACAGGAATTTGCTTAGGATGGTAGAAATCTGGGAGTATGCATTGTGTTAGACAGAACTCTTAGGGCTGAAGGTGATACAAATTCAATGCAAAATAGCTTAACTAAAACCAAAATGCTCTTCTCATGTCGCTGAGGAGCTGGGGTGTGTGACTGAGCAGGGGCTCAAGCAGAGGACTTGCCTCACATACCGCCTCAGTCCTCTCTCTCTCTCCCCTTCCATCTTTCAGCTTTTCTTTTCTCTGGTTTTATTTTTGTTTGATTTTGCTTTGTTTTGTTGTTTCCCCCAAACAGGCTCTTTCTACAAGGTGGAAGGAAAGAATGCTTCTTTTCTGAGAATCTCAGCAAAATTCAGAAAGAGCACTCACTGTCTAACTTTGGTGATGGATCCTCCCCTAATCCAAAAACTATGACAAAGAAATGCAGAATTATAATGGGTTAGGTCGAGGGCATGTGTCCACTCCATGATGGAAGTGAAGAAGGAGTTATTTCCATTCGATCTATATGGAATATGTTATTGATAAGAGAAATCTTATCAATTTAATTTTTAATGGAAGATAAATGAAGAGATGTCGGGCAGGTTGAAATCAACCAATGTCCACTCGGTCCGTTCATGCATACATCATGTCTGGTGGGGTGCCTCCCTGCTTAGGCTTTTAACTTATCAATCCTGGGTCACAGTCATTATCTCTGGTCAAGTAAATTCACTTGGAATGAAACATGTCTGTGACACCTATGTTCTCCTTTATCTTGTACAAAGTATTAACTCTGTAAACCAGAGAGTAAAAAGATTCTCTAAAAGAGTCATTTGCAAAGTGTGATCCTACAGCAGCATCAATACCAGCTTGAAACTTGGTAGAAAGGCAAACAGTTGGATGCCACCCAGACCTACTAAAGCAAATCTCCAGGGTGGGACACAGTAATGTGTTTTCTCAAGCCCTCTAGGTGATGCTGAAGTACACTAAACCTGAGAACCACTGCTATTTAGAGATAGTTCAGAATCACTTAACCGTTGGTCACTTCGGAACCTCAGATAGAACCTTTCTCTTAATAATCTGCATGAGGATCTCTTCTCTGCTCATTTTGATTCAACAGGTGTGGGATGGTGCTTGTTCATCTGTATTTTACCAGAGCTCCAGAAGTAATTTAACTGTGTATTCAAGTTTAAGGACCACTGTTTGAAAAGAGCAAAATGTTTAAGGTAAGGCTGGTAGCTAAATTTCAACAGTGTAGGCAGCCACCACAATTCAAGAACAGCCCGTTAATTGGGACAGAATAGAAACTGACCCCAGGATTTGAAAGCAGCTGTAGCAGAAGAACTCAAGCCAGGAAGGCTAATGAAATGTGATGACGATGAAGGAAGCCCTTTCAAAGGATGTGGTATAACTGAGCAACACTCAGGAACTGAAGAAGAGAGAGGCTCCTGCAACTCAGCAATCCTAGAGATTTGGAAGGGGACAAGGCACAGAACAAAAGAATGTTTGAGCAAAGGCATTAGATAATCTTGCAAGGTCTAGAGGCAGGGCCCTAGGTGGCAACAGATTCTACCACCAGGCTACGGACAATATGCATACAGATATCTTCCAAAATATAGACATTTTCTGTTATTTCAGCTCTCCTGACACACGTGGAAAACAACTCACCAGCAGTGTCATTTTGGGATATAGAAAGCAAAGAGACATAACACCCTTCAACAAGAATCTTGGCAGCATCAGTAATCTCAACACGTATTAAAAATACCAGCAAGTGCTTGATTTCCTGAGGGATAGTTATGCAGAAAAGGGTGACCAGCTGTTCTCCCTTTCCCAGAGGATGTGAGCTTAAGTGGCAATACAGGGGATGCAGGTTATCATAAGGAGATACTTCTGCCAAGAAAGTCTTGAGATGCAGACACTAAAATGGATTATCACGAGAAGCTGAGGAAGGCCAGAGGGAGCTGTCTCCTGGGGTGGGGCCCATTGCACTCAGAGCTCTTCTTGCTTCCCTGAGATAGTCCCTGGTATCTCTGCAAACTCCATCGAAGGAAGCAGACGTGGAACAGTTTCTAATACGTGGTTTGCCAAAACATTGAGGACTTGAGGGAATGAGGCACAGAGCCTGTTAGGTTTAAATAATCCTCTGACGGCTCCCCTGGGAACTCCCTAACAATCCAAATTAGAGCATGCATGCAAGCAATCTATTCTTGAGTATTTAATAAAGGATGTTCCAGTTGGTGGATTTCCGTGACCCTTCGCTTCTTTTTTCTACCTACTTTTAATCATTTCACTGCCTTTTAGCACTTCCACCAAGTGATGGTAGATGGAAACTGGAGAGAAAAACTCAAGTCAGTTTTGCTATAGGTTAGCAGCTCTGCTATAGGAAGTGGCCTCCTAAAACTCAGAGGGACAAAAGCCTGCTTAATAAACACAGTAAAGGGAATGCCGTCTATCTGAAGTCTCCCCAGAAACAGTGTGGTGTAAGAAAGATGGCACAGGATTGACAGTTGGTCAACTTCATTCTCGTACAAATTGAATCTCCGTTCATCACTGGTAAGACTGAGATAAAACCCTTTACCTAGTGGGGTCCTGGTAGGAACCAAATAAGCTAATAAATGCTCAGTGTGGAACACTCTCTCCCTGTGCTGTTAGTGCTGCTAAACCACAGAACCCTGGCTCATCCTTTAAACAGAATCCTGAAGGACCCCAAAACCAGGTCTAAGGGGAGGAAGAATAAATGAAGAAGAAAGGAGCAGTGAAAGGCAGAAATGTAGGAGCTGAATCAATAGCACACAGACTGCTGGGGCTGTTGCATCTCTAAAGCTATTGCCTACTACTGGTACTACTACCACCACCACTATTATTGGGAGTTTATTAAGGACTTGCTGTATGCCAAAGACTCAAGTATATGGCCTCTGATCATCTAACTAGTAAGTGCAGATCCTGGATCAGAACCGAAATATGCCTGAATTCAAAGCCCATGCATTTGTTACACCCTGGATGATGGTGAACAAAGACTAGATTCCAGTGAAGGAATGCTATGTGTTTCTAACTTTTTTTAACGGTTTTTTTTTTAATTCTCCATGCAGACTCTCACTAAGTGAGGTTCCCTAAGCTTGCTCTTACTCCCTGTAATCTGACAGAGCCTGAATATACAACTTGAGTTCCCCCATGTGTTTGCTCCTGACCTCTATTTGATAGAGCAATCTCTTAAGTAGAAACTGGTTTCTGGACATCTTCACGCTAGCATGGTTATTTAATACTATGAATCTCCCTCTGTACACTGCTTTAACTGCATCTCACAGATTTCGATAATTTTTGTTCCATTTTTCTAATTTCCCTTTGGATTTCCTCTCTGACTTATTATTTAGATGTATATTGTTTAATTTTCAACAGTTTGGAGATTTTACTATTGTCTTCCTGTTATTGATTTCTAATTTAATTTCATTATGGTTGGAAAATACACTTTGTTTGATTTTATTTCTTTTAAGTTGTTGTTTATTTTATGACCAAGGATATAATCTATCTTGATAAATGTCCATGTGTTCTTGAAAGGTATGTGTATTCTGTTATTGTTAGATAGTATCAGTTAAATCCATTTGTTAGATAAGTATCAGTTAAATCCATTTGGCTGTGGTATTATATTTGTTCCTCTTTTTCCCTGCTGATTTTATTTCTACCTTTTTACTGATTACTGAAAGAGATGTCAAAGTCTTTAACTATAATTTCTCCTCCTATTTCTCTTACCTTTATTTTGACATTATGTTGTTAGGTATATAAATGCTTAGGCTATTATGTTTATCTGTGATTTTATCATTATGTAGTGTCTCTCTTTATCCCTAGTAATTTTACTTACTGTGAAGTGTACTTTATCTGATATTTATATAGCCACATAAGCTTTTTCTCCATTACTGTTTGCAGTTATCTTCTCTATTATTTTGCCTTTATCCTAACCATATCTTTACTTATTTATTTATTTATTTGTTTATTTATTTATTTATTTTAGAGAAGAGGTCTCACTTTGTTGCCCAGGCTAGCCTCAAACTCCTAGGCTCAAGTGGTCTTCACACCTCAGCCTTCCAAGTAGTGGGGATTACATATGCCACTATGCCTAGCTCATCCATATCATCATTTTAAAATGGGATTGTTTTAGACAGTTTACGGTTTCGATTTTATTTTTATTTATTATGACAATCTAAATACTTTAATTGGTGTGTTTAGATCATTTATATTCCATGTTATTATTTTTATATTTGGATTTAGGTCTACCATTTTTATTATTATTATTATTATACTTTAAGTTTTAGGGTACATGTGCACAATGTGCAGGTTTGTTTCATATGTATACATGTGCCATGTTGGTGTGCTGCACCCATTAACTCGTCATTTAACATTAGGTATATCTCCAAATGCTATCCCTCTCCCTTCCCCCACCCCACAACAGTCCCTGGAGTGTGATGTTCCCCTTCCTGTGTCCATGTGTTCTCATTGTTCAATTCCCACCTATGAGTGAGAACACGCAGTGTTTGGTTTTTTGTCCTTGCGATGGTTTGCTGAGAATGATGGTTTCCACTTTCATCCATGTCCCTACAAAGGACATGAACTCATCATTTTTTATGGCTGCATAGTATTCCATGGTGTATATGTGCCACATTTTCTTAATCCAGTCTATCATTGTTGGACATTTGGGTTGGTTCCAAGTCTTTGCTATTGTGAATAGTGCCACAATAAACATACATGTGCATGTGTCTTTATAGCAGCATGATTTATAATCCTTTTGGTATATAACCAGTAATGGGATTGCTGGGTCAAATGGTATTTCTAGTTCTAGATCCCTGAGGGATCACCACACTGACTTCCACAAGGGTTGAACTAGTTTACAGTCCCAACAACAGTGTAAAAGTGTTCCTATTTCTCCACATACTCTCCAGCACCAGTTGTTTCCTGACTTTTTAATGATCGCCATTCTAACTGGTGGGAGATGGTATCTCATTGTGGTTTTGATTTGCATTTCTCTGATGGCCAGTGATGATGAGCATTTTTTCATGTGTCTTTTGGCTGCATAAATGTCTTCTTTTGAGAAGTGTCTGTTCATATCCTTCACCCACTTTTTGATGGGGTTGTTTGTTTTTTTCTTGTAAATTTGTTTGAGTTCATTGTACTCATCTGACAAAGGAATATTAGCCCTTTGTCAGATGAGTAGGTTGCGAAAATTTTCTCCCATTTTGTAGGTTGCCTGTTTACTCTGATGATAGTTTCTTTTACTATGCAGAAGCTCTTTAGTTTAATTAGATCCCATTTGTCAATTTTGGCTTTTGTGGCCATTGCTTTTGGTGTTTTAATCATGAAGTCCTTGCCCATACCTATGTCCTGAATGGTATTGCCTAGGTATTCATCTAGGGTTTTTATGGTTTTAGGTCTAACATGTAAGTCTTTAATCCATCTTGAATTAATTTTTGTATAAGGTGTAAGGAAGGGATCCAGTTTTAGCTTTCTACATATGGCTAGCTAGTTTTCCCAGTACCATTTATTAAATAGGGAATCCTTTCCCTATTGCTTGTTTTTGTCAGGTTTGTCAAAGATCACATGGTTGTAGAGATGTGGCATTATTTCTGAGGGCTCTGTTCTGTTCCATTGATCTATATCTCTGTTTCGGTACCAGTACCATGCTGTTTTGGTTACTTTAGCCTTGTAGTATAGTTTGAAGTCAGGTAGTGTGATGCCTCTGGCTTTGTTCTTTTGGCTTAGGATTGACTTGGCGATGCAGGCTCTTTTTGGTTCCATATGAACTTTAAAGTAGTTTTTTCCAATTCTGTGAAGAAAGTCATTGGTAGCTTGATGGGGATGGCATTGAATCTATAAATTAACTTGGGCAGTATGGCCATTTTCATGATATTGATTCTTCCTACCCATGAGCATGGAATGTTCTTCCATTTGTTTGTATCCTCTTTTATTTCATTGAGCAGTGGTTTGTAGTTCTCCTTGAAGAGGTCCTTCACATCCCTTGTAAGTTGGATTCCTAGGTATTTTATTCTGTTTGAAGCAATTGTGAATAGGAGTTCACTCATGATTTGACTCTCTGTTTGTCTGTCATTGGTGTAGAAGAATGCTTGTGATTTTTGCATATTGATTTTGTATCCTGAGACTTTGCTGAAGTTGCTTATCAGCTTAAGGAGATTTTGGGCTGAGACAATGGGGTTTTCTAGATATACAATCATGTCATCTGCAAACAGGGACAATTTGACTTCCTCTTTTCCTAATTGAATACCCTTTATTTCCTTCTCCTGCCTGATTGCCCTGGCCAGAACTTCCAACACTATGTTGAATAGGAGTGGTGAGAGAGGGCATCCCTGTCTTGTGCCAGTTTTCAAAGAGAATGTTTCCAGTTGTTGCCCATTCAGTATGATATTGGCTGTGGGTTTGTCATAGATAGCTCTTATTATTTTGAGATATGTCCCATCAATACCTAATTTATTGAGAGTTTTTAGCATGAAGGTTGTTGAATTTTGTCAAAGGCCTTTTCTGCATCTATTGAGATAATCATGTGGTTTTTGTCTTTGGTTCTGTTTATATGCTGGATTACATTTATTGATTTGTGTATATTGAACCAGCCTTGCATCCCAGGGATGAAGCCCACTTGATCATGGTGGATAAGCTTTTTGATGTGCTGCTGGATTCGGTTTGCCAGTATTTTATTGAGGATTTTTGCATCAATGTTTATCAAGGATATTGGTCTAAAATTCTCTTTTTTGGTTGTGTCTCTGCCAGGCTTTGGTATCAGGATGATGCTGGCCTCATAAAATGAGTTAGGGAGGATTCCCTCTTTTTCTATTGATTGGAATACTTTCAGAAGGAATGGTACCAGCTCCTCCTTGTACCTCTGGTAGAATTCGGCTGTGAATCCATCTGGTCCTGGAATTTTTTTATTGGTAAGCTATTAATTATTGCCTCAATTTCAGAGCCTGTTATTGGTCTATTCAGAGATTCAACTTCTTCCTCGTTTAGTCTTGGGAAGGTGTATGTGTCCAGGAGTTTATCCATTTCTTCTAGATTTTCTAGTTTATTTGCATAGAGGTGTTTATAATATTCTCTGACGGTAGTTTGTATTTCTGTGGGATCGTTGGTGATATCCCCTTTATCATTTTTTATTGCATCAATTTGATTCTTCTCTTTTCTTCTTTATTAGTCTTGCTAGCAGTCTATCAATTTTGTTGATCTTTTCAAAAACCAGCTCCTGGATTCATTGATTTTTTGAAGGGTTTTTTGTGTCTCTATTTCCTTCAGTTCTGCTCTGATTTTAGTTATTTCTTGCCTTCTGCTAGCTTTTGAATGTGTTTGCTCTTGCTTTTCTAGTTCTTTTAATTGTGATGTTAGGGTGTCAATTTTGGATCTTTCCTGCTTTCTCTTGTGGGCATTTAGTGCTATAAATTTCCCTCTACATACTGCTTTGAATGTGTCCCAGAGATTCTGGTATGTTGTGTCTTTGTTCTCATTGGTTTCAAAGAACATCTTGATTTCTGCTTTCATTTCATTATGTACCCAGTAGTCATTCAGGAGCAGGTTGCTCAGTTTCCATGTAGCTGCGCGGTTTTGAGTGAGTTTCTTAACCCTGAGTTCTAGTTTGATTGCACTGTGGTCTGAGAGACAGTTTGTTATAATTTCTGTTCTTTTACATTTGCTGAGGAGTGCTTTACTTCCAACTATGTGGTCAATTTTGGAATAGGTGTGGTGTGGTGCTGAAAAAAATGTATATTCTGTTGATTTGGGGTGGAGAGCTCTGTAGATGTCTGTTAGGTCTGCTTGATGCAGAGCTGAGTTCAATTCCTGGGTATCCTTGTTAACTTTCTGTCTCACTGATCTGTCTAATGTTGACAGCAGGATGTTAAAGTCTCCTATTATTATTGTGTGGGAGTCTAAGTCTCTTTGTAGGTCTCTAAGGACTTGCTTTATGAATCTGGATGCTCCTGTATTGGGTGGATATATATTTAGGATAGTTAGCTCTTCTTGTTGAATTGATTCCTTTACCATTATGTAATGGCCTTCTTTGTCTCTTTTGATCTTTGTTGGTTTAAAGTCTGTTTTATGTGAGACTAGGATTGTAACCCCTGTCTTTTTTTGTTTTCCATTTGCTTGGTAGATCTTCCTCCATCCCTTTATTTTGAGCCTATGTGTGTCTCTGCATGTGAGATGGGTTTCCTGAATACAGCACACTGATGGGTCTTGACTCTTTATCCAATTTGCCAGTCTGTGTCTTTTAATTGGAGAATTTAGCCCATTTACATTTAAAGTTAATATTGTTATGTGTGAATTTGGTCCTGTCATTATGATGTTAGCTGGTTATTTTGCTCGTTAGTTGATGCAGTTTCTTCCTAGCCTTGATGGTCTTTACATTTTGGCATGTTTTTGCAGTGGCTGGTACTGGTTGTTCCTTTCCATGTTTAGTGCTTCCTTCAGGAGCTCTTTTAGGGCAGGCCAGGTGGTGACAAAATCTCTCGGCATTTGCTTGTCTGTGAAGTATTTTATTTCTCCTTCACTTATGAAGCTTAGTTTGGCTGGATATGAAATTCTGGGTTGAAAATTCTTTTCTTTAAGAATGTTGAATATTGGCCTCCACTCTCTTCTGGCTTGTAGAGTTTCTGCCAAGAGATCTGCTGTTAGTCTGATGGGCTTCCCTTTGTGGGTAACCGGACCTTTCTCTCTGGCTGCCCTTAACATTTTTTCCTTCATTTCAACTTTGGTGAATCTGACAATTATGTGTCTTGGAGTTGCTCTTCTCGAGGAGTATCTTTGTGGGGTTCTCAGTATTTCCTGAATCTGAATGTTGGCCTGCCTTGCTAGATTGGGGAAGTTCTCCTGGATAATATCCTGCAGAGTGTTTTCCAACTTGGTTCCATTCTCCCCGTCACTTTCAGGTACACCAATCAGACGTAGATTTGGTCTTTTCACATAGTCCCATATTTCTTGGAGGCTTTATTCATTTCTTTTTATTCTTTTTTCTCTAAACTTCCCTTCTCACTTCATTTCATTCATTTCATCTTCCATCACTGATACCCTTTTTTCCAGTTGATTGCGTCGGCTCCTGAGGCTTCTGCATTCTTCACGTAGTTCTCGAGCCTTGGCTTTCAGCTCCATCAGTTCCTTTAAGGACTTCTCTGCATTGGTTATTCTAGGTATCCATTCGTGTAATTTTTTTTCAAAGTTTTTAACTTCTTTGCCATTGGTTTGAATTTCCTCCTGTAGCTTGGAGTAGTTTGATCGTCTGAAGCCTTCTTCTCTCAACTCGTCAAAGTCATTCTCCATCCAGCTTTGTTCCATTGCTGGTGAGGAGCTGCATTCCTTTGGAGGAGGAGAGGCACTCTGCTTTTTAGGGTTTCCAGTTTTTCTGCTCTGTTTTTTCCCCATCTTTGTGGTTTTATCTACTTTTGGTCTTTGATGATGGTGATGTACAGATGGGTTGTTGGTGTGGATGTCCTTTCTGTTTGTTTGTTTTCCCTCTAACAGACAGGATCCTCAGCTGCAGGTCTGTTGGAGTTTGCTAGAGGTCCACTCCAGACCCTGTTTGCCTGGGTATCAGCAGTGGTGGCTGCAGAACAGCAGTGGCTGCAGAACAGCGGTGGCTGTAGAACAGCGGATATTGGTGAACCACAAATGCTACTGCCGTATCGTTCCTCTGGAAATTTTGTCTCAGAGGAGTACCCAGCCGTGTGAGGTGTCAGTCTGCCCCTACCAGGGGGGTGCCTCCCAATTAGGCTGCTCGGGGGTCAGGGACCCACTTGAGGAGGCAGTCTGCCTTTTCTCAGATCTCCAGCTGTGTGCTGGGAGAACTACTACTCTCTTCAAAGCTGTCAGACAGGGACATTTAAGTCTGCGGAGGTTACTGCTGTCTTTTGTTTGTCTGTGCCCTGCCCCTAGAGGTGGAGCCTACAGAGGCAGGAAGGCCTCCTTGAGCTGTGGTGGGCTCCACCCAGTTGGAGCTTCCTGGCTGCTTTGTTTACCTAATCAAGCCTGGGCAATGGTAGGCGCCCCTCCCCCAGCCTTGCTGCCACCTTGCAGTTTGATCTCAGACTGCTGTGCTAGCAATCAGCGAGACTCCATGGGCGTAGGACCCTCTGAGTCAGGTGAGGGATATTCTCTCCTGGTGTGCCGTTTTTTAAGCCCATTGGAAAAGCTCAGTATTAGGGTAGGAGTGACCCGATTTTCCAGGTGCTGTCTGTCACCCCTTTCTTTGACTAGGAAAGGGAACTCCCTGACCCCTTGCACTTCCCGAGTGAGGTGATGCCTCGCCCTGCTTTGGCTCGCACACGGTGCACTGCAGCCACTGTCCTGCACCTACTGTCTGGCACTCCCCAGTGAGATGAACCCGGTACCTCAGATGGAAATGCAGAAGTCACCCATTTTCTGCATCACTCAACCTGGGAGCTGTAGACCAGAGCTGTTCCTATTCAGCCATCTTGGCTCCACCAACTCCATTTTGTTTTTTGTATTGTTTGCTTCCTCTGCTTTTTATTCCTGTTTTTCTCCTTAATTGTTTGAATTTTTGAGCATTTCATTTTAATTTTTCTGTTCCATTTAGATGGTATTTCTTTGAATAGGTTTTTAAAGTGGTTTTATTGCAAATTATAATATACAAACTTAACTTTCCACAGTCTACTTAGGGTTGATATTTTACTACTTCACATGGAATGTTGAAATCTTCCTGCCATATAGATCTCTTTATTCTCCCCTATCCTGTGTTGTAGTTCTCATATATTACATCTACATACTTTAAAGCCTCTTCAGACCATGCGATACCATTTTCTCTTAACTGCATAAATTTGAACATAAGAGAAAAATAGTCTATTATATTTACATATATATGTAGCATTTCTTTTACTGTTCCTTCATTGCTGTAAGTTTCTTTCTGGTATCATTTTCCTTCTGCCAAAAGAACTTACTTTAGTACTTCTTTCATAACAGCTCTACTAATGAGATATACTCTTATACCCTTAGTTTTTCTTTATCTGAGAATATCTTCATTTTTTTTTTTTTTTTGATACAGTCTTGCTGTTGTTGTCACCCAGGCTGGAGTGCAATGACATGATCTCAGCTCACTGCAACCTCCGCCTCCCAGATTCCAGCAATTCTCTTGCCTCAGCCTCCCGAATAACTGAGATTACAGATGCCCGCCACCAAGTCTGGCTAAATTTTGTATTTTTAGTAGAGACGGGGTTTCAGTATGTTGGCCAGGCTGGTCTCGATCTCCTGACCTCAGGTGATCTACCTGCCTTGATCTCCCAAAGTGCTGGGATTACAGGCATGAGCCACTGTGCCTGGCCTATTACATCTTTATTTCTAAAGAATATTTTTGCTGAGTATACTATTCATAATTGATAGTTCTTTTTCTTTAACACTTTAATGATGTATTTATGCTACCTTTTTACCTCCATGGTTTCCAGTAAGAAATAAGCAGTCATTGCTTCCCTTCGGTAGTGCATTGTTTTCCTCTAGCTGCTTTCAAATATTTTTCATTTCCTAAATTTATAGCTGTTAGATTACAATGTTTCTGGGTATGGGTTTCTTTGAGTTTATCCTTTTGGAGGTTTGCTGTATACTGTGGCTTGGTTTGTTTGACTCCTCCAAATCTCATGCTGAAATTTGATCCCCAGTGTTGGAAGTGGGGCCTGATGGGAGGTGTTTTGGTCATGGGAGTGGATCCCTCGTGAATGACTTGGTGCCATTTACACAGTGATGAGTGAGTTCTTGCTCTACTAGTTCCCGTAAGAGCTGGTTGTAAAAAAGAGCCTGGAAACTCCCCTCGATTCTCTTGTTTCCTCTCTCCCCATATGATGTCTGCACATGGCAGCTCCCCTTCACCTTCCACCTTTTGTGGAAGTGGCCTGAAGCTCTCACCAGAGGCAGATGCTGCTGCCATGCTTCTGGTACAACCTGAAGAACCATGAGCCAATTAAACTTCTTTTCTTTACAAACTGCTCAGTCTCAGGTGTTCCTTTACAGCCATACAAATGGACTAAGACACTGTACTTCTGTAATCTGCAAGTTAATGTCTTTTGCCAAATTTAGAAATGTTCAGCCATTGTTTCTCAAACAAGTTTTCTGTGACAGTCTTTTTCTGGAACTCTGATGATGTAAATGTCTTTTGCTTTTTCCAGAGTTCTCTTAGTCTTTGTTCATTTTTGTCAATCCTTTTTTTCTCTGTCATTAAGGTTGTATAATTTCTCTCTTCAAATTTACTCTTTTGTTTGTCTTCTCATTCTAATATTGACCCCACCCTCTGAATTAGTTATGTCCATTTTATTAGTTCCCAAATTTCCATTTAGTTCTTCCTTATGTTATCTATTTCTTTGCTGAGAATTTTGACTTTTCTGTTTGTTTCAAGGATGGTCTGCCTTACTCCCTGGAGCATAATCATAATGGCGACTTTTGATTGCCTTTTCCACTGTGAGTTGAGATTTATCAATCTTTCACTAGCTGAGGAAATTTTGGATTGTATCATGGACATTTTGAATATTATATCATGAGAATCTGGATCTCGTTTAAATCTTAAGGAGACAGTTGAGTTTTTCTTCTTTCATTTTTTAACAGGCAAGATATCTGGTTAGTTTCAGTGTACATCTTTTTTTCACATTTAAAATAAATTTTTATTTTCAAAAATCACATATTAATTATTTTTTAACTTTTAAGGTCAGTGGTACATATGCAGGATGTGCAGGTTTCTTACATAGGTAAACATGTGTCATAGGGGTTTGCTGTACAGATTATTTCATCATCCAGGTATTAAGCCTAGTACTCATCAGTTATTTTCCCTGAAACTCTCCCTCCTCCCACCTCCCCAGTCCCTGGTAGGCCCCAATGTGCATTGTTCCTCTCTATGTGTCCATGTATTCTCATCATTTAGCTTCCACTTACAAGTGAGAATGAGCAGTGTTTGGTTTTCTTTTCCTGCATTAGTTTGCTAAGGATAATAGCCTCCAGCTCTATCCATGTGCCTGCAAAGAACATAATCTCATTCTTTTTTATGGCTGCATGGTATTCCATGGTGTATATGTACCACGTTTTTTTTATCCAGTCTATCATTGATGGACATTTAGGTTGATTCCATGCCTTTGTTATTGTCAATAGTGCTGTAATGAACACATGTGTATGTATATTTTTATAAGAGAATAATTTTATCCCTTTGGGTATATACCCAATAATGGGATTGCTGGGTCAAATTATATTTCTTTATCCAGATCTTTGAGGAATTGCCACACTGTCTTCCACAATGGTTTAATTAATTTACACTCTCACCAACAGTTTCTCTGCAACCTTGCCAGAATCTGCTGTTTCTTGACTTTTTAATAATCGCCATTCTGACTGGCATGAGATGGTATCTCATTGTGGTTTTGATTTAAATTTCTCTAATGGTCAGTCATGTTGAGCTTTTTTTGATATACCTGTTGGCCACTTGTATGTTTACTTTTGAGAAGTGTTTGTTCATGTCCTTTGCTCATACCTTTCTAATTTTTTTTTTAATCTTGTAAATTTGTTTAAGTTCCTTATAAATGCTGGATATTAGACCTTTGTCAGATGCATAGTTTCAAAAATTTTCTCCCATTTGGTAGGTTGTCTGTTTACTCTGATAACAGGTTTTTTTTCTGTGCAGAAGTTCTTTAGTTTAATTAGATCCTATTTGTCAATTTTTTCTTTTGTTGCAATTACTTTTGGTGCTTTCATCATGAAATCCTTGCCCATACCCTGAATGGCATTACCTAGGTTGTCTTCCAGGACGTTTATAGTTTTGAGTTTTACATTTAAGTCTTTAATCCATCTTTAGTTGATTTTTGTATATTGGTGTAAGGAAGGGGTCCAATTTCAATTTTCTGCATATGGCTAACCAGTTCTCCCAGCATCATTGATTAAATAGGGAATCCTTTCACCATTGCTTATTTTTATCAGATCTGTCAAAGATCAGATAGTTGTAGATGTGTGGTCTTATTTCTGGGTTCTCTAATCTGTTCCACTGGTCCATGTATCTGTTCTTGTACCAGTGCTGTGCTGTTTTGGTTACAGTAGCCTTGTAGTGTAGTTTGAAGTTTGGTAGTGTGATGCCTTCAGCTTTGTTCTTTTTGCTTAGGATTGCATTGTCTATACAAGCTCTTTTTTTGGTTCCATATGAATTTTAAAATATATTTTTCTAGTTCCATGAATAATGTCAATGGTAGTTTAATGGGAATAGCATTGAATCTATAAATTGTTTTGAGCGGTATGGCCATTTTCATGATGTTGATTTTTCCTATTTATGAGCATTGAATGTTTTTCAATTTGTTTGTGTCCTCTCTGATTTCTTTGAGCAGTGATTTGTAGTTCTCCTTATGGTGGTCCTTCATTTCCCTTGTTAGCTGTATTCCTAGATATTTTATTCTCTTTGTGGCAATTGTGAAAGAGAGTTCATTCATGATTTGGCTCTTGGCTGGTCAGTCTACAACTTCTGACCCACTCTCTTCCAGCTATAGTTCCAATATCTACTCATTTCTCTATTACTTTCAGAGCTACTTAGGTCTGTTCCATATGCATAGCCCCAGTGGCCTGTCTGAGGCCTGGCCGGTGGCCTATACTTTAATGAAGTTCTCAAAGATGTTAATACACTGTCAAGACTAGATACACTCATGAACAGCTCTCAGATGAGCCTAGGAGTTCATAAACAATATGATGCAACTGATCTCTCATTCTCCCTTTTTTTTTTTGTTTTGCAATCTGTCTGATGTTTTCTTCATGATTCCAGGCTCCACTCTCCCTTTTTTAATACTATAGTCAGAAAATCAAGCTTTGTATTTTCTGTTCTGCTTCACAATTCCCACGTCTACATCTATATCAGTGCCAAGAAGCATAAGGTCAGAGAAAAAAACACCACTAGGAATTGCTCTCTTTTTTTCAGCACTTTAATAATAAAGTCACTTTTGTGAGTACAGCTCCCCTGGCCAGAATATATTCTCTTCACATAGAGGGGTCCCTAGAGCCACTGCTCCCATTATCTTCACCTCTACCATGCCATCATATTATTGTCTTGGGGCTGGATGGGAAAGAACAGAAGAAAAAAAGAGGATATCCCACCTACACACATTCTTTATGACACTTAGGAGTCTCATTTTCTCCTCTTAAATCTGTAGGAGAGAAATTCTTCTGGAGCTTTTTCCATCTCTATCTGCTGTTTACTTCTGGGTTTTGTCTGCTTTTGAGTCCAGGCAGGTTGATTCTGGAGTGGGGAAAAATGAGAAACTCACTGCCAGTGTTGTATTATATCACATTGTGTTCTCTTTTGTTAAGCTGCTGGCTATCATTGACTTTTGGAGTACTTAGTTAGCTGCTTCCTGCATTCTATCTAGAGCTTATTGTTGCATTTAATGAGAGACAGTCATAGGATACAGTGTGTTTATGCCATCTAGCCAGGAACCAGAACCTCAAGGACAAGGTAATTTTTATAGCTAAACTTTGGTAATGAAGGAAACATCTCAAATGTGCCTCAATTTTTGGTGGCCCTAGTCCTATTATCATTATGAAGTGATATTTTGAATATTTTATCCTCATAGTATAGCCTGATATGCCTACATTGTAGTCTGTTCTGAGAATATTTTCTCTCTTTTATCACAATATAAAGCTATTATGCTCTGTGTTGAACCTGGTCAGGTGACCTTCAGTCTAAAGCCTTTGATGAATTTTAACTCTAACTGAAATTACGATTTTTTTTCTTTGCTAACCATTAAGAACTACCATACCAACCGATTCAGCATCAAGATTTTCTGGATTTACAATTAGCCTCAGGACATAAAGGACTTTTAGAAAATATCATTCAACTAGATGATCTTATTGTACCATTATATCCAAAGAGAAATGGCATCTTTATTTAAAAGATCTCTTTGGATATGATGGTAAGCTATTTACATAGGACCAGGTTGAATGGAAGTAAAAAAGGAGGAGGTGGCTACATTTTCCAAAGAGGCCCACTATAAGATGTGGTCAGTAGGAGGTCCTGTATTCTTAAGATGGGACTCACGGTCTGTATTACAAAGGACGGGTAAAGACTGATCAGAGGAGCTGCTAATAACCTGAAATGTATCTTCTGATACTGTAAGATGGAAGAGTAGAACCACTAGCAGATTATCATTCACAAGGACTCCCTAAATTATTATGTGAAACAATAACTAATCCATATACTTCAGAACCCTTCTGCTAAACATAATAAATGTCCCATTTTATATCTAAGATTTTGAGCTGTTTCCCATGCTCCTACCAATGAAATGCTATATGACCACCAGGTTTCATTGCTCATTGCACAGTAATGAGCCAGTACACTGAAACAGCAGGAGTTGCAGCAGAGAATGAATATAATAACTGTAGGTTGGCCAAATGAGAAGATGGGAGGAAACCTCAAATCTGCCTCTCAAGAGGTTTTGGGACAGAGTTTTTTAGGGATCTGAACAGATGATGGGCTAAAGGGTGGTGGCCACTGATTGGTCAAGAAGTGAGGGGTGAAGTCATGGGACAGGGAGATGAAGAAACTACATTTCTGTGCTGAGTAGGTTCCTTGGGGAGGGGATTCAGACCAGTTGGCATTAGCCATCCTGCTGGAATTCAGGATCTGGAAAATACCTTACACAATTCTTGGGTAAAATGGTCTATCATCAGAGATTCTATCTATAGAAACAGTGGAGGAGCAGGTGGTCACTGTGCTACATGACTCTCAGGTAGCAGCTGCAGAAAAGTCAGTCAAAGTGCACCAGTGCACCCTGGTCAATGCCTAACTATAATTCTGCCTATAGCCTAGTGTGTAAGTCTAGCTAGCCCCATGAGGGTGGTTTCAGTCCCCTCTTGACTTGTTCATTTCCTCAATCTTGAGGCAGGAGGGAATCAGACAGTGACCACTCTGGTTGCTTCCTGCTGACAAAGGACACAGATAATGGAGGAGTATCTCAATCAAGATTGAGGAAATGAAACTGTCTTGTAGTGGCCTGTAGATATTGCTGAGTGCCAGGTCTGGGGCTCTTACCTGCATAATAAAAACATTAGTGCTCTTGTTAAATTTTGACACAAATTTAATAGAACACTGAATAGTGAGGCAAAGTATGGGCCCTATTAATAAGAGGAAAAGCCCTAATTTTAGGAGCTGATGAAGTCAGCTTTTAGAGCTAATTAAAAGCCCTGAGGCATTCATGAGAAAGTCCAAAGAACCAGTCAGATAATTCTGGAGTGTCTGGAGAAATCTACTGGTTTCACAAGTGTCAGGATAGCTTTTGTATTGTCTTGGCCCAAAATAAAATGTTGTCTGTACTCATAAGTGTGATGTCAGATTGTTTTTTATGCTGAAGATATTTGATTGCTTGAATTTTCTTGATACTGTTTACATTGTGGTAAGCAGATGAATAAATTTCCATATTCAAAATGTATCCCATAAATTATTTCATATATATATAAAATCAATGCAGAAGTCAGAATTTTTTTTTTTTATCATAGTAACCCTGTTTGTAAAAATACTGCAGGATAAGTTACACATGACAGACAACAAGTGTGGTAGGCAGAGTGATGTGCCACCAACCGCCACCCTCCCCTTGCCCAAGATGTCTTCATCTTACTCTTGGCAACTTGTGAATATGTTACCTTACATGACAAAAGGCACTCTGCAGGTATGATTAAGTTAAGGTTCTTGAGAACATTATCTTGGAATATCCAGATGGGCCCAGTGTAATCACAAGGTGCCTTATAAGGGAAAGAGGGAGGCAGGAGAGTTAGAGAGGGGGATGTGATGACAGAAGCAAAGCTGGAGTGGTGTAGCCATGGCCAGAGCCAAGGAATGCAGGCTGCCTAAAGGAGATGGAAAAAGCAAAGAATGTTCTCCCCTGAAGCTTCCAGAAGAAACGCAACCCTTGATTTTAGCCTCTTAACACCCGTTTTGGACTTCCTAACACCAGAACTATAAAATAATTAATTCATTTTGTTTTAAGCCAGTAAATTTGTAGTAATTTGCTACAGCATCGTAGAAAATGAATACACCAAGATTTGCAGGTAGAGTCTGTATGAAGGAGAACCATATGCATCACAATGAATTTGCCTAGACTGAAGTCTCATTAGTGGTGGAGCAGAGGGAAGGGCCAGGATAGTGGGAGAGAAAAAGAAAGACAGATCATTTTGTGAAAGCTCTTAGGCTAGCCGGAACTTCAGTCCTACTTTTTATTTTTTTTTGTTTCTCTAATTTGAGTAGAATATTCTCTCTTTCTGTATTTCTTCCTTATGTTGCTTGACCTCTCCCTCAAAAGCTAGAGATGAAATGTTTTTATTCAAGTCGTATTAAAATTCATTTAGAATGTTTCAAGTTTACCTAATGGATCAAAGGTAAAGACTACCTGTGAAACTTTTTTCAGCTAATTAGGAAACAGGTCAAATTGGCCTCAAAGTGACTCCTAATTAAAATAATTTTTCTAGTTGGATACTTTTGCTTTTCCTTCTTTAATGATTATTTTAAAATAGAGACTTCCAGAGAAGAATAGCAAAATCACAAATACATAATTTGAACTCTCATACACTGCTGGTGGGAATGCAAAATGTGTAGCTGGAGACAGTCTGGAAGTGATTCAATGGTTAAATATAGAGTTCCCATACAATCCAGCAATTCTACTTCTATGTATCTACCCGAGATAAATGAGAACATGTGTCTTCACAAAAACTTGTACATGAATGTTTATAGAAGCATTCTTCACAATAACCAAAAAATTAAAACCCATATTTCCAACAACTTTTTTAAAAAATCCCAAGAAAAATATTAAGATAGATGCTAATATGAAATACACTTGTTCTATTTGAAGAAAATGTTACAGCTTTGATGAGGGACCTAGAAAAAGATGAAAAAAGGGACGTGTATTTATGTAAACAGAATGTCGTGCTGTGTGTATGGATAATGTGTTGGAGAACTCAATATTATAAACATATTAATTCATCCCACATTACTTTTTTAATTTAGGCAAATTATTTAATTTCAATAGAATATCATCTTCCTTCTTTTTGTATTTGTCACTAGGATTCTAAAGGTTACTTACAATTTTAAAGCTGATGAGAATTGTCTTGACATTTTAGAAAGAATAGAGACTTACTTTATTACATATAAGACGTTATTTAATTTTAACACTTGTACAAATGTGAAAAGGAAGGTATTTTAATTAAACAGAAGGAATCAGGAGCATAATTTAATAGAAACTGAATTTGTATACAAAATAATTGAGGATAGGAACAATTCTTGAATAAATTATAATAAGATATTATCAGGAAATAAAATTCAATTTGTCTTATACCTTATATTGCAATAAATTACAGATGAATTTTAAAATGTAACCTACTGAAAACATAAAGCCATGGAAGAACTGAAATGGACTAAATGCAGGTGATGTCAGTTGAGAAAGAGCATCCTAGGAACAAAGATGGTACAAGAAATCATAAATTAACATTTTGACATGTACAAAAATGTAAATATTCTGTATATCAAAAAGTAATGTAAAATTTAAAGTGAAATAGCAATTTAAAGGGAAACATGTATGCAGTATATAAATGCTTCCTATCTGTAATATATACAGAGCTTTTACAAACCACTAAGAAAAAGACAGCAAATAATATGTCACATATACTTGTAATTATTTAATTAAACATCCACTTATGAAAATATATTGCTATGCACAACTAATAAATTAAGTTCAAATATACAGTTAATGAGATGTTATATTTTACATAGTTAGAAAGAAACTTAAAAGCATGATTATCACTGTTGTCAAGAATGAAATAAAAGAGACATTCTTGAAAATCTTTAGTTTATATACAAATTTCTATAGCCATTTCAGAGAGGAATTATCCTAAGGGAATAATTAGCGATGTTAGAAGTCTAACACATAAGGACATTCATGATTGTATTATTTATTTTTACCAAAAATAACTAAACAAAAGCAACCTTAATAACTCCAAATATGGTACACGCCCAACAAACTTTGGTACATCCGTTTGATTGAAAATTATGTAGCCACTAAACAATTATAGTTTCAAAGCATTTAATTATATGAGAAAATGCTCATGATATATCAAGTCAAAACAATGTACACAATTCCAATTATTTTCTATGTGGACACCCACATCGCCCCCACATGCGTATGCACTAAATCATATTTATAAAAACACTCACAGATGAACTGCTTATGTTAAAATATTTATGATGATTTTCTCTAGTTAATATTATTACAAAAATTTCTATTTTCTTCTGAAGGTTTTAAAATTTTTCCCAATTTTCTATAGTAAATCTATTTACTTTTATAAGAAGGAGCTAGGTTATTAAAATAAAACCATAAGTTTTAAATTGAAAGTATTGCATTGATTTTTCCAATTGAATAATAAATATTAAATCAACAAACATTCATTGAACAGCTACTATATCCCTAGCACAATTCTAGGCACAACAGGCACAAAGAAAATTTCTCTCCTTTAGAACCTTACATCCTGCTTAGCAAACACACAAAAACACCTCCCCAAGACTGATGCCAAAAAGAGTGTGTTTGGGGAGCTCAAAGTAACTAAATGGAGGATCATAAGCCTCATGTTCTTATGACTCAACTAACACAAAATGCATTCTCTATCTATGTAAATGTTGGTCAGCTGTAGACACCTCATAGGTAAGCCACAAATTTATGTCAGAATGGTCAGGTACCTGATGGCATAACAGAAGATATGCATAGCTTAAATCCAGGCTTATTATCTTTCCCAAAACTCAGATGCTGTAATTCTGGTTCTCCAAAACTTGGTATTTCAAGTGTCTGTATCTTTATAGAAGATTCATTACTTTTCTGCCCCACAGTTTATGCAAATTCATTAGTAGTGTTGGATCCACAAAGACATGCCTATTTATAGCCAATGGGGTAAGAGATTTATTCTATCGGTTCTGTCATTTAAACAAATTCAGTCATATCCACATTCTTTCACTCATCTGCGATTCTAAATTTCTGGAGGACGGAGACCCTACAAGCTACTCTGGAATCTCTATAGACACTAACTTAATCACATAAATTATTAATAAATACACAAATGCTTCGGGATGATTAACACTGGGTTATTCAGTAGGTAGGAAACTGTGCACATTATCTGATTAACGACTTACCTGGGGTGGTGTATAAATATCCTCTTACAAACATGTCTATACAAGTTTTGCTTGCTGTGATGAAAATCATGTTTCCAGACTATTTACACAAAATTAAGCTGACACTGCCAAAAAAAAGTGAGTTACTCTTAGTTGTGAGAATGTATATCCTTTTATAGCAGCTTATGCTACTGGGGTGGGGCAGGACAAATAATGATCATATTCAAGGAAGAAGAATATTTTCAGGGCTAGATTATTTCTACATAAAATTTTATATTGAATATGTGAAGAAATGGCTTAAAGTAAACCCCATATTTAATTTGTGCTATATTTTCCCTTCATGAGAAAAAAGATTTTGGCTATTCTAGCACATTCACCATTTTGCTTAATCAAGACACATGTCCAGTTATTAGGATAACTAAGAAATGTTCCAAAATCTGCATAGAGTTCAGAAGAAAATTATCATATTACTTCCTAAAACCAGCATTTTTAAACTTCCACAAGCATCATAATACTCTGTAGAGCTTTTACAAACAATTTCCTGGGCCCCATTCTCAGCAATTATAGTTTTAGTAGATTTGGCTTGAACCAAGAATTGCTATTAAAACAAAACAAAAACAAAGAAAACTTACAAGCATAATTCTGATAGGCCCTAAAGGCAGAGAACCACCATCTAAAGATATATTAATAACTCCTCAATAATTTTTATAATCACGTCAGGAAATTAATTGAGCATGGGCAACAGGGCAAGTCCCTGTCTGTACAAAAAAAAATTAAGAATTAGCTGAGTGCGGTGGTGCGCACCTATGGTCCCAGGTACTCCGGAGGCTGAAGTGAGGAGGATCACTTAGACCCAGGAGATTGATGATGCAGTGAGCCATGATTGCACAACTGAACTCCAGCCTGGGTGACAGAGTGAGACCCTGTTCCAAAAACAAAACAAAGCAACAGAAAACCCAGAAAATTAACTGTTCATATAACAGAGTTTTTCATAACCTAGATCTATCAACTCAATTCAATTCTGCCAGTATTTATGAAGTATCTATTATGTACAAGTCACTTTGCTTTAATTGGGGGAATACGAAGATGTGCTAAAAAATAAAACAAACAAGCCTATTACACAATTACATAAATAATTAAACTTCAAAGGAGAACCTATAGAATCTACAAGATATGGAAAAGATGCTATCCTCATAGCATCTTTTGAAGTTTGAAAGGGGGAGAGGTCTTATTAATCTTATAAAATTATGAAAATCATATTAAATAAAGAGTTTTTGAGATAGACATTGAGAGATTGATGGGATGCGACAAGCCGAACTGCAGAGCAGGACAGGGCAGGGCACTACTGAAGTAGGGAACAGAAAATTATGGGGCAAATTATTGGAGTTTAAATAGAAAAGATAAAGTGAGAAAGTTCTTTTGGAAAATTAATTCTATAGGCAACAAACCAGTCTAACGAAAAGAAAATAATTCCCTCACAACCATAGTACTTAATAAAAACTCATTTTCAAAGAAAGCCTTAAAAAAAAGAATAGTAATACCAATGGAATGAATTAGGGGGAAAAAATGAGGTTGCAATGTGATATGGTTTGACTCTGTATTCCCACCCAAGTCTCATGTTGAATTGTAATTCCCAGTGTTTTGGTGGGAACCTGGTGGGTGGTGATTTAATCATGGGGGCGGATTTACCCCTTGCTGTTATTGTGATATTGACTGACTTCTCAAGAGATCTGAAAGTGTGTGGCACTTCCCCCTTCACACTCTCTCTCTCCTGTTGCCATGTGAAGATGTGCTGGCTTCCCTTTCACCTTCTGCCATGGCCTCTCCAGCCATGCCTCCTATACAGCCTATGGAACTGTGAGTCAATTAAATTTATTTTCTTTATAAGTTACCTAATATCAGGTAGTTCTTTATACCAATGTGATAATGGACAAACACACGGTGTTAAAGAAATAAAATAGGGAACAAAACAACAATATTAAGAACACATATGTCAGAAACTATAATAAACAGAACATTATGCCTGAAATTTAATTATTAAAATAAGGCATAAGCATTAGTGCAGAGGATAAATATAAAAAATTAAAACATTTAAATAAATTATGCCATATTGCATTAAATCAAAGGTGCCATCAATTGTAAGTCATGCTATTATTCTATGTATCACTGAAAAAGGAAAAGTGCTACAATTACACTATAATGTAATGCTGTTTTATTTCTTAAAATTTTTATATTTACCAAAGGAGCTTATTTAATCTTCAACATAGATTATTTTGTACACGTAACATTTTGGTGCACACAAAAAAGGAGACTATAAATACAATAAATTAGTTAAGACAGTCCTAGTTCTTCACATGGTATCCGATTGTTCTGAATCACTTTTCAACTCAGTTATTGATATCTGTGTTTTCTTCATTAAATATCTCGGTAATGGCAACATAATAACACAACATCATTTAATTGTGACTACTATACCCTAGTAAGAGCATACAGCATTGAGTCATTCCCCCATTGATAAATATGTTTCAAAGATAATCCAACATACAAATTAAAAAAATGGATTTTTGAAGGCATATTCAAAATTGTAAGAGAAAGATATCCATGGAATAAGTTACACTCTGTTTCAAAAACAGATATATAAACATACATGTGCATGTGTCTGTATAGCAGCATGATTTATAGTCCTTTGGGTATATACCCAGTAATGGGATGGCTGCATCAAATGGTATTTCTAGTTCTAGATCCCTGAGGAATCGCCACACTGACTTCCACAATGGTTGAACTAGTTTACAGTCCCACCAACAGTGTAAAAGTGCTCCTATTTCTCCACGTCCTCTCCAGCACCAGTTGTTTCCTGACTTTTTAATGATTGCCATTCTAACTGGTGTGAAATGGTATCTCATTGTGGTTTTGATTTGCATTTCTCTGATGGCCAGCGATGGTGAGCATTTTTTCATGTGTTTTTTGGCTGCATAAATGTCTTCTTTTGAGAAGTGTCTGTTCATGTCCTTTGCCCACTTTTTGATGGGGTTGTTTGTTTTTTTCTTGTAAATTTGTTTGAGTTCTTTGTAAATTCTGGATATTAGTCCTTTGTCAGATGAGTAGGTTGTGAAAATGTTCTCCCATTTTGTAGGTTGCCTGTTCACTCTGATGGTAGTTTCTTTTGCTGTGCAGAAGCTCTTGAGTTTAATTAGATCCCATTTGTCAATTTTGGCTTTTGTTGCCATTGCTTTTGGTGTTTTAGACATGAAGTCCTTGCCCATGCCTATGTCCTGAATGGTAATGCCTAGGTTTTCTTCTAGGGTTTTTATGGTTTTAGGTCTAACGTTTAAGTCTTTAATCCATCTTGAATTGATTTTTGTATAAGGTGTAAGGAAGGGATCCAGTTTCAGCTTTCTACATATGGTTAGCCAGTTTTCCAAGCACCATGTATTAAATAGGGAATCCTTTCCCCATTGCTTGTTTTTCTCAGGTTTGTCAAAGATCAGATAGTTGTAGATATGTGGCGTTATTTCTGAGGGCTCTGTTCTGTTCCATTGATCTGTATCTCTGTTTTGGTACCAGTACCATGCTGTTTTGGTTACTGTAGCCTTGTAGTATAGTTTGCACACGTATGTTTATTGTGGCACTATTCACAATAGCAAAGACTTGGAACCAACCCAAACGTCTAACAATGATAGACTGGATTAAGAAAATGTGGCACATATACACCATGGAATACTATGCAACCATAAAAAATGATGAGTTCATGTCCTTTGTAGGGACATGTATGAAATTGGAAACCATCATTCTCAGTAAACTATTGCAAGAACAAAAAACCAAACACTGCATATTCTCACTCATAGGTGGGAATTGAACAATGAGAACACATGGACACAGGAAGGGGAACATCACACTCTGGGGACTGTTGTGGGGTGGGGGGAGGGGGGAGGGATTGCACTGGGAGATATACCTAATGCTAGATGACGAGTTAGTGGGTGCAGCGCACCAGCATGGCACATGTATACATATGTAACTAACCTGCACATTGTGCACATGTACCCTAAAACTTAAAGTATAATAATAAATAAAATAAATAAACATATATATTATATTTATATATATTTACACATACATACATATATAAAATTTGGGTACAAGAGAAATGCTTATCAAGATATTACATTTCAAAAAATAAGCTGTGTAGTACTGCCCAAGTTCAAATCACAGTCTTTCCAGTTACCATCTGTGTCCTCCCAGGCAATCTCTGTTACCTCTCTGGGGGCAGAAATAATACACCACTGATAGGATTGTCATGCAGATTAAACAACTATCAATATGTGTGTTCAATAACTGTTAGGTACCTGTTTCAGCATTCAGAGAATTTCACTCTGGCCAACGTGGAGTAACAGGGACTGGGTTTACTCTCCCATGGAATTAGAAAATTGGGCAACTGTATGAAACTAAGGATTTTAAGACATTAAATATCAGACAACAAACCATAAGGATCCCTGAGACACTAGTAAGAAGTGAGGTGAGTTCTGCTGTTGCCACATATTTTTGCCTGGGGAGAGTTTCCAGGCCATAATGCAGGTGGGGGGACCCCAGACAGAACCCAGTGGTTTCTCAGAGTTGAGTTCATGGAGATGGGAGTCCATGAAGGCTCAGGGCAAAGGACTGAAGAAGAGAGAGCTGAACAGACAGTAAGATATGAAGATTTGAAGAGGGTCCCTTCAGTCTTCAGCTGAGTAAAGATCAACATGTGCTTGTAAGGAAGCTACCTGAGGCCAGGGAGAGAACCACCTGAAATAATTAGAGAAAATAACTTCTGAGGTTCACGCAAAATCAGAAACTGTTCCTGTTCCCAAGAGCCAGATTGGGAAACCTCATCACTCATGGGACATGGAGTAAAGTAGCAAGATACTTTTGTTGTAGGAAAGAATTAGCTCTAGACCCAGTGCTGCTCAGTCCAGCCTGACAAAGTTTAGAAGCAAGATCCAAAATCCCTTGGAACATGTCTGATCAAATCTTTTGCCTATTTTTTCAGTTGGGTTTTTGTTTTTTATTATTGAGTGTTGGAGATCTTTATCAGATATGTGGTTTGCAAATACTTTCTTCCAATGCATGGTTTTGTATTTTCATTCTCTAAACAATGTATTTCAAAGGGCAAAAATTCTTATTAAATTTGAATTTATTAATATGTACACACAAATGTTCATAGCAGCTTTATTAGTATTTTCAAAAAACTAGGAACAATGCAAATGTTATCGACAGGTGAATGAATAAATAAATCTTGGTATATTCATACAATGGGATATACCCATTGTATAGTCAGCAATATAAATATTCCTTTATGCAAAAATATGAGTGCATCTCAAAATAATTGTGCTTAGTGAAAGAAACCAAACCCCCAACCCTCCCCAAAAAGAGTATATACTGTGTGGTTTCATTTACATGTAGCTCTAGAAAATAAAAGCTAACAGGCAGTGAATAAAAGCAGATCAGTGGTTTACTGAAGAGTGGGGAATGAGAGAGTTGGGGTGGGGAGGACAAAACGATTACAAAGAGACACAAGGGCTGGGCATGCTGGGTCATGCCTGTAATCCCAGCACTTTGAGAGGGAGAAACAGGCAGATCTCCAGAGGTCAGGAGTTTGAGACCAGCCTGGCCAACTTGGCAACATCCTATCTCTACTAAAATACAAAAAATTAGCGGGGCATGGTGATACACACCTGTAATTTCAGCTACTAGGGAGGCTGAGGCAAAAGAATCGCTTGAACTCAGGAGGTGGAGGTTGCAGTGAGCTGAGATCGCGCCACCACACTCCAGCCTGGGTGACAGAGCGAGACTCCATCTCAAAAAAAAAAAAAGCACAAGATCACATTTGGGAGTGGTGGGTGTGCTCATTATCTTCATGGTGGAGACTATTTCATGGGAATATATATATACACACACATATATTTTAAAACATCAGATTGTGTACTATAATATGTGCAATTCATTGTGTGTGAATTATACCTCAATAAAGTTCTAAAAATTAGTCACTCGGCCATGTAAGCATAAAAACCAAATACAAAGAAAAAAAAATCAAGCTAACCTCAGGTTTCTCCATTGCCATATCATTTTATTTTATTTAGTGATTTTTAAAAGGCCATTGACAGACTTTATCTAGTATGTAAGAACCCTTAGCATACAGCATTGGTGATAACTTTTTTAACAAAGGAGTAAATAATTACGAGTCATTCCATGTGTGGTGACTCTGTAGACTAGTGCAGGGTGTTGTTGGAAGGTATCCTGAGGGCCCTGATTCAGTCTGAGTATCCAAAGGTGGTGTCCCCAGGGAAGTGACATCTGTGCTAAGAAAAGAGAACTTCCTGGGTGAAAAGAAGTCAAAAGAGTATTTTTGGAAGAAAGAGTCTGTGTAAATGAGGTTTTCTCTTATAGGCACTAAAATCTACTTTAGAGAATATGGTACCAGACTCGATTCAAATATTTAAGAACTTGGCTAAAGTCACACTAGTAAATGGCAAAGACTATACAAAACCTAAACAGCTCTATTTGACCTATATGATCCCAAAAAGAGTTTATGATTTAATCGTATGAGCTAAAAAGGGGAAAAGTCAGACTGCCCCTGGGAAAATACAGAAGATCTATGCAGAAGTTTTCAAATGTCTCTGCTTTTTAAAAGACTTCCAAAGTTTCTTGGTGGGTAAATTCCAAATAGGTTTGCAGAATATACAAAATCTGCACCATTTGCTCTGGGTCTAATCTTATATGTGTATTCATCAGCCTCTCTTTTTCATGCTCCTGTCATATTGAAAGACCTCCAACTTTCACAGGCATTACTGTCTTATTCCTTTGCCGATATTGCTCCCTCTGCCCCACTTTGCCTGAGAGTGACAACACTGTTGTTAAGTCTCTTCTAATGGAATGCTCGCTGAGTGGAACTACCTTTGCCTAGGTTTAACCCTATCTTTTAGCCAACATAGAGGATCTGTGTCATCAAACCCGCCCTGCATCCCTGTCATGGCACTCTTTAAAAATACATGTCATTTTTCAAACCATTTTTAAAAATAAGAGATGGGGTGCCACTATGTTACCCAGGCAGGCTGGAGTGCAGTGGCTCTTCACAGGCACAATCATAGCGTACTACAGCCTGAAATTCCAAGGCTCAAGCAATCCTCCTGCCTCGGCCTCCCAAGTAGCTGAGACAACCTTACAAGAAATGATGACAGAGAGATCTGAAAGTTAAGCACCTTCAAACTGCAGCATTTCATGGGTTGATAGGAAACACTGAATATCTCAGGGAAAGAACATTTTGGAAGAGTTGGAATCACATTCTTAAGCAGTGGTTTTCAAACATTTTTAACAGTGGGGCCTTTTTTTTTTTTCCACATGAAACCACAACTGTAATTCCATCTTACAATACAGATTAAAATAGGCCTTTATGAATAAAAGTTTAATTTATAATTTCATACTTGTAAGGTAATCAATAAGAACAAAGAGGCTATTTAGGGAACAACGAATTTTAGTACCTAACACACTTGAGTGTATGTGCTTTCTAATTACTATTTTTAAAAAGTTTTAATTATGGTTTTTAAGAAGTCACTCAAACATTTGCAGACCCTGAAGCAGTCTTCAGTGTGGCTTGGAAATTACTGTACTGCCTTAAGTCAAAAGTAGAGCTTAGACTGGAATCAATGGGTATTCAGGAAATTCAATGGTATTGCTTGATTTAAGCCCAGGTCTTTCCAGTTCTGAAACCCATGCTCTTTCCATTGCATCGCTATTCCCCAGGTTTTGCAAATTTGCCGTGAGGAGTTACAGACAGGCATTTGCACAGTCCTAAGCCTCTAATTAACAAAGCAGAAAATGCAGTGCTTCAGGTGGGGAGCAGAGGGCCCTGGACAACCCTGGAAACTCTGCAAACTACTCATTCCCCTGAGAGGAGTGCCAGGCCAGATCGTGCAACCTTCTAGGAAAATGCATTTGGTGAGGCCACAATTAACTGGGCTTGGGCAGCTTAACAATGATAAAAGGGGAAGGTATTTGACTTTGTCCAAATACTTTCAGGAACAGGCAGTACCAAGTGCAATTGTGAGGTTCCTTTACCTCAATAGAAGCAGATAGCTTCTAAATGAAGTGATTGTGCACAAGCTTAGAGGAAATCTGAGCTACCGCCAAACCACATGAGGATAATAGGCATCTCAACACAGCGACCGAAGCCATGTACTGCTAATACACACAGACGCTGTGGGCTTCAGCCCATCCAAAAAGGCAGAGAGGTTGCACGGTATATTAAATGCACTGATTTTTACAGCTAACATCTGGCCTCAAGGACAGCTGTGGTCAGGTTTAGTGAAAGACTTCAGTGAAAAATGATTAAGTCAAAATATTTGGCCTCTCCGTTTAAAGCAATTAAAGCAATTTGTTAATCAGTCAATCTGCATTGGGACTTGATATTTACTAGTTTCATTTTACTTGAGGCAAGAATAAACTTCTCAAACAAAGTTAAACATCACTCCTTGGACTCAAGGGAGTCTTACTCATATAGTGCTGTCTTTTCCGTTTGAAAAACATATATTTTTATTGTTATGAAATTAAGAATGTTTCTCTTAACATCCCTTGAGTCTTACTCACACTGAAGTTGCTTGGCCCTTGATGATGAATAAACAGAGAATAAAGAGTGTGTAAAATGATTGGCATCTAAGCCTCCCTGCATGTCTGAGATTTTGAATAAAGGGGTAGTTAGCATGAATAACAACTCCTACATCATACACATGAAAAAAATTCTGAGGGGTTTTATATTTGTGAAGAAAAGTTGTCTCTCAAAATCTGTTGGGTCCACTTTGCAGTCTGTTTCTAATCTCTCAGAAAACACAACATGGGTTTAATGTGACCCTGAAGGATGTCAGGAAAACAGGGCTTGCCCTCTGATCCCCTGTGTGAAGCTTGTTGAATTAGTCTGAGCACATTTGAAATGAATCAGGATAGTGAACATCTGCCTCCCTTTGTTAGAAGAATCCTTCTATTTATAAATAAACACTTCGTCTGGCAAAGATGGTGAATTCCTTCATTCCATGTTGCTTTTCTTGAGCAACTTGAGCATGGGGCCAGTGGCACAAGGTGCATTCCGAATCCCATCAAGGGACACAGAGAATGAAAATAATTAGCTAATACTAAGACCTTGCAGGCTTCTGCCTAGTCCTGTGTGGCAGCTGATTCAGCTACCTGGAAGACACTTGGGAAATTATCTGGACTTTCCTGACTTACACAGCTAAATGACCCAGAGGTGCTTGAGGCCCCTGAGAGAGAAACACTCCTCAGTCAGCATTTCCTAATTGTGGAAACACAGAAGAGGCCACAAAGATAGTTGCCTGCCTTTCAGCAGCCCCAGTGTGGGTATTCACTACTATCAGGAGGGTAAAGTAGACCCAGAGGAGATAGTTCTTTTAAGGGGCTGTGGGCATTAGAAAATAGAACGTTTAAGGAGAGGTTGGGCCTCCTACGCCTCTTGCATACCCCAGCTTCCTTCTCTAGCTCTCATGAATGCACCGGACATGGCTTTACAATAGCTCTTCAGAGTGACCTCAATGATATTGCTTACAGCTCATTTAATGGGTAGGATGCTTCTGTGAATTCAGGAAAATAATTTTTTGCTAAATGTTGCAAAAATTAAAAGCCTATATTGAAAGTGAGGTCATTTTTACTAAAAAGATATTTTTCATACTTAAGTTCCTACTCAGTGGATACTGATTTGATTTGAATAATAAATTATTGCAGTGTGATTTTGGACATGATACTCAACTCCCACAGGAAAATTTCTCTAGTTCAAAAACAATGAGAATATTGGTATTTGAAGAGTAATCTTCACAATGTGTCTTTACTTACATTTATAATTAGTGCCCTCAATCCTGTGATGAGGAGATGATCAATCCATTTAACATAAGGTTAAATAACTTATTTTTTTTTTAATTTAAGAAGGATAAATGTAACTATTTAAAAGTTAAGGAAGATATATGAACTTGCTAAGATGTGGAATGGGACTAATACCTAATCTTCCCATTTCTCAGTCATGTGTTCCTTTCAAGGCACTAAATCCAATGCACCTAAAAAAATAAAACTGAAAACTGTCACCAACTCACTCCCTTCAAGGCTTAACTGAAAGAGAGAGATTCTGGTTTTGTTAACATGTCAGGCTAGGTACCTGGATCAACCCACTGAAGACAAAGAAAGCTGGATAAAATGTAGTTTTGAAAATATTATGAAAACCACCACTCAACCGTTCTGAGATAAATTCCTTGAGAGTAGGGATTATTGTCTGTTTTTTACACTGCTGTGTTCCCAACACATAGAATAGTAGTTGGAAGATTGTAGGGGCTTCACAAATATTTGCTGAATGATTGATTTGGTGAGCTAGCAAGAAAGTAATGTTTGCTCAGGCCAAAATCTAAGGGAAGATGAGAACATAGAGAGGCAAACATAGAATTTCGTTCAGTATTTTTACCTTGAGATTATTTTCAGAACTTAACAATTTAAGCTGTTATGAGCCTGTAAGGTGTAGAGGTCAGAAAATAAAGCACAGCTCCCTTTAAGTGACAGTGTCTAACAGGAGACCTCCCTGGATAAAGCTGCAACACCAAAAGTCTTTATCTTAAGCATAAGTATGAACTAGAAATAAACTCTCCCCATCCTCCTACAAGAAAATGGGAAAAAGGAAAAAGAGATGGGGGAGAATTGCAAGTTTTCAAATCCTGGCACTGAGTGAAAGGGGAAAATAGACTCTGAGAAACTGTATTTATAGGTTAGATCTCGTGTTTGTTTGCTGCCTCAATTCCATAGTATTTGGATGGCCCAAAAAACTGAGAATGGAATTTAGTTTAAATAATCCTAGACGAGTTGTCAACTGGCAGAGGAAAGTCATAATTGTCTTTAGAAGTATTCACCTTTGTGTAAATCTAAGGAGATTTCCACACACACACAAGTTACGTAGGAAAATCAACAGCTCACGTTTTAAAAGTCATGAGACAGATAAAGTAACAAGATACCGTTGAGTGAGAATCAGCAGAGAGTTAAACGCTATCTGTGAACACTTATAGTGTGAAAATAAAAGCAGATTCAAGAGAAAAATCAAATAAAATTCTAAAAAGGAAATATATTACAAGAATTTAAAACTTAGTGGGTACATCTGAAAACATCAGACAGAGCTGAGGATTTAAATGGTACACTGGAAAACTGAGCTGAAGGGCATAATCCATAATCTAGCACAAGAAAAGCCAAAGAAACAGATATAGACTATAAAAGAGTAAGAGACATGGAGGGTGAATTTAAAGATCTGATCTCTATTTAATTGGAGTTTCAGAAGGAGAAGAAAGAATAAAGCAAAAGCAGTATTTGAGGAGAAAATCATGAGAAACTTTCAGAGAAAGAGATTTAAAAATTTTGATATCTAAAAGGATAAACAAAGTGATATTCACAATAAGGTACATCGTATTAACACTGGAAAACATGAATGTCAAAGCAGAGATACTAGAGGAAGCCAGAGAGAAGGGACAATTCGCATTCAAAAATGTGTCAGACCAACAGCTAACTTCTTAAAAACTACAATGGAAGCCGAAAGACAGTGAAGTGGAATTTTCATGGTACTGAAAGGAAAAACAAACAAGCAAACAAACCCAGACACTATCCAACTTAGGAATCTATGCCCAAGGAAAATAACTTTCAAGAATAAAATTGGACATTTTTAAAGAAACAAGAACTGAAAGGTTTTGCTGCCCACAGACACTCACTAAAGGAAATCTTAAACAACATCCTTCAAACTGAAGGAAAGTAAGTTACAGGTGGAAATTTCCCAATGCCAGAAGAAGCAAAGAGGAAAGAAAATAATACATATTTGGGTAACATTTAATGACTATTGAATGAATAAATCCACAATAATTGTCCTGAGATAAACAGAGAAATAATATACACCACAATAATAGCTTTCAATTAGAGAAGGAGGTGAATGGAGTTAAGATTCTTTCATTCTAAGATGAACTCTACAAGATGTGTGTTTATATAAGGCATATCTCTAAAGACAGAGAAGGCTAAAAGTAAAAGGATGAAAAATATGTTCAGGAAAATTATTCTATGTCAATAACAAAAGCCACTGTAGTTATGTCAATCATATACAAAATAGATTTTAAAGCAAAAAGATTTCCTAGTTATAGGTTAATTACACATTATACATGATTCAATTCACCAATAATACATAAGAACTCTAAATGTGTATGCACCAAATAACACAGTTCTGCTTGGGAAGCCACAGAGCTGCAGCAGTGTTGCCAGGAAGAACAGAGAGGATGGAGGAGGCTTAGTGATGGCACACTTTAGACCTTTCCAGCAAATTCTCACTCCTGAAAAGAAAGGACCCACCTTGATTGGAGTCTACTGTAAATAAATTTTAGTTGACAAGGATATGTTTGCTGAGGGCAGCTGAAAAACAAATACATAATGTGCACAAGGGGTCAAAAGGTGAAAAGTATCAAAAAGTGGATACTTTTGTAAGGGAGGGAAATGGAGGGCAGGGTCCCTTGTTTCTTTGTTACAGAAACAATAAGAGCTCGGGGTTCATAACAGAAGACATCCTGGCTAAGTGAGAAAGCAAGTTTGACTGACCAGACAAGTTGTCTTTTAAAGAAGTATCTATCTCTGAAGCAAGAAGACAGAATCTGAGTGAACAAACCTGTAAAGCCACCCACAAGAATATTCTAATAACTGCATGTTGATAAAGGAGCTCCTTATTCAAGGATGTGTTTTTCTTTTAAAGAAATAAAAAGCATTTTAAAAGATGCTCAAATAAAAAGCTGAAAAGAGCATGGTTGAGCAATTCTATTTCCAGGCATTTACCCTAGAAAAATAAATTATTTATCATGTGCCCCAATGCATGTATTCAAGAATGTATGGGAGTGTGTGTGTGTGTGTGTGTGTACATATATAACATATATACTATAATATAAAAGATACACTATGTATATGTAATATATAAACATTATATACATTATAGCTATCTATCTCAAAACATTTCAATTTCATGCAAATAACTGAAAAAAAATCCAATGGCCGGATAAATTGTGGCATATTTATGCAATGGAATACCATAAAGGAGTACAAATGAATAAACTACAGCTCCATACATCAACACAAAAGAATCACAAAAGCATAAGACAAATCAAGTCAGAGAAAGTACATGCAGTATGATTTCATTTGTATAAATTTCAAAAATAAGCAAAACTAAATAATACATTATTTGGATACATTCTAAAATTATGTAACATCCTAAAGAAAACCACAATAATGAGTATCACAAACGTCAAGATAGTGATTACATTTGGTTGGGAGATAGGGGCGAAGCACAGAACTTGGTAGCTAAGAAAATGGCACAATTCATTTATTTACTTGGATGCTGGGTTTTCAGGTGTTTGCTTTATTTAAAAAAAAACTATTCAAATACAGCATAGATACACAAAAGTGTACAAATAGAAGCCTGCAGCTGAATGAATGAAGCCAGCAATCTCCAGCACACCAGCACCAAAACACCCTACATCTGACTCTCTATCCTAATGAAGAGAAAGATAGCAAACAAAAACCAAACAAAATAAGGAATGGCAAGTCACTAACCCTCTCTCAAAGGTAGCTGCTATTCTGACTTTCAACACTATAGATCAGTTTTTCCTGCTTTTGAACTTTATATTAATGGAATTACACAGTATGCACTCTTTTTTTAATCTGGCTGCCTTTCCTCAATATTTTGTTTATGAAATTGACTCATTTTGTTGCATGCAGAAATAGTTTGTTCATTCCCTGCTTTATTATTTTTAAATTGTACATGTATATTTTATATACTTTTCTGTGTTTTTATTATATTTCTCAATAAAGCAAATGAAAATAAAACTTTGAAAGATCAGATTCGATAGTAAGGAAGTCCTTGTTACTCTCTGCATGTCCATTAAAGTTGTAAATTCTAACAATCCAAATATTTTAGACATTAAATATTTCCAGAGAGTCTGGAAAGAAAGTCATTTCTCAAACACATCAGTCTTTCTACTTTTGCTGCCAAGTCCAGACCAGACACAGGGACAACAAATATGGACTGTCAAGTAATTTCACCTAAAGTATTTCTAAGACCAAAATTCAAAGAGCAAAAACAAAGAAATGCTACTCAGCCAGATTCCTCCAGTTGAACTGCTCCTAACAAAGTTGCGCAGTAGGTAACTTGTCTCAGGCACCTGGCTCTCACCAGGCTCACCCCCTGCCTCCGCACACCTGTCTGCCCTTTTGCCCTGTCTTTGCCCTTTTGATCTGTAAGTCCTCCTTCTGAACCATGCTCATTCCAGGTTTCTCCATGTGCTCGCCTCTTTAATATTGATGAAAAGAAGGCTGACAAAGTAGTTCACAGTGAAATATGAAAAAGAAGTGGTTATTCTATCTTTCCAGAGGCTGTCGATATTTTACGAGGGCAAAGTTATCACAAAGCATCGGCTGTGGTAGTAGAACATTGTGGGAGATTTTTGGGTGGGTCTTTTGCATTCCATCAGGTGAGCATCACTCTAATTTGCTTGCAATGACCCTGTGCCCTTGGAGACTTTGTTTATTCTAAGCAAGGAGACTTCTGACAACAGGAAGAAGGCTTTAGCCTTATTATCTCTGTGGCCTCCAAACTAGAAACCACAATGCAAAGATGAAAGCTAATCTTCACAGCAGAAAAATGTTTCTGAGCTGCTGCCACTGCAAAATATAAAAAAGTCAACCCCTAAAAAGGCCACGATGGAAGAATGCCCAAGTGCTGCCCACTCTTCTGACCAGGCCAAGCAGTGCCTGGAAAATGCCTGCATCTCTAGTTGTGTCTGAGGGTGGAGATTTATTGGTCCACTGGGAAACAGGCTTGGGGACAGTTGCCTGAAGCCAGACCTGGGCCTGCTTCTAGCTGAATCTGAAACTGTTTCCCTGAAGATGTTGCTTTCCCTGCACCCTTCTCTCGGGTGGGTGTTCATCCTTCCATCTAGGTAGACTGTACTTTCAGATTTGTCTCAGAGTCCTGGTTTGTGCCTGCTGTCCTAGAATCCATTTTGGTTTGCATTTATCCTGGAATTTTTATTTTCTAACAAGGTATTAGTAGTAGTAGTTACATTAAAGTACGTTGGGAAAGGCTGGATACACCTCTACTTTGTAGCTCTAGCTTTTGCCAGGGTCTCATCCAGGAGGGGGGCAGGTAAGTGATTAGTGAGCAGAGTTCTTATTTTATTGCCTGTTTACAGCAGAAAGACAACCCATGATAACTTACTCTCTTGCCTCGAGTCTTCTTAGATTAAACACTACTTTTGTGCATGCAGAATACTGGCTGACAAACTAGAGCTGGGTTGGACAACCACAGCAAGAAACATCTCAATTCTTCCAATCTCCAATGATATGATACAAGAAGCATTCCAGCCAGGACTTCAGCCTGCAAGATACAAGAAGCCACAAGGCCACTAGTCAGATCTTATGCCAAGGAAGTGGTTGAACTGAGACCCAAACCTGAATATATTTAACTTGAAAACTCATATTCTTAAGCACATTACTAACCACTCCTCACTTTCACTAAAGATTATGGCAAAAGAAGCAGCCCCCCATCTACTCTATGTTTCTTTCTTCCTAGATGAATTCCATATCCATGCAGTCAGTTGCATCATTGTGTCAAGGTCACAGCTCCATGCCAACTGCTACACTTGAGTGGTTAAAACCTGGTAGGAACTTTGGGCATTAGTGTAATCATAATTCCCTAGTCTCCTCATAATATTTCTTGACAACTCCTTTTCTGACTTTGATTAGCTCACTCTCCACTCAAGCAATGATGTGAAACACAAATTTCCTCAAGCATGCTCTTATACCTACCCTTCTTCTCTCAAAAGCTGACTTGTGTCCTGCATCATTTTTGGAGGACATTGAGGGAACTGGCTACACATTTCTCAACCTTTAGATACCACATCCTCCCTCCTACCTTGTGCTTTCTTCTATTAACAGCCAAGCTTTTCACCTGTGCTCATGGTCCACTCTGCTTCTAACCATTCAGGACCTGGCTCTATCACTTATTAGTGTATTCTTTTTACTTTCAACCTATGCTGCTCTGCTGTCTCATTTCCCTTGGCTTATAAGCTTGATCAAATCTCCTTCATCAAAACAAATAAACAAAAATCTTAAAACTTAAACCACATTCTTAACAGTATCCTTTTATCCTTGACCTATCCCTCTTCTTCTCTTGTAAGTTAAGAATCCTGAAAGAGTAGAATACATTTCCTCTCTGAATTTCTTCACTGTCCAGTCTCATCTTAAACCCTTATAATGTAGCCTCTGCCCTCACTACAATCCCTAAAACTGCTCTAGCAAAAATCACCAGTGTTCTCCCTATTGACATTTAAGTTTAAAAAAATGTTGTTACCATTCTTAATCCTTTACATAATTTGATACATTTCACTATTACACATCTTGAAATTCTGCATATGCCTGATTTCTTGTAACCACTACCTTTGGATTTTACCTCCCTGCAAGCCAACTCCTTTTCTCCCTTTGTGCTCTCATCTGACACACCTTCTTCAAATCTGAGCATTTCTTCTTAATCTCCTTCATAGGAATATCGAAATTCCTAGGATTCTCTCCTTGGTCCACTAAGGTCCTCAACCGACCCCAAAGCAATCCCACCCACACTCATGGTTTATCTACCACTTGTGGGACAATGACCCCATCTCCCGCCACAAGCCATCTTTCCCACCCTGACATTTCACCAGCACATCAAATGCATATACTTCCTTGCCCAGGAATGTGTACACATAGTTGTTGCACAGATACCTCACAGCTCAAAGAGTCTAACGTGCCTCATTATTTTTCCCTAAGACCTATTCCCTGTCATCTCTACCTTCATATGTCGTGGTTCCACCTTGCAAAAGCCACTTAGGTCAGAAACCTTAGAAATCTGAAATTCATCAATGATTCTCCCCTCCCCCCCACTCATACTGTGCAATGTCTAAAGAATCATCATAGCTATTGATTTCTTCATCCTAAAAAATTTTCAAAACTTTCCACCTTTTACCTCTGCTATTTTCAGGCCCTCCCTGCCTGCCTAACTTTTCTCCCTGCTTCTCTTCTGATGCTCTCTTTACTCCATGCTGCCACCAGGCTTATACAAACCCACCACTCAGTTTTTAAAATCAAACTGTCATGGGTTTCCTTTTATTGCCTGCTGGGCCAACTCCCGGCTCCCAAGATGGCAGATGTAGCTCTCTCCACAATGTGCAAACCAAGGCCAGGCTTCACCCTGTCTCTGCCTGTCTGCCGCCTCTCTGGAAAACTCCAGGAGAAACACACAGAAGTGCCTTCTCTTCTCTGCTGACATGAAATTTGAACATGTATAAACCAGCATCAAGGTGATGTAATCCCATCCAACTTTCATAGATAATATCCAGGATGGAAATGTTTCCAAACCACAGCTGAAAGACACATGTGGTTTTATTCGGCATGAAATTCGGCAAGTAATTAATACACAACTCTGTCATGCTCCTGGAAGCAGGGCCACTCTTGGAGCTTGGGGGAGTGAAAATGAGACCCTCATGCTGGTCAATACTGACTGCCTCCATCACAGCAGGGAAGGCCAGAGCCGTTCATACCTACTTCTGGGTAATCACACACTTGTGCTGGCTGCTTCTAGGGGTTTATGGGGGTGATTCTGGATGACTACACACAGAGCACCCTGAGTCAAAAGTGTTTCAGGGACCATCTGGGATTGGTACTGAGGCTGGTTATCTCCAACACTGTCCAGTAACTACACAGTTAAAGCCATTCTAGGAGAAAATATAAAATCACACTGAAAGTTTATACCACACTAAAAGTGTCAAATGCTACAAAACCTCACCTTTAAGGATAGCTGAAGGGAACTGCAGGGGAAAACCACAGAAGCAGTCAGGCTTCGGCAAAGTGAAAACCTCACGCCAAGAGCATCTTCATGAGCTCTCACCGAATCAATGCAGAGTTTTCCTTTCCATTCTTTCCTTTCCTTTGCCCCCTCTCCTACTGAACGTAGTCACTTCTTACTTGATCCTGTCTTTTTCTTTTTTAAGACATGAGGTCTCGTTCTGTGGCCCAGGCTGGATTCTAACTCCTGGGCTCAAGCAATCCTCCTGCCTCAGTCTCCAGAGTAGTTGGGATGACAGGCAAGTGCCATCGTACCTGACCTTGATCCTGCCTTTAACTCATCTCCAGTTCCAGTTAATAATTTTTGGCTCTCAGTCATATTTTCATTTTTAATAATTTGGGGACCTCTTTGAGAAATAAAATAAAGTTATGGACTCTCTCTCCAGGAAAAAAAAAAAAGTACATACAGTTGAGGTTTTGCTTATAATTCAGGGAGTTCATGGATCAGGCCCCTTCCCAACAAAGCACATTCATAGCCTTATAGGCTTTAATCAACCTTCCAAATGGCAGCCTTCATGTACTTGAAGAGCATGCCCAGGAATGACTTCCTCTCTCCTCTCCTCCTCCACCTTGGCTTATGTAAGTCAAGTTGTTGGTGTGTTATGTTTCTCCCCCAAAATGAATCTCTCCATTTTCATCTTTGGGCAATGTCCTGAACTGCATCAGCTCTAGAGGTTTTATGTGACACATGTGCTACAGGACAAGCCACCGCATCCTCCCTATCATCAACACAGCCTTAAAGGAAGCATTCCCACCAGGACAGCAGCAGCCTCGGCAGCTCCCTGGCAGACCACACAGAACACTGCCAGCTACAATTCTGAGGATGGTCCTTGACGTATTGACGCCTAGTTGCAGCTCTATGACTTCAACTGTTGGGTCCCTAGGCACCATGTGGGAAGGCTCAGTGAACTGTAATCCAAGGGATTGGATTGGGAGGGGCCAGCACCTGGATCAGTTTCCTATGAGAATGGGGGCAGCTGTTGTGCTGGACCCTGTGGGCAGTGCAGGAGGAGGTACAGGGCAGCTGCCCATGCAAGACACCTTTCATTAAGCATCCATGGGTACAGACAGCCAGTGGGTGTAGAGGCGATGGTGTAATCTCAGCCAGCCAGTGGAACAAAGCAGTAGGAAAGCATATTCATTCATTCATTCATGCAATGAAGCAGTTTTCACTGTGCTCCTGCTAAGTTCCAGGCTCTGTGCTAGGTGCCTGGAAAACAATAGTGAGGAAAATAGATAGGACCTTCTTGGAACTTCCTGTCTAGTGGGTGATGCAGGCATGTTGGTCATGTGACCATTCAACCATGAAGGTAAGAATCAAGTTTTAGAGAGGACTTAGGAGGGCATAGAACACACGTTGGGAGTGGGGAGGATACTGACACAGGGAAGGCCACCTGAGGGCAGTAACATCAATGCTGATGTGTGCAGGGTGAGTAGGTGCTAGCCAGGTGGGTGGGTGCCTTTGCTGTGGGGCCACAGGTGAAGCAGGGTAGAGAGGGCCAGAGGGAGAGTGGGGACTTGGTGGCAAACTGGTCATGAGGGCCAGCAGGGAGGCCAGTGGACCAAAATATTAATAGATACTACCAGAGAGGCAGGAAGGCCCGGAACATGAAGCACCTCTGACACCATTTTAATAACTTTCCACTTTGCACTAAAGGGTTTTAAGCAACATGTGATTGAGGAGATGTGAGTCCCTGAGCAGGGATTGTGGAAGTCCAATGTGTTTGTCAGCAACTCGGGAACTCAGGCAGGAGCAGTAAAGAGTGCTCCTTTCACACAATTCCCTCCTGTCTTCCAAAGAATATCAGTCCACTGAGCTCCTCTACTTTTCCTGACTGTCCTTAGGGGAGGACCAGGGATGTGTGGGGAGGAGCAGTTCAGTGACGCCCAGAACTGACTGAACACCCCAGGAATGATCAGGGAATGAACGTATTCTTTCTTTTTTGCCAAATCTCATCCATGCACATGCAGAGTCCAGCTCTCCCGAGGGGTTTCTGAAATTCACCCAGTGAGCCTGAAACTGGAAGTCTTTGCCAAATATCCAGTCTCCAGGGTACAGGGCAGGGACCAGCAGAACACCATCCCTCTCTCCTGCTTGCACACAGCGCCACCTCCTTCCTGCACACCAGGCCTGCTCAGCCCCAGGCAAGAGGAGGTGGGTCTGGAAGGCTGGGAGCCTGATCACAGTCCCATAAGAAATGGCTGGACTGTTGAATAAACTGAAGGGTCTCTCAGGAGCCGAGGAAACAGGTGGGGCTTGTCTCAAGCAAACTTCTCACTAAAACAACAAGCTTCTTGGTATCTGTTTAAAGACTGTTAGACTTGATGTGCAGAAATGAATAGCCCTTTACACTTCCTTTGTTTGAGATGCTAGGAGATGAGAGACATGGCCTGCTTGTTTCACTTCTCTGCATCCCAGCTTCATAGGGACAAAGCTGGCAACACTGTCCCTTCTGTACTGCTTTTACCTTGGCGCCCAGGCTTGGCCAAGGTAAATAAGTTTCCTGATGAAACTTATTAGCACAGTGTCTGCTTCTGCAAGTGAGAGCGTGAGGGCTGCTGTTGCCCCACGCAGGGCCCCCTGGACTCAGCAGTGTGCTGGCCTGACCTGCAGCTCACCCTTCCCCCTTGGGGCGAAAGCCAGCCACAGCAGCTGCCTAGTAATTCTCTGTAGTAATAGGACCCCTTCTAAATGCCTATCAAAGTGCCATGCACTGGCCATAAGTAAGCTCTGGAAATTACTTTTGCTGAGAGATCCCGGGTGCCTGCCTCTGCATTTGGTTTGCAGGAGGTCTGAAGCCACTGGATGTTTTACTGAGCTCCCTCTCTCTTTTTGCAGCCAGCTTGTAAGTCCTGGATAACACTTGTTGAATGGGCTTCCGAGGACTTTTGTGCTGCCTGTTTATGAGCCAAGCTGGAGAACTCAGCCTTATGTGGGGAAGGTTCCCACCCTGTAATGTGGGTGAGTGTTGGAGGGCATCCGGGATTAGCTTGGCCTGAAAGCCAGAAGAGCACGTTTGTCCTGCTTTGTTTTTGAAAGTAATAATGCAATGCCATTGGAGGATGGGGAATAAAACCCCTAGGGTTACTATCTTTCCTCAAGGCCAAGGTTAAAAAGAACAGGAGCCAAACTTTGTATGGAATCTGACAAAGTTAGATCCCTGAGCATTTTACTCCACAAAGCCCCTCACTGAGGCTGCCCACCTCCCTCTGCTTGGAGAATTTATACTTGGCTCATATATGGAAGAATTTGCAAATTCTGGTAGGCTCACTGGTTAATAAATATTCATGGGATATTTATGGTGAGAGGTAGAGTCATGACACAGACACCTGCCATGTCTTGAAGAAGCCTGGTGAGAAAAGAGAGACCCTCAAGATTGGAAAGAGGTTAAGGGTGCTGCAGGCCAACCACCACTAGGAGCTCAGCTCTTGCATCATCTTCTTATCTGCTGTGCTTGAGTGCAGGAGGAATACTTCTAGTGACTGTGCCCTGAAAACATCAGTTCCTCTTTCAGGGAACAGCTCGTCAAATATCCCAGATTCTGTGCCTCCTTGTACTGTCTCCAGAGTCCTCAACCGCTCCTCTGAGATGTGGTCCAGGGAGGAACATTTTAAAGTCACTGAAACTCATTCTACTCCTAAGCGTTGTCTGTCTCCCTCATCCTACCTTGTGAGGCTGATTCATGTTTGTTTGTTTGTTTTTCATGAGGTTAATAGGGGTTCAGCATGACATATGCTCAATTTTACCTCTTGACCTCAAAGCCTAAAGTATGTACTGTGTAGTCATTTACAGGAAAAGTTTGCCAAACCTTAGTCTTGATTTTAATTCTGTTGTTGAACATAGCATAATCCATTCCTTTTCGCAAGGGCTCCAATCTGATAAGGATGACGTGTTACGTCTCTTATTAAATCTCTAAAAATGCATCAGAGTAGGTACAGGTTAAGGATAGCATGGGGTCCTGTCACGTCCCACTAGAGCCATCCTCCAGATAATATCAGTCTAATAATCAATGCAGGGCAACTCCTCTAGTCCAGCTGTTTACAAATGTGCCTTGTGTTCAGGGATATCAAGAGATCCATGTCAATTATTTTGTCTACATCCAGATATACCAAATATTCTAATACATCTCACTGTTGTTCTGGCTTGGGAGTGGTCTCAGATAACACTCAGACTAGTCTGATATAAATTACTTAGGTGCTGGTCTCTTTTGTAATGACACACAGATTTGTCACAGAGTTTTTCTAGGACTTGGTGGTTTGCTCTCCCACCTGTACTGCTTAGGGTATATATCACTTGCTACTGTGATAGGTAAGCTCCACAATCTCAGTGGATTCGTGCAATAAATTTTTTGCCATTCTCAGAGCAATTCATAATTCTTATTATGAATTAATAAGAATGTCACAAATTCCATGTCATGACTCAGGGGCTTAATCACTTATGGCTCGGTCTTCCCCTAAGGCTTCGAGGGGAATGTGGAGGTAGAGAAGGTACACCTGCGCCATAACTGTCTATCACCTTTACTCATGTGCCATTGGTGGAAACCACTCATATGACTACCAAAAAGGAATGTCATTCTGGCCTCTTCCCAGCTACACTCTAAGCCATGGAAAGGGAATATAAATCTTTGGTGGGCATCTGGCCATGTCTGTCATGATGTGTTCTTTTTTTCTTTCACAAATTGTAACTATGTTTAAAATATCTAAGTTAGGGCACCTCCTTTTACTCTCATTATTCCTCACTGGGCATTGACAAATGGCCCTTGCACTGAGACCAGGACACTCGTTTATTTTTATAAAACAAGATGTTCTGTTAGAATTATTTTACCAGTTAAATGATTGTATTTCCAATTTAAAAATGTATTCCACTCATGTAGGTCTCAAGCTCATTCTCTGTAATTGAGGTCTACTTAGCAAAGACACTTCGTTCCAAATGAGAGAAATCCAGCTTCAATTAGCACAAATAACAAAAAAGAGGATACTAGGTTATATCGCAGAAAAAAAAGACCTGAGGAACCGTGATCTTAGGGATGAGAACGGGGACTTAGAATAGCCAGATCTCTTTCTCCTTCCATTTCTTTCATCTCCACTTGTCTATCTGACTTCATTCTTTTTTTACTGCAGACAAACACCAGCGACAACACATGCCAGCATAATAGCCTAAAATGCTTCTCACCTAATTTTAGATTAAGAGATTCTGGGCAAGAACCCTATTGGCTGTATTTGAGACACCTGCCTGCTCCTCGGCCAATCACTATATCCACAGAAATAGGAGTAAGTTAACGGGCCATGCCCAATCATGTTCCACACCACCACTCTCCTGTCCTCCATGCCAGGGTCATGGGAATGGCTTCTGGGAAACAAAAGCAATCTCCATCCTCTACTCAGTAGAAGTAGCACAGGGGAAGTAACATAATGCCCACAGAGACGGGGATTCCTTTGTTATCTGTTATCCATATACATTATACCACTGGCCACACACAGCCCACCTACACCTAAAACTTTCTTGTTTTTTTTTTTGTTTTTGTTTTTTTTGAGAAGGAGTCTTGCTCTGTTGCCCAGGCTGGAGTGCAGTGGTGAGATCTCAGCTCATTGCAACCTCTGCCTCCTGGCTTCACGTGATTCGCCTGCCTCAGCCACCCAAGTAGCTGGGGCTACAGGCATGTGCCACCATGCCGGGCTAATTTTTGTATTTTTAGTAGAGATGGGGTTTTACCATGTTGGCCAGGCTGGTCTCGAACCCCTGACCTCAGTTGATCCACCCGCCTCGGCCTCCCAAAGTGTTGTTTTTCATTTTTTTAATCGTTTTTGTCTTTAACACACACACACACTCACACACATGCACACGTGCACACACGCATACATGCACACACTGAAAGACCATATTTACCAATAACATAAAGTAAAATATATTCCACACTATGATTGAGATATGCACAGAGTACTATAAAAGTTTGGAGGTAAGAGAAATTTTGTGTGACATTAGATTAGGACTTGAAGAATGTATAGGATTTCAACTGGCAGCCTAGGGGAGGGGAAGAGAGTACCTGGGGCAGGGAGTCCTGGCAAGCTAGATGTCTGAGACAATCTCAGAGGCGATCTGTATTAGAAAGGTTGTCAGGGTGAAGGGCAGAGTGAAAGAGTTCCAACAAGTGTTTTGGGACCAAGGAGTAGCTGCACTTGGTTGAGGCCTATGAAGGCCAGAGTATCAGGATACATAAATTCTGGTATGCCTGTGTGAGAAACAGTCTCATTTCCTTATCGTCTCTCATTGTAGATTTGGTTTCCCTCATTAAATTCCAAGCTCCTTCAATCCCCAGGGAAAGAAACTCCTTTATAGAAAGTCAGCTGTGTGCTGATGTTTTTTTAAGTCTTCATAAATCATGTGAGCCCTTTCATAAATCACACAGAGCTGCCTTCATTTTGCAGCTGCACTCCACAGATACTTCAGGGGAATGCTTCTATTTGTCCCAGGCAAAGCTATCAAGACATGGGCAGTCCTAGACCGCCTTCCGTTTCTAGATGGTACCTCTTCCATTCCATCCCCTTCATTTGCCCAAAGGCCTCTTACTGTCTTCCCACTGCCTCTCCCTTCCCCACCCACTCCACCTATGAAAACAGGAAAGACTCTGTTATCAGTCACTTACACCTGATGATGGATTGATTAATTGCACTTTAACTGAAATCCAGTCACACAAGTATAACCTGTGCTTTCAACCATTCATTTGCATGTTAATCCTTTTATCTTCAAATATGGAATGAAAGACTATTTTCCATGCTCAAAGAAATTCCAGGCTTTAACTTAATTACTGTGAGATTTTAGATGGTGGTGGTAAAGGAGGAGAAAGAATAGGAAGAAGAGACCAGGAATAAAGAAAACAAAAAAGGGGGGACTGGCTGTAAAGCAGGAGGAAATATGGAAGGGGTGAAGAGGCATATGGAAATTGCAAAGAGCAGGCCTAATAGACAAGATGTTTGTTAAATATTTATTGAATAAGCGCTCTTGGAATGCGCAGATGGATAGAAGCTAGATTTAGAAAAATAAATAATTTTTCTCCTCTAAACTAAACAGTAAGTTATTTGGAGATGGGAAATGTGACTTACTTCTTTATCCCATGACACCCAGGATATATCACCCTACTCAATAAATAAGGAGAGATAATAAATATACGCTGACTGAGGTGTAGCAAATATTGCCAAAATGTGTTCCAGGCTTGGAGTCTATCAATAAAATAAATTTTTAAAAGCCCCAAACTTCAATCTTTTACTGCTAGACGCCTGGCTTTTCAGTCAACTAGCTGTATCACTTTAGCCCACTGGTTGACCTCTTTGTATCTTGTTTCTTCCTCTAACTAGCTGTAGATTAGCATATTTGAACCTGTGCTCGATGGAACCCTGGGGGTTTCTGAAAGTGCCCCAGAAGCCATCATGAAGTAGAGAGGGCAAGGGAAAAGCCAAATGGTAAGAGTGAAAAGCTTTCCAGCCCTGCCTCAACTTCACCCTTTCCTACAGCTGTCAGGGAAGCAGCCCCACTTTTACCTTTACCTGTTTTAGAGTTCTGAGTACATTTTTATTTGACAAAGAGAAATGTTTGAAGACGACTGCACTTGACCTCTAAACACAAAATTTCATTAACTCTTATTTATTATTTTTAAAGTATGTTTTCTAGCAGTAGTATGTCATTATAGCAGGTTTTTGTGATTAATAGCCTTAACATTAATTCGAAACAATACAATTTTAAAGCATTTGCCAGATACTTTCATGCTATACACCTTAGACTAAAAATAGATGCAGACATGATCTTAAAATTACTATTAGTATATTTTGAAGTGTTTTCAAAATAGTTGCAAAATCCTCAAACTGTATTCAAGATAGTCATTGAATTGACAGCTATTAAAATTAATTTCTGAAAACATCTCTCTTTTTCTAACCAGAAAGCTGAGTCATATTTCATGGGTTCGCGGAGGGAAGGCATTTTCCAATTAGTGAACTCTTCTGTTGTGTTGTAATTGAAAAATATAAAATATCATATTCATGAAGAAGAGAGAACAAATTCTCAATTTGGTGGTAACTAGTAAGTTATTTGGCTTATGAAAATATGGGAATTGAAGGTGAATGTATGGTCAACTTCTAGCTTGATGATAAACATATTCAAAATACTCCATATATTTAGCCCAAAACAATGTCTAGTGATAAAAAATTGAGTTACGAGGAGATGAAGCAATTTACATCACATGAATTGTAAGAGACTTGAAATTCATTGACACCTCCATACCAGAAAGGAATAATTGAAAGGCAACCTCTGAGTAATTAATGTAGATATGCAATTATATGTGAGGTCATGTTTAATGCAGTTCATCAGGTATTTCCAACACATGGAAAGATTTCACTTCCAGGCTTTTTTGTGGTTGGATGGTGTCATGTGACTAGTTCTGGCCAATATTTGATGTGAGTTGGTTCCAGGCTAGCAATTTAATTGCTAATGTGAGAACTTTCTGAGCTCTCTTTTAACCTGGCAGACCCTAAGAAACATCTAGATGGTGACTGCTTCTCCAACTCTGGTGACCATAGACCCCAGATGACCGTAATGGCTGTGTGGTTGTGTAGTGTGAATGAGAAGCCATTGTGGTTTTAGCAACTGAGATTTGAGGGTTAACCACTGCAGTATGATCTGATAGGATGTGTGAAAGAGAAATCTGTTTCAACAAGCTAGTAAGTAGCATTCTTCTTCTAAGCAAATTGGGAAATTTACAAGAGACGAAACCACAGGCAGGGGTTTGGGGGATAACTGTAGCACACCCCTTCTGAAAAGTCAAAAACAAACAAAAAAAACCCAAACTGCATTTATTCCTCAGGCTCTCATGGAATACTTAAATACTCTCTGGGAGACTATTTTAATTGGAAGCAATGTGACTTTTCCCATCTTAAGGTTTTTAAATGGCATGTGTCATATTTATCTGAAAACAAGACTGATTGAGGTAAAAAATAATAATTCTTGTAATGTTTTTCATTTGAAGAGAACTCTGAATTTTTTCCACAAAGCTTCATTTTTCCAACTTTGCTTTTACTTTGAGATAAATGCTAAAGAAAGAAAATTACTCAGAGCATCTCTCACAATCCCTGAGCATCTCTCACAATCACATACACTGATGATATATCACACATTTCTTTCTCCAGGCAACTTTGGTGACTCTCAATATGCTTAAAGGAAAGAGCTGGGCTTATGGCTGATGGAAGTGGTCAGGTCCCTTTGGAGAGTGGCAGAGGAGAGTTCTTTCCCTGAATGAGTCACAAGGTCCACATGGCTGCTTAGCTCACAGTTCCTGCTAGCCAGAGTAATAGAGTGTGTTCCCCTCATTCTTTGGTTTTACAGCAATATTATTATTAATTCCTTTCCTATGAACTGAGGTTTGGATGTGTTCCTCCCTGATTTTTAAAAGCATATTAATAGTGAATCAGGATGAGCCCCCAAATAAGAAAAAAAAAACATACGCAAAACACCTCTGTGTGATTCCACTCATACTAGGCCAATCAATTTCTTACAATTTATACTTATTTTATGTCATTTAGTCTTACTGAAAAAAATGGCTGAAATATTATTTCTATTAACCAATTAGTCACTAAAACCAATGACTACTTAATTAGTTTCAGTAATTATTTAATGTGTCTCTTTAAAATATCATACTTGAAACCAGTGTCCAAATATAGCTTTATTTTTCAAGCTGATGTATATTTTCTACATTTAACCTTGAAACTGTATAACTTTACTTATGGACAGTCGAGCCTCATAAGGCTTCGAAAAATGTAGGTTGATGATGAACACAACGACCTGCTATAGACTATTAATAGGAATTGCTGGCATATTTTTATCATTTTGTAAATTGGGAAGGCAGACATCTTTGCTTTGCGAGTGATAGCAATACCCTGACATCACTTGGGCTTCCATCAAAGAACTTCCTTAAAAAGTGACTCTTGTTTCCTGGTAGCTGTGTCAATAAATCAGCCAAGGATGCCTTTACCATCATCATCCTGACCATGTTTCTAACATTAGAACAGATGATCTGCTCTAGCTTAAAGAATACAAAGAGAAATTGCTACCTTCACATTTTTGGTCATCTACTAAGACAACACATGCAAATAACATTAGCAAAAATTTCCCTTTTGTGAGTTCCCCCTTGAAACCACACAGTTTGATGAGGGTTTGCTAAATCAATGATTTCATAACTGGAGTCAGTCTTAAACGAAGGAGCAATGCGAGGCATGAACAACAAAAATTATAGGAATCCTTTTTCAATGTGATGAGCCCTTTTGCATGCTGCTTCGCAATCATCAGCATTGTCAACAACGTTTATGGGTACTGCTGGGCTGCACAGAGTATGTGAGGATGTGATCATGACTTTGGGTTCATTTATGAGGCAAGATAAAAAATTGTGTTGCAAAGAGTTGTAGCAGTCAGAGAGCTGTAAAAATACTACGCAAGATAATAATTTAAAAAGAATGCTCTTATTTTGTGTATAAGCATAGATCTGTTTGGTTGTATGTATAAAGGACATGGAATGACAAGTGAGAAGTAGTCAGGGAAATGTTACGCTAGTGGATGGATTTTCTTTGTCTTTATTTTACTTCTGAGGATGTCCAAAGTTATGTTAGGCAGTATATATACACAAGCACATATACTTGGAAAAAAATCTGGCTGGATTTAAACTGCTAATTATTTATTAATAAGCTCATCATCAAGCATCTGTTAACATTTATGACAATTTTGTTAAGCTCCTTTTATTAAGCGCTTTGCACGTATCAGACCCTGTGCTATGTGCTCATATTTTGAGTTGGTTACTGTTATGCTCCTTTGGTAAGAGAAGAAACAGTGCAGAAAGGTTAATTAAATGTTGGAAAATTCTGAAGCTGAGATTAGAAACTGCATCTATCTGAATTTAAACGGTTGCTTTGAAACTAGGCGCTTTGATGAATTAACTGTTTGTCTGTTTATTTTCCTTAAATATGCTGTTTAAATGTGGTTGGAGAGTTGAATAGGTGAATAGTGGAAAATAAGAACCTAAGAAATCAGGGAGTGACATTCTGCAGACAGAAAAAATATTGTTGGAGAAAAGAGAGAATGGAAACAACCTCAAGTGAAACAAATGAAGTTTTCTTTTCCTTTACCCCCATCGTCACATCCCAGAAGGAGCCTGGATTTATTGACCCAGAGCCACAAGTTAAAAAGTCAAGTACAGAGTGGAGCCTGAGTTAACCCCATTTGTTCTCTGAAGGTGGTCACCTTGCTGTAGCAAGTTGCAATGCCAGCACCTAGAGAACTGGCTGGAGGTGGCAGAAAGGAACATGGATGTCCACCAACTAAGAGTATGGGGTCATCATATTAAACAGAATTCCACAATGACATACAAACTGTGAAGCCTAAAACAAGGCTACGTATGCCTCCTTATCTTGCTTGAAAGAAAGAGAATGCCTTTTCCAGACCAAGGTTGCCCTAGACTTCTCTATGTCTATGGATTTTATATATCTATTCCACATATATTTCATTTGATATATATTTGAATTTTCTAATTAAACTGTTTAATACAATCTTATGTTGAGTTCAGTCACGTAATGTAAACATTCTGTGAATGCCTAGAGAGGAAAATATACCATGTGGCAACATCCCATGGAATTACCTGGGGAAACTCATGACTTGGCGTCATGGACAATGTTGTTGCTCATGTGTGTAAGCTCTGTTGGGCAGGTGCCTGTAAATTGGGAAGCGTGAAAGAGATTCTGTCTCATTCCTAGCCATCTGCTTAAGTGAACTTTTCTTAACCGACTCTGAGCATCCAAACAGAATCTGTTTTAGATGTATTCAGCAGGATCACAGAGACAGTAGTTTTAGGCATTTTTTTCTCAGCAACACACATGCCTTCAGGATTATCACCTAGGATCCTCTTCCCTGTCTGTGCATCCCTAAGGCATAATAATTCTGTGCAACTTGGTGCAAAACTTAATCTTCTGGACAAGCACAACTTAACTGCCCCTCAGGGAATGGGACACAAAAGAGTAAGAGCTTTCAGCTAGAGGGCTGGATACTCTCACTAAGGTCCATGTGTGAGCAGGACTCACAGCTTCCACTGTGAGCAGTGGCTCCATCATAGTGGATCAGACAGCCACCTCTGCCTTCTTGGAAGGAAAGTGGGGGCTCTGGTTAGGCCTTAACGTCTCAAAGAAGAGCAGAGTGGGCTGTGAATAAATGTCTTTCCCCAGGGAAAACCTTCCTCCTTTAGTTGTTGGAGTCCAAGGGGAATTTTTTTCTTTCTTTACGATTTCCAGCCTCCCTACATGGTCTCATCACTGCCAAGTTGCACACAAACATGCCTTTAAGCCAGAGGTATTCCAGGGCCCTCTGGCTGCATCTTGATTTCTTCTCCTGGTTAGGGTTCCATGCTGGGCCTCGTCCTCACACAGCATTGCACGTGGGCAAATTGCCTAATAAATCATAGTGATCTATAAATGGGGCTTTTCTTCTTATATCTTCTACCTGGTGCAAAATGCATTGAGGACCAATTTTCTATGAGTAATTGTATGATTTTATACATTTGCAGGAACCCAGGTCTTTAATAAATCAGACTTTTGGAGTCCTTGGAGTATTTTTCTTTTTACCACAGATCTGAATATTTTCTATGGTTTGTGGTCATTTGTTTTTTTAATATTCTGGCCGGTATTCAGTTTGCTTGGTGGTGTTGGCTGCAGACTTGTAATTTCTGCTAGAGTTGAATTTTCCACTCAGAGAAATTTTATAGCTCTCTGGTGTTCACAGAGATCAGAACAGACATTTTTGCCAATTTGACCAACTTCATTGACAGACTCAGAATCCTAAGTGTGGGCCAGATAATGGACGTGATTCATATGTTACAAGCACCCCTGTTGATTAGCCCAGGATCTGATGCTGGCCTTGTGTGAATAACATTCTCCAGCCTCCCCTCAGGGTGTCTGGGAGTATGCAAGGCCATATCCCACATGGCAACGCAAATGTTATCCCTCATCTCCAGGGCTTATTCTCGGGGTCAATAAAATTCTTTGGGAGAGATGCAATGTCCACACCATCATAAATATCTTTCTTCTTGACTATATATGAGGTGAAAGAATGCTTAGTGTTCAGAACTGATGCTGCATTATTGCTCATCAAACCAATAGACTGGGTTTTCGGAAGAAAAATAGTATTAGGCAGTGTGTCACATGAGAAGGCTAAAATGATTTTAGAGAGGCTCCTTCACTCTGTTTCAAAAAAAATGATCTCAGGAGAATGACAGATATCCCAGATGTCATTTAAGGACAGCTGACATAAGACAATACATGCCTAAAGTCACCTATCAAGGCAATGAAAACTCAGCACTCAAATCATTGTATATAATCTAGCTTGAGCTAAATTTAATGCTAATTATTATGCATGAGCAGGTATTCTGAGTGAAGTTCAATTCCACATAGGAAATAAAACCTTCAGAGAAGTTGGGGGAGGGGAATTAGGAACAGTTGAGCATCTGCTATGTGGCCTATGCCTTGCCTCTATGAAAGGTAAGTAAATACAGAAGGACTCATAAATCCCATTTTACAGATTAACCACTCAAAACAGGAAAAAGAAGTAGCATACCCGGGTTTCTCTGACTATTACACAGTGTGTCCTTCCCACTCCACAGCTGCCTCCTTAAACTGATATAAAGCTATGAGTTGACATTTTGAGACTTCAACAACATTTGGCCAACTCCATCTGATACCACTGCCATTTCCAACTTTCCTGCCCTTTCTTTAACTTTAGAGGGCTTTCCTTCTTAAATATACTTTCTTACAAGTGTTCACACAAGTCCTACACTCCAACCTTGGGCTAAAGACCAAGGAATATACTGATGAAACATAAGGTAATTCCTGTCTTCTAGAAGCTTGTAATCTAAGTGGAAAGACCATGAGGCAACCACATCCAATAAACAGTTTGATAAAAAAGTAATATTTGTCACTACCTTCATTCATTTATTCATTCCTTCAGTCACAGTCAATGAAAGCTAATTTTTCTAAAGTATAATTTTTTAATACACACTTCACAAACATTTACAGTAGCTTATCATGTTAAAAATACACGTAATACAAAATATTTAAAATGAGACTGAAAGATCAGAAGCAGTTCAGACAGAAAAGAGAATAGTCAACCAGGAGACAGAAAAGAGAACAATCAACCAAGAGCCTCCATGTGCAGCAAGAACCTCTTCACAACTGAAGCAAAATGTAAAATCCAAATGAGCTTTGCTGTTCTCCTTCAGTCCACCTAAGGAATGAGCTCTGATACAAAATGTAAACAAAATTAATTCAAATAGATCCATATACAAGTTGATATGATCAAACACATCAGAACCTCAGGAAATGGCCCAGGAATTGAATGTGATCAACAGAGATTATTTGAGGAAGTAATGCAGAGAACATCATTAGGGTGAAGTCTTGGGTGGCAATGCAGATGATTTTAAGAAATAAGAGGATCCAGCATTAAATACAGTAAATCACAGAGTGAGAACGTCACCTTCTTCCAATGTTCTTTCAATTAGACTGTCTCAGTTTGGCCTGCTAACTCACTACCTCCAATACTTGGTAGCCTTCCATCTTAATAAAGAAAATGGCAACCTCTGGCTAATTGCTTTTAGTAGGTAAGATTATCCAGTAATAATTTTTAACATTATTTTGTTTTTGTTTTATTTATCTTCATGACTTCCTTATACTTATAACAAGTGATGGCAGTTTTCAATTTATGGTCAAAACATAAAATTTCCCTTTAATGAATTTATGGTTTTTTAGAAAGTGAATTTATGTTTTTTTTTTTTAGAATGTGTGTCTTTTCACCTATCTTATTGGGAGAAGCTTAGACGTCTGTGTTGAGGAGGGTGTAGATTTATGAGATCCCTGTACATGGCTGCTGGCAGAATCAATTGGTATGAGCACTTGGGAAAACAATTTGGCATTATCCCCTTAACTTGAACATTTGCCTGCCCTAATAACCTGCCAGTTCCACCTGTTTGTCTCAATCCAAGATAGGTTTTTGTGCTTAAACGGTGGGAGACCTGCAGAGAACCTTCCCAGCAGCCCTTTCAACAGACCAAAAACATGGAAACCACCCAATGCCCAATGGCAACAGAAGAGTGAAATGACAAACAATTAATAAATTATGGAAACTTCATATCATAGAGTATTATACCATGGTCAAAATGAGTGAACCTTTGCCATGCAGAACCCTATGGATACATCTAAGTAATATAAAGTGAAAAAAGCAAGACCAAAAAGATTACATGTGGTCAGATTCTTTTTCTAAGAATAAAAACAACTAAAATTAAAAGTGAAAATGAATAAAATGAGACATATTGATAAAAAAAAGACTATAGAAAAGGAAGCAACAGAATGATGAACACAAGACTCAAGGTGATTTTGAGGCAGCAGAAGGTAAGGGCAAAGTTGTTGAGAGTTGTCATATGGTTGGATTTAGGCTATTATATGGTTGGCTTTTGTTTTTCAAGGTGGTTCACAGATACTCATTATATTATTCAAAGTAATTCAGCCACTAACAAAATAAGGAAAACTAAGCCTTGAGTGTGCCAATAATGAGAGTCTATCATGAACCAACAATTATGATTTACTCAATTCTGTACATTTGAGGTCCAATAAGAAAAACTAGAGAGGTAATTTTTTAAAAAGATAGTAGGCAAAATAATGGCACATGTGGGAAGGAGTATGCAACTGACTAAAATTTTAAAAATACTGCAATAGGGAAAGGTCTTTCCCAGGAAGAGTGGTTTAGATAGTCCCAATAGACTGGAGCTTGGGAGTCAGGTCTAGGGAAATTGGGAAAGCACTTGTATTAGTTGGTTCTCATGCTGCTAATAAAGACATACCTGGAACCGGGTAACTTATAAAGGAAAGAAGTTTAATTGACTCACAGTTCCACATGGCTGGGTAGTCCTCACAATCATGGTGGAAAGCGAAGGGGAAGCAAGACACTTCTTACATGGCAACAGCCAAGAGAGGGAGAGAGCTTGTGCAGGGGAACTCCCATTTATAAAACCATCAGATCTCATAAGGCTTATTCACTACCATGAGAACAGTATGGGGGAAACTGCCCCCATGATTCAATTTTCTCCACCTGGCCTCACCCCTGATACCTGGAGATTATTACAATTCAAGGTGAGATTTGGGTAGGGACATAGCCAAACCATATTGGCATCCCAGTTGAAAATGAAGTTAGCCACTGGGACCAAATAAGCAAAGAACTAGGGGCAGTATGAGAACTGTGTGGGGACAAATGGAAAAATAGGATGCATAACTGAGAATTAGGAAAGAAAGCTCAGACTGTCAAGGGCTCAGTAATGTGGTTGGGGGAGGTATCAACTCTGATGTTTTTTTACATTTGGGGCCTTGACTTTCTGTTCCTTGGAGTGTCCAGAGCTGAGTCCATCTGTAGTACTTACTGGTAACCTACCTGCTTTCAGAAAGAATTTCTGGTGTTTCACAGAAAGACTTAAAATATAGCAAGGTAACCTAGGTGAGGAGCAGGTGAAGGATAAATGAATAAAAACAAGGAGAAAAAGCCAACCTGGAGTCTGCAATACTCCTAATACAAAAAAATAACATGCCAGAAGGTTGGCCAATACACTTGCTATGTAACAGATGTGGAGGGACAGCAAACACTCCCTTTAGCTGCTCTTTTGGAAGATTCACAGGCACGTTCTTCAATTATTGTTATCACAGGGCTCCTCCATTGAAGGCGGGGGTACAATAATGTTTCTCTGAGCAAGCCTGCCTTGGGAGAGCTAAGCAGGTGCACTGGTTTTGTAACCTAACTTATCAATGAATGAAGAACCTACAAAAATGATTGGGGAGTACAAGCCTTAAATAATTTCTACTAAATAATAATAGTGTCAGCGATATTTTTTGTAAGGGGAATTTAGAAGTTAAGTTCCAGAATGTGCCTGAAGTGGGTGTTAATCTCTAAACAGAGAGATCCATGAGTTTCAGATTCTTAGGGTTTTGTTTGTTTGTTTAGGGTTTTTTGGAGACAGAGGTCTCACTAGGCTGTCCAACCTGGCCTTGAATTTCGAGGCTCAAGAAATCCACCTGCCTCAGCCTTTTGAGTAGCTGGGACTGTGGGTGCAAGCCACTCTGCCCAGCTTGTTTCAGACTCTTAATCAGCAAGTGGCTTAGTTGGTTTTTGGATACTAGCATGCAAAAGCATGACCTGCATTCCAGTCCAGACTGGATGCTGTCCATTCTCCACACCAGGAGAAATGTCGAATACACAGAATTTAAATGGGTATTTGGAGATGGCACCTCAGTGAATAAAATATTCTCTGTAGGAAGTGGAGCTGAATGGATGATTTGGAGTCTCGAATGAGCCTGGGGCTGATGGGAGCCAAAGCTGGCAAAAAAAAATTTTTTTTAAGTCCACAGGAATGTTTATCTCCAGGAGAGAAATTGGTGCTTTTTCCCACGTGGAAAGGAAAAATAGAATAATTCTTTAAGCTGTAGAATAGCAAGAAAACATTGGCACCTGGAGAAGATTTGCAGAGCGGTTGCTGGGTGCTGTATGGGACTGGACATTGGAGGTGTGAAGCCAGCTGAGGAGCTCTGGCAGTAGCTCAGGCCCCAAGGTTGTGAGCTCACCTCTCAGGTGATCCTATTTTCACAGCGACTTCCTCCCAGATGCTCCTAGCTCTCTCTGAGTCTTCTATGTTTTGCTACACACAGTTTCAGCTGAATTTATTCTCCAATGTAATTCTTTTTAGTTGTCTAGGGAAATAATTATTGTTTAAAATCAACCCTTTCAATAAGAACCAGTCCAGAAACCAAAAAGTACATAAGATGTGGCAGAAATGAATAAGAAACCGGTATTAGGGGGATTACTTCCAAAATTCCATCCTTTTTCCATTTACAATACACTTGAGCAAAATCATACTTGAGATTTCTGAATGAAACACTGCAAGGATGTCACACAGTTCCTCTTGAAATGACAATAAGGTTGAGATACCAATAAATCAATGAGACATTCCTTAATATCCTGTAGCTGAGGAATGGCTGCAATAGGAATCCCTGCAAAACACAGCGTATCCTTTCCAACATCCAAAACCATGGGCTCCGCTAGGCTTTGACACCTTATATCCTCTCTGGGTTCTGTTGGGCATTTATTACAACACATGCCATGTGATGACCCCTCCTTTCCTTTTTTTTAGATTATAGCAAAATCTCAAAACAAATCCTTCTGGCAAAAGGGAAGGAAGCCAAACAAGCTACAGTTTATTTGAGCTGGCTGGCTGGGAGGCTGCCGTGTATGTCTACTAGTGCACATACGTCCTGTGGAGACCTAAGGAGAGGGAGAAACAAGTGGTTAATGAGACAAAACACTGAGCCCAGTGCTATTGAAATGTTTGGTCCGTTCCTAATTTTTTGTGCTTAGTGGTGTGACTTCTGAAATAAAACAAAACAAAAAGTATCGGTGTTACCACAGGTTGAACTTTCATACTGAGTAAAAATAAAATCCTAAGCCCCCCAGCTGATTGAATAAACCCTTCTTGGTCTTATAGGAATAACAATGAGATTGAAATAACACGACCAACCTCATTGGAGGGCCACTCTGATCCAGGTATTATTAAGAAGGAGAAAATTCCCATTACTGTACAACGGGAAGTCTATATAAAGAGAACCTAAAACTTTTAGGAAGAGGCTCTGAGGAAGCAGAGTGCTTGGAACCTGGCTAGTAACATGGGGAATTAACACCCACATTAGATAGCGGCTTCAAAAGTAATGGCACTGGCTATCTTTCTTTGGAGTTTTTCAGTATTTAGATTGTTTTCAATTTTCAAATGGGCTTAATACGATTTGACCCCTAATAAATAAATGGGCAGCTATGGTCTGGTTATTTATACTGGGGAGGGGAGCCAGAGGAAAAGGAAAGAAGAACTGGTTTCTCAAGTAGTTGTATCCAAAAGACACAGACAATGTCTCCTTTGCGCAGAAGTTAAAGAAAAGCTGTTGGGAAGGCCTTTATCCCAAAGATGCTCGAACTGGCAGTGGGAGCTGGGAGGAGATGCCAAGACTGGAATTAAAGTACATCAGCAGCCACATCTTCAGAGTAAAATTTGAAAAGTATTTTTATTTTATTTATTTATTTATTATTTTAGAGACAGGGTCTTGCTCTCTCACCCAGGCTGGAGTGCAGTGGTGTGATCACTGTAACCGCAGGACTCTTAGAATGTAAGGTATTCCAAGGAGGACAGTGATGAATTGCTGCCATTCAGCATGAACATAAAACTCAACGTATTCAATACTGAACACTAGAGTAATAAATCTGGGAATCTCAAAGATGGCTTATATCTCTAAATGCCAGTCAGAGAAGTGTCTTAAGACTCAATAATGTAGTCCAGAAACTGCAAGAGGATCATGTACTTCAACTCTTCCACCATGAAATATACCTTTTATTAATCCTAAATGCCAACTGCTCCTCACCTAGCTGGCATTTCCTGAACTCAATAGGGAAATATTACTTGATCTTTTAAAATTAAGGGACTGTGGTATGGAGGAATTCAAGACAACCCCAGGTTTTGAAGATAATTATAAAAATACTTTATATTTGTGTAACATTTGATATACAAACATGTACCTAAGTGCACATGTATTAGCTATGCCTATGAGCTTTACAACAGTCCTATGAAGTGGGTGTCACAGGCATTCCCATTTTACTGTTAATGTCCTCCGTTTTCTTTATCTTCATCTTCTGTGAGTTTGCACAAATGTGTCTACCAGTATTAACTACTCCAGTCGTTCCCCAAGTGTGGTCTCTGGACCAGCAAGATCAACATCACTTGGGTACTTGCTAGAAATGCCCATTCTCAAGCATCCCCACCCTCCCCAGACCCACTGAATCAGAAACTCAGGGATTGGGCCCAGGGATCTGTGTTTTAACAAGCCCTCCAGGTGACTCTGATGCATGCTTGAGTTTAACAGCCACTACACTATGCTCAGCCTTACTCCAATTCCTGAGAAAATCCTGACTGCTGCAGGATACACATCAGACAGCTCAGGACTCCACTTGTTGGGACTTAGACTATTAGTCTCTCCACCTCCAGAATCTGGGTGCCCCAGAGCCAACTTTTAAGCTGGCCCACTTATTACTCATCTCCTCTCTGAGTTTCTAGACTCAGCTGAAACTTGAACTGGGTCCTGGGAAAGCCAAAATGCACCTGAGAAAATGATTTTGCAGGAGAACGTTCATTCACGAAGGCAGTAACGAAAAGGAAACATCTTTCCTTCCCATCTTAGGTTCATGGTTAAGGCACCTATAACAAAAGACAGACTAACAAGAGAAAAATGTACACGTTTATTTAATATGTTTTATGTAACGGAGAGCCTCATGAAGAAATGAAGACCAAATAAACAGGTAAACTTGTGTATTTCTATGCTTAGATGAAGAATGGATAGTCATGGAGAGATAGAATTGGACAAAGAAGGTGTGATCTAATGTAACAAACTGGGGGCAACATAGCAAGACCTGTTTGTTCAGATTCTTCTTTGCATCTCTGTACCTCTGGCTCCTTTCCCCTGAGGTACAGGGAAAGCACCTCACAAATGAGGAGCCTATGACCTGCTTCTGCACCCCCTCCTTATTATTTTGAAGAAAAAGACCCTCCAGATCTTTCTTTTCCAGAGGATACTGGACAAAAAGTAGTTGCCCCAGTGACTGTTCCAGCAGCGCCTCGAGCGACCGCTCTTAGGTCTATTCAGGCAGGAATTCAGCAAGCTAGACGAGGGGGTGACTTAGAGGCTTGGCAGTTCCCTGTTAGAATACACCCCCCAGATCAACAGGGAAATATTACAGCTACATTTGAGCCTTTTCCTTTTAAATTACTCAAAGAATTAAAACAAGCTATTGATACTAAAAAAGAATGTAGAAAAAATCAGCGAGTCAGGCCACCAGATGGGGAAAAAAGAAAACTGCTGAGCCCGAAATATGTCCAAAATGTAAAAAAGAAAAACACTGGGCTAATCAGTGTCACTCTAAGTTTGATAAAGATGGGAACCCGATTTTGGGAAACACCATGAGGGGCCCGTCCTGGGCCCCGTTCCAAACTGGGGCGTTTCCAGCTCAGGCCATTCCCTCACCCCCGTACAATGTCTGTCCCCCGCCACAACCCGTAGTGCCGCAGTAGATTTATGCTGCACATAAGCTGTGAGTCTTCTGCCTGGGGAACCCCCGCAAAAAGGTCCCAACAGGAGTCTGTGGACCCTTGCCAGCGGGGACAATAGGATTACTTTTAGGAAGTTCTAGTTTAAGTTTAAAAGGGGTACAAATACATACAGGAATCATTGATTCAGATTACAATGGAGAAATTCAAATTATTATATCTGCTTCTGTTCCCTGGAAAGCAGAGCCAGGAGAGCGCATAGCACAGCTCCTGATTGTGCCATATGTGGGAATGGGGAAAGTGAAATTAAACGAACAGGAGGATATGGAAGCACAAATAAACAAGGCAAAGCAGGTTATTGGGTAAATCAAATCACTGATAAACGTCCTACCTGTGAAATAACTATTCAGGGAAAGAAATTTAAAGGTTTGGTAGATACAGGAGCGGACATTTCCATCATTTCTCTACAGCACTGGCCACCCCCGTGGCCAATTCAACCCGCTCAATTTAACATAGTTGGAGTTGGTAAAGCAGGTATATTTGCCAGCTAAAGCTGTTCTGATAGGTGTAGAGTGATGCCTAGTTGTGGTTTTAATTTGCATTTCCCTAATGGCTAATGACACTGAACATCTTTTCATGTACTTTTTTTCATTCTTACTTTCCCTTTGATGATATGTCTGTTTATGTCTTCAGCCCATTTTTTAAATTCTTTTTTTTTTGTTTTCTTATTGTTGAGTTTTGAGAGCTTTCTTAATAGTCTGTATACAAATCCTTTATTAGGTATGTGATTTGTAAATATTTTTATCTTCATCTGTAGCTTGTATTTTCATTCTCTCAATATCTTTCACAGGGTGAAGTGTTTAATTTTGATAAGATCCACTTTATCAATACTTTCTTTTATGAGTAGTGCTTTTGGTGTCATGTCTAAGAATGCTTTGCATGACACAAGGTCACAAGAATTTTCTCCTGTGTTTTCTTCTAGTAGGTTTGTAGTTTTATTTTTATCTATAACCCCTTTTGGGTTCATTTTTGGGAAAGCTGTTACGTTTAGGTTAAGCTAATTTTTCGTACACAAAATTCCAAATAATCCAACATCATTTGTGGCATTATTTTTGTACCTCTGTCAAAAATCAGTGAGACATGTTTGTGTTATTCTGTTCCACTCCTCCACTTGTCTGTTTATTCACCAATATCATCATATCTTGATTGCTACAGCTTTATAGTAAATCATTAAATCTCATAATATGAGTCCTTGAATTTTATATTCTTTTACAAAGTGTTTAGCTGCTCTAAGCTCCTTTGCTTTTACATATAAATGTTAGTATTAATTTGTCTACATCTACAAAAAAATCCTGCTGGGGTTTTCACTGGGACTGTGTTGCATCTTTAGATCAATTTTAGAAAAACTGGCCTCTTTACTATGTTGAATCTTTCAATTCATGATCATTTGCTGTCTCTAATTATTAATATTTAGTTCTTTCTTAATTTCTTTCATTGGTGTTTTGTATTTTTCAGATTACAGACTCTATGTTTTGTTAGATTTATCTCTAAGTATTTCATTTTTGCACCTATTGTAAATTAGATTTTTTAAAAATAATATTTCTATTGCTTCTAATATACATTTGTATATCTATTTCTATTGCTAGTAATACATATTTGTATATATTTCAGTATATTGATTTTTATGTGAACCTGTATCTTGCAATCTTGCTAAACTCATTTATTAGTTCTAGAAGTTTTTGTTATTGCTGATTCTTTGGAATTTTCTACATAAATAATCATGTTATCTGTGAATAGGAATAGGTTTATTTTCCCTTTTCCATGTATATACCTTTTATATGTTTTTGTCTTTTTTTACCTTATTATTCTGGCTAACACTTCCAATACAACATTGAGTAGCAGATGTGAATATGGACATTTTTGCCTCATTCTCAGTCTTAAAGGTAAAGCATTCAATTTTCCATGATCAAATATGATGTTAGTTGCAGGCTTTTTATAAATGGCCTTTATAGGATTCAGGAGGGTCTCTTCTATTACACATTTTCTCTGAGAGTTACTAACGTGAATGAATGTTGTATTTTGTCAAATGCTTTTTCTGCATCAACTGATATGATCATGTGGATTTTCTTCTTTAGACTATCAATATGGTGGATTGCATAGGTTGACTTCCAAATACTGAGAAAGCCTTACATTCCCAGGATAAACCCTACCTGATCATGATGTATTATTATTAATATGTTGATAGATTCAATGTGCTAATATTTTTCTTGAGGATTTTTGTGTCTATAATCATGAGGAATATTGCGGGTATTTTGGAAACTGTGTTCCATTCTGGTAATGTTGGCTTCATGAAATGAGCTGGAAAATATTCCTTCCACTTCTGTTTTCTGGAATAAGTTGGGTAAATTTGTGTTATTTTTACTTTGAATGTTTAGTAGAATTTGCCAATGAAAGTATCTTGATGTAGAGGTCTAATTTTGGAGTGCTTGGCAATGAATTCTATTTCTTTATAGTTATAGGACTATTTAGGTTGTCCGTTTCATCATCTTATGTGAGTTTTGGTTGCTTGTGGTTTTTTAGAAATTGGACCTTTCATTTAAGATATTGAGTTTATGTGTATACAGTTGTTATTATTCTTTTTGATGAGAAATCCACAGAATAGTTGTTCCCCTATAAATAAAATGTCATTTTTCTCTGGCTGCTCTCAAGATTTTTTTCTTTTTTTTAGGTTTCAGGAGTTTTATTAAATGTTTGGGTATGGATTTATTTGGGTTTTCCTATTTGTGGTTTGCTTAGCTTCTAATACTTGTAGGTTTGGGTCTCTCACCAAACTTAAGCTTTCAGCCATCATTTCTTTATATATTTTGTCCAGATCATACTCTTTCTCCTTTTCCCCTGAAACTTTGAAAAGAAGAATGCTAGACCTTTTGTTATCGTCTCCCTGAGGTTCCCTTCATTTGTCTTCATCCTTTTTGGTCTTTGTTGTTCAGACAGAATAGTAGCTGTTAGCTACTCTTCAAATTCATGAACTGTCTTCATGTCATGTCTATACTGCTATTGAGCCCATCCACTAGGATTTTTATTTATTATATTTTTCAGTGCTAGAATCTCAATTTGGTTCTTATTTACATCTTGAATTTTTTGTTGAGATTTTCAGTTTTAATGTTTTTTCCAATAGTCTGCAATGGCCAATTTGAACATTGTTATGCTAGCTTTTAAAAGTCTGCCAGATAATTCCAACACCTTTGTCATCTCAGTGTTTGCTTTTGTGGTCTTTTACCATGTGAGTTATAATTGTCCTCATTCTTCTTAGGCCAAGTAATTTTGCATTGTGTCCTGGACATTTTAGATACTAAGTTCTGAGACTCTAGATCTCACTTAAATGCCATGGAACACTTTGATATTTTTGCTACGGAAAGTAACTGAACTGGTTAGGTTCAAGCAGAAAGTTTCAACCCACATTCGGGGGGCTATGGTTCAGATACCAGTTAGTTTTCAGAGCCCTTATAGAGTTCTTCAGATGTGTCACGGGTGTGTGCCACCCAGCGGCCTGTCTGGGGCATGGGCAGTGAACTATTTTTGAGTGTCGTTCCCAAAATATTTGGTTGCTAATTAGGACCAGATTCACATGTGTGCAGCTCAGGGATTCATAAACAAGTTTATGGGGTACCTTTCCTGATCTCCTTCCTCACTGTGATCTCCTCAGTAGTTTTAGGTTTCTAGAGGCTCTGTTTTTCACTCCTCTAGCCAGAAACCTGGGGTTCTAGTTCCCCCTCTCTTCTGTATACTTCCATGGTAGAGGCCAAGCAATAGGAGGACAGAAAAAGGGAGGAGAAAAAGCAATGGGGATTTGTCTCTCTCATTGAGTCTACACTAAATTGAGAGGTAGGTTCCCCTACTGTACTAGTCAGGGTTCTGTAAAAAAAACAGAACAATATTACTTTGTATTTTGTTATGAATAAGTGTGTTTGTGCGTGTGTTTACGTGTCTGTGTGTGTGTGTGTGTGTGAGAGAGAGAGAGAGATAGGGGAGAGAGAGAGAGAGAGAGAGAGACTGATTTGTTTTAAGGAATTGGATCATGTGCTAGTGAGGGGCCTGCAAGTCCAAAATCTGCAAGGTAATCTGGCAGGATGGAAACCCAGGAAGGAGTTGAAGTTACAGCTTGAAGACAGTATTCTCCCTAGAAGGAAAACTCCCTCTTCCTTGGGAGTCCTAAGTCTTTTTCTCTTAAGGCTTTCAACTAATTGGATGAGGGCCACCCATATGATGGAGGATAATCTGCCGATCTCAGGTTCTACTGATTTAAATGTTAATCTCATCTGGAAAACTATCTTCACAGCAACATCTAAACTGATGCTTGGCCAAATACCTGGGTCTTGTGGCCTAGCCAAGTTGACACATAAAGTTAACCATTACAAGGCCATCCCTTCTCAACTTGGCACTCACGCACATCTCCTTAAACTACACTTAATCTCCAAATAAAGGCAATATTCCCACCTAACAAGATACAACCATCCTGCACAAAACTGAACACACACTATTCCTTCCCCCAGAATAGGATGCAGAGTCCTTGGGTGATGTTTACACTTTTCGATATCCTGAGTAATATGATGTAAAGTTAACAATATACTTAAATACCATAAAGTAGAGCCAATACATCTTATGTTATATGATAAGGAGATAAGAGAGGGAAGAAAACAAAGATATTTGCTTGATACACACACACATCATACATCACACACACACACACATAACAAAATACAAAGCAATACCCATGACAACTGCATCTCTCTAAGAGCTTTGACTCCATTAGCTTCCTGTTAACAGCTACTCTCCCTGCTGCCTCTGGATCACTTGGGGTCTCAGTGAAGAGAGAAAAGAGATAAGAAAAATAATTGTTTTAAAAATGAGTGAGTCCCTCACTGGGTGCATTAGGAATTCACTTTCCAGCTCCTTGAGCTGGCACTAGAGGAGCTCTTAGAGCTGTCTGTCTGTGCCCTGATGTCCCCTTCTAGGTTTTGGAATATGAGGAGTACAGGCCAGGGGACACTGAGGGGAAAAAAAAAGCTCATTGCCAGATCAATAGTACTTCAAACTTTTGTGCTCTTTTTCAATTTTATTGCTGCTGTTTTCTTTTCAGGTTATTTGCATAGCTTCCCCATGCATTCTGCCCAAGTTTTATGGTTGTAATCAGAGGGAGATAAAGTGTGAGTGTGTACATCTCACCCACAATCAGGACTTCTCACCTGCTTTGTTCACCTAATAAGGGAAATACAAAGTGACTACTAGAAAATTTCAGGTAATATATGTGACTCACATTTGTGGCTTTCCTTTCTTTATATTTTCATTGTATAGTGCTGGTCTAGAAGTTTGATAGACAATTTTTTAATCCATATAATTAATATCAGTGAAGCACCTACTTTGTGTTAGACTGTTTGCTAAGTGCTGGGATACCACATTGACAAAATAAACACAGTCCCTTCCATCATGGAAGAGTCTAGAGTGGTAACAGATTTCAATAAGTGATAACACACCCAAAACTATATCATTATTCTTACAATAAGCACCATGAAGGAAATAAAGAGTATGCCATAAAGTTTCCAACCTAGGACTATAATCCGGCAGGGCAGGCCATGGAAATCTTCCCAAAGGAGTGGCATTTAAGTTAAGATGTGAAGGTAAGTAGGAGTTTCCTGGTTGAAGAGGGGAGGGAAGGAGAATTTTTGGCAGATATAACCCATGGGCTGTAGATTTTAAGGCAGGAAAGAGCTTTCCTCAAGGAAAAGAAGGTTGGTGCTGGTAGGAGCAGAACAGAGGCCCGAGTTGGTTGGGTGAGGTATGTATTGCGCCTTGGTAAGGCCCTGTCAGGAGTGATGCCTGACAAACACTAGTTATGTATTTCTCCACAAGATTATCCCGTTTGCTTTGGGGTTTGTTTCTGAGAGGAAGCGGGCCCAGGAAAATGTGCCCCACTACTTCTGAAGAGTAAATACAGGAGTTTTGGAGGCCTGAGAAGATCCATTAAGTATTTCCTAGACCACTTCCCCTCTTCCTACTCTTTCCTCGTATCACTGGACGCCACCCAGGGCCTGCAGACTATCAACTCTCGAGTTTGAGAAGTTTCTTTGTAGTTTTTCTAACATGATACCCTCATAAAGGTGTGTGATGCAAAATTATGAGGTCCAGAGGAATTACAGATGAGTCCAAAATAATAATACAAGTTAGTAGCAGCAGAGCTAGGACAGAGCCTGGAAATCTCTCATGTTTGCCATGAAAAAGGAAAAAGCAGAAGTGTTGACCCTGACTTCTTTTTAAACCAGCTGTTTCCCACTTCCCTAATTCAGCTCACACTGGCTGGAGACATAAGGTCTCTTTGTCCTCATCTTCCTACATACAGCCAAGTTACTCTGGTAGTGATAGTGGCAGGAGGCAGTCAAATGCCTAGACAGATGGGGCTGGGTCCCCAGTGAAACCCCACCTTCAAACCAAAGACATTTTAAAGCCTGAAAACCAAGCTACAAGTCCTGGGTAAATCCACAGACCAGATTGAGAGCCTCTCTTCCCATTTGGCACTTTCTTCTGATTGATCCCCACCCTTCATCTATTTTACATATACTTACCCTTCCCTAATTAGTTTTTTACACTGTTGTGCCCAACTTTGAGTGGTCTGTTTGTTTTGGCCTTTTTTGCATACTCACGGACCAATCAGCATGTACTCTCCCATTCTGAGTCCATAAAAGCCCTGGACCCAGCCACACTAGGAGGGAGACCACCCAACTTCAGGCGGGGGACCATCCTCACATTACCTCTCCACCGAGAGCTGTTCTGTCACTCAATAAAATTCTTCTTTGCCCTCCTCGCCCTTTGATTTTAGCATAACCTCATTTTTCTTGGATGTGGGACAAGAACTCAAGAACCACCAAATATGGGTATGAGCTGTAACATAGGTGGGCTGGGATGCACCTGGCCCAGCTGCGGGCTGAGCATGGATCTCACTGTGTGCATGGGATCTGGGCCAGGGCACAAGCTCAGGTCCTGGGCTGAGCGAGGCCAGGGCAGGGATGTCGCTGGCCACGGAGGTCCCTAGATGGCAAAATGACCAAGAAAAATCCTGCATCAGTAGTTCTTTAAAACTACTGTCCTGGTATAGATTATCTCCAACTTTTAAGACTTTCCAAAAACTAAGAGGTGGGACTAAATCCATTCTAGAATGTTCCTTGGACTCCCTACCTATATGTAAAGTCGTATTTATCTGAGTAACTTTTAAAAGAGTATTGCTCTCTCATTTTTATGCTAAATCTTCTCCTTTTCCCTTTATCAATTCCATCCACATTGAGCATACTGATAGAGGAAACTTTGGTTTTCCTTTTTCATAAAACAAAACACTATTAAGAGCTTCACTTTTACAATCAGCTTGACATATGTGAATACACTTATTCAAATGCCATTTGGATACTGGACACCATCAGTGAGAGGGATTTTGTGGCTTGGATCGCTCCTAATCCCAGCTTAGCTGGCTATGAGAGAACTTTGGACACTAGTTACAACTTTCTTAGCCCTGGAAAAGAGAGACATTTTCCTATATTGCAGCATCTGTATCTGGCAAGTAATAGAAGCATTCATAACCAGGCCCATGAAGGAATTTAACCGGGTTAGGTATTTATTGGCTGACATTAGCCCAGTGGATGGAGGGCTTTGTATGTGTTTATTTAATGGTCAGTCACATTAAGGGTTAACAAGCAAAGTTAAGATTTTGGGGAGAAAATGGCCATCTCACACATCTGGTCAGTGCATGTTGCTCAACATCACAGGCAGACCAGAGATTTATTCTTAAATATCATATTAGCCAATATTTGATGGTCCCTTTTCTATACCTGTCTGTCATTTTTTATTTAACAAACAACTGTGTAAGATAAATTAATCAGCAGTGTAAAGTCACCTACATAGAACTGTGCCAAGACTGAGTGGAAGTTTTGACTGTGGGTCTTGCTCTGAAAAACTAAACAAGAGTCACAGATTCCTGATTTGGGAACTACTTTCACTGAGGCAAAAGGCAGAAAAGGGTGATTGTAAATCCAGGCTGGCCAAGAGTAAACTGCAGTTCCTCCTGCTGTTGGCCAGAGAAAAAGCTATTATGCCCCTCACAAGAGGAACAAATGGCCCACGAGTCTCTTCTTTGGCCACTCTGAGGGATGCTCCCTCTCTCACTCCGTTTCCTACTCCTGTACTCCAGACATTGCTGCTCACACACATCCTGAAGCAGCTATGAGTTTTGGTTTTCCTGGCAGCTTGGGTTGGACAATGTCAAAAAAATAACCAATGTTAAGACTGAACTGGAGAGGGGATTCTACCACACACTGAGTTGCTTTAGTACGCAAGTAAGTTTCAACTGCAGAAAAAAGAGTTGAAGACACATGACATGGCTGTCTACAGATGTCTTAAGGACTACCAGAAGGAAGAGGGTTAGGCTTATTTTGTGTAACTCCAGGATGCAGAATTTGGTTAGGCTGGATTTATAACCAGCTGTTTCCCCCTCTTGCCTCAGTGAAAACCATTACCAGATAGTGAAAGTCTGACTCTTCCAAGCATTGAGATTGCAACCCAAGAGTAAGATATAAAACAAGGTAGGTGATCACTTCGCCAAGATTGTTTTCCCTCTTCTATATTTACTTTGCCATCAGTTAAAATAATATAGTATTATTGATAATATTGATAATCCAATCATTGTAATCATTAACTAGAAAATAACTTTTCTTCTGGATTTATTATTTTAAAGCCCACTATAATCGTAATTATTATTTCATTACACTCATTTTTTACAGAATTCTCAAAGAAAATATAACTTCAACTCTAAGAGAAAACTAATGCATACACAGGAAATTTCATTTCAAGGTAGTGTTGGAATGCTTGTGCTCAAATGAATAAAGAACATCTGCCGTTACACCTCCCACCTTTATGGTCACATTTTCAAACTTTTATTTCCTTTAATTTGCCATATCAGAATCTCTCTTTCCTAAGCAAAGACAGGCATGGAAAGAGTCAGTAGCTTCTGCTCTTCACTTTCAATAACCATCAAAATGTTTTTCAATTAAACATGAGATTTGAAAAGAATGAACAGTGTGCAGAAAAGGTGAGACTAGTTGTCAATCCACCTTTTCTAGCTATGTCTTGATTTTTAACTGTCAGCAGCTAAAGACCAAGAGATCAGAAAGCCAGCAAAGACCCTGTATTGTAACCCCCAACTGTGAACTGTGTGTTTTCTCTCAGGGATTGAATGTTTGAAAGATAAGCAGATTTTTAGCTGTTCAGAAAAGTTTGCACACAGTAGGAAAGGAAGAACTTCAAAAGCTCTCCATCCTTCTCCTAGTTCCTGAACCTCTGCCAAAATCCAGACATATTCTAGTTACTTCTGGGAAAGCCACCTTCTCCCCTGCAACAGAAAACACATCAGCCTCGACATTTAACCAGCAGATGGCTTCCAGGGAAAATATAAATGATCCACCTGCTGAAGCAAGGAGCTGACATAAAGTTGGACATATTTACAAATGACTCATGGTGATGACTTCCTTGTGGTTGTCAACATGCAGCCTCCTCATCCACCTCTAATTGCTGGGTGGACAGCCCAGCAGGTGATGTAGCTTCACTGTTTGTTCGGCAGGGGGACTGCAGGGACCCATCTCTAATATGACCCTTGAGCCCTGCGGCAAGGATCTGGCCTCATTTTTCTTGGAGCCACAATGCTTACCCCACTTCCTTCCTGCAGCAGGCACTTGTGAATATTTGTTGAAATGAATTTGAATCCAAGGCAATGAATGAGGATGCTAATTTCTCTAGTTGTCTTTCAGGACATAAGTAGGCAGGTTTATTTTTAGAGTATTGATGGAAAGTCAACACTTATGTCAATGTCTCTTCACTAAGTTGTTTTGCCTAGAGTCATAGAGCCTCAGACTTAAACAACCTGTTGGGGGTTACCTGGTCTTACAGGTCCTCTGTATACATTTATGCTTCTCCTGGGAAGCAGTGGCTTCTGAACTCTTCTGAACAGTACATATTCTACCACCATCTCATAAGGATGTCCAATAAAATCTATACTCAGATTTACAAATCAATTCTATTCATAGATGAGAATTACTCTTTTTTTGTCAAGGAAAAAACACAAGGGTGCTATGGTGTGAGCATGTGTTGGGAACTTAATCCCTAATGCAACAGTGCTGGGAAGTGGAGCCTAGTGAGAGATGATTAGGCCATGAGGGCTCTGCCCTCATGAATGGATTAATGCTGATATGGCAAGAGGGGGTTTGTCATAAAAAAGTGAGTTTAGTCCCCTCTCTCTTGCTCTCTGTTGCCCTCTCTTTGCCCTTCTGCCATGGGAAGACATGGCAAGAAGGCCTTTGCTAGATGCCACTGCCCCCCGCCCCCTCAACCTTGGACTTCCTGGCCTCCAGAACCATGAGCCAGTAAAGTTCCGCTCATTGTAAATTGCCCAGTCTGCGATATTCTGTTACAGCAGCACAAATTTGACTAAGACAGGAGGGTGATATAACTATCAAGTATTGTAGTAAGCATTAGTTGTGTTATTTTGGAAAGTGGAAGATATTTGACTTACCTCTTTTTAAATTAAATCATTCAATGTATACTAAATCTACATAATATAGTATTCTGTGTGTGTACTGCATGTAAACATATAATGCTAGATCAGTGAGCAACATTACTGATTATGTTGCCATGGCCTCCTTATTTACAGAAAAAGAATACTAGGAACACAGAGAAAAGGGGCATACCCAGGAACTTGTAGTGGCAAAGCCCATTAAAGGAAAGTGAAACATCAACAGAGCCTGGAGGATGAACAAAGATCAAGACAGAAAGGACAAACAGGAGAAGTGGAAAACAGAGAATAAAGAAGCAAGGTGGGAGAAGAGAAAAATGAGAGCCTGGTAGAAGTAGGAAAAGAAGAAACAGAGAGGACAGTGAGCAAGGGAAGGTGAGGAGTGGAGGAGAGGAGGAATAGTGAAAGGAAAGCTTAATGTAAGAGAAACTACAGTATAATGATTAGGAAAATGGACATTGGGGACTAATGGCCTAGGATGATATACCAACTCTGCTCCTTACTTGCTGTGTGATCTTGGGTAAGTCACTTTACTCAGTTTTCCTCATCTGTTAAATGGGAATAACAGCAGAGCTTACTTCACAGTAAAGTGCTGGGACAGGATGAGCACAACAGAAATGTGTTGTTTCTCATTATTGTCTTGTGATCCATCCCCTGATCTGGGGCCCTGGCAGCTCCCACATGTCTCATTCACTGTCAAAAATAATAAGCATTTGTGAACCCATGTCTTATTGATTTTTCAAGTCCTAAATATGAAAAACTTTCCCTAATACTATGCTAATATTTTTTTTCAATTTCAAATAATCTGTTCAAAGCATAATTACAGTGATTAGATTTCTGGAAGAATATAGACTTTAGATATTCTTTCCCATAAGTAAACCAAATCAGACCACATGTTTCTAATTCCTCAGATACATAAACATTGTATGTTGTTATTTTGGCATGCGGGGCAAAGAAATTGTTCAGACAATGAGCACAGGAGGGCTAACTCATGTGGTTGTCAGTGTAGTGACATGCACTTCTGAAAGGCTTCTGAGCAAAACCTATCCTTGGATGACTACATTTCCACTGTGAGCCCCAGCCTATCAGATGAAATCCATTTATGGATGTCACACTTCTGCCCTCCACTCCCTACCAGTTCACCCAACTGGCATTTCAGATCAATCTATGAATTACCAATTTATATGCCTAATGTCCTAGAGTGCATTGCTCATTGACACGTTGGCTATGCGAAAGTCCCTAAAAGTCAAGACAGGTTTAAAGTCCAGACAGATTTGATGGTTGTCTTGGATAGCTGAGTCTTTCTGAAGCCACGGGGCTATAAACACACAGAACAAATATTATGGTCTGGTCCTATCAGATTTCTCGGTTGTGATGAGCACATAATCTATACTTACAGGAAAATTTGACGTTTTCATTATTTTTATTTTCAAAATTGTGTCTTTGGTATAACTGACTCAGGGCAAAAAAAAAACAAAACAAATATTAACACATTAATTAAAATGCATAAAACGCAGGCTGGAAGCAGTAATTAAAACAGCTGAATTCCGCCTCAGGGGAATCTAACCTACACTTTCATGGGAAGTAGTTCAGAAATCCTGAAGAGTTAAAGTTCATTCTGGCCCTCATATAGTAAGTGTTAGTTCTCCATTGGATCTCAGCTTCTATACTATTCTCAGCAATTTACAAAATGTACCAAATAAATACTAGCTTTTTGAACTGAGTACTTTACGGTACAATCAGACTCCACATTACCCTCAATTTAAGGTGGGCAAGTGACCAAAGACAGTATAAACTTACCTATTGCTGCTTTCCTTCTTCTCCTAAAGCTTCTTTTACTCTCTGGGGTGATTTTAAACTAAGGGTCATATGTACAGATGTAGACGTGGGAAAGAAAGGGAGCAGGGACCAATAATAAACATTGAATTTTTGAAGAAAATAGATAGTATTTTAGAGGATTGTACTTGGGGATGAGGGTGGGGGGAGAGCAAATACAGGCAAGCCCTGCCAGTTCTCAGTGCCCACACCTGGTTTTCTGTGGCATGACTGTTCAAAGATAGCTTTTAACTTATGGTGTATTTCAAATATACTGCATGTACTACACACACACACACACACACACACACACACACACACACACACACACACCAAACCTTGTGCCCAGCTAAAAAATTAAAATTTGAAAATTCACTGAAGTCCCCATATCTCTCCCTGATCTCATCCTCCCCCATCACACACAGTAGAGAGCATTATCTGTGACTAGGTGTTCAGATATATCCGCACATGTATCTCTATATTGTTTTGTTTGTTTTGTATGTTTGCATATTTATTTAAACGACTATGTAAAATTCCATTAGCCATTTTTTAATTCTAGGCTAGCTTCTGTTATTTACTTGTCATTTTGCAGGATAATCATTTCTGCCACCAAATGGCTAGTCATTATGACAATAAAATGATGTAATTTAGAGGTTAAAAAAAAAAGTATACATCAACAATTAATTCAAAGCTCCATGAGGGCTGAAATGGGCCTCTTAGCCAGGGTTCTATTCTGTTTTCAGCACCTAGTGCAATTACCTGGCATAAACTTGGTGCTCAGTGAATATCAGGTGAGCAGATCAGCAGATGAAGACAGGAAGAAAAGACCTCTTGTCCCATGATCGCGCTTGGTTTCTCCTCACTGCTGTTTCCTCTGGTGGTGTAGCTTAAGTGCTGAAATCAGTCTTTCATTCCCACAACATATTAACATTGGAGCAATTTCAGTTGAAGAAATCTGCAGTGCATTTTGAGGTTGTAACCAGAGAAACAATGCAACTATTACAATTCTCTAAACTCTAGTAAAATGTATTCAGGCAGGACCTCAATCAATAACCCTGGAGTTGAAGAGAAAAGGAGGAATTGTTGAGCAAGGAGCTAAATTATCTTGTTTGAGTGATTTGATTTCCTCTAAATACAAGGTCACATGTGGCCAATTTAATTCTCCCTACTCATAAAGAAGTCCAGATCAAAACAACTAAATTGAACCCAAATTTCACAGTTCTTTTCCCTCAAGGCCCAACTCAGAAGCTCACAGACATCAATGACTGATGATTTTTATGACAAGCTCCAGTCTTGGCATAATGGGGTCCCTCAGTTCGTTTGAAGACCTTTTCATTTGTGATATAACAGCACTGTTGTTGGCAGCATTCGATGACATCATAGTCATAAAACTCAGCAACAGCAGGAAGATTGTCTTGGTGTCGAAGTGGGAATTCTGCCGTGGCCAACACCACGCCATCCTGTGTTCTTTGTTCAAGCTCAATGTTCAGGCTGGGTTGGCCTTATCCAGTTATGGGCAGTAACTAACGTGCAGGCCTGCTAATTTTTGATTGCTATGTCCAGCTAAGAAACACAGCTTGTCCCTGACCTTTGACCCCCAGCATTCTCCTGTTCTCAAGCCTTTAGGATTAGTAACTCAAGTAGCCATGTCTATGAGGGCCTTCGATGGGTGTCTAAGAAATGCAAACATGAAATTTCACCACCAGAAATTTGGCTCTTTAGATATCAAGGGCATTTCTGGCTTTGTTGGACTTAAAAAATCAAAATTCTCCAGGAAAAGGCCTGTCAGCTCTCTGTGGGGGAGAAGGAACTTGTGATGGTACAACATGGCCCAATTTCTTCTCTAGTAGCTGGCTCTATCCCTACCCCACTGGCCCCAGCCCAACCATGGGCCAAGTATGCAAGGCCCACACCTCTGAGGTCCTGGGCACTCTTAGGCCAAGAGCCAGCAGGGGATGCACAGGCAGCTCCACTGAGAGTCTAGCAGAGCCCTGCACAAACCTCAGCGATACTCCATCTGTCCTTGATGAGGACTAGAAAATGGTTCACTCACCCTCCATTTGCCTCAAGTGTTATTAAAAATAATCAAGAGTGGAAATAAATGTAACATAACTGGGCCACTGTAGAGACAGAATGTTGCTGTAAAAATCTGCAGAACAGAACTAAAATACCAGTCTCTCTAGGTAAAACACAGACATGAAAATGGCTTTAACAGGAGGTAAATAATATGAAGTCACATCCTCAGAAAGTGACCGAATCTGCCTACCAGTTACTCTATAGGAAGGAGGAGCTTTGCAGATAGACACTTCACTTTGTGCCTCCTGTTGCCATAAGACAAACCCAGGCATTTTCTATGAGTTAATGCCACTGTCTCTTCAGCACCCTGTCTCTTCAGCATCTTGGAAAGTAAAAACAAACCACATCTGAACAGGATCTAGGAACTGTTTCTCTCAGAGAAGCTAAAAGTGTTTCTTGAAGGCCATTGAATTGCGTGCCATTGCTATTCCCGAGCTGCCTTTTCCTAAGTTGAGCAGAACAACAGAGGAATCTAATGTTCCTGTCCTTGGGGAAGTATTTCCTCCTTATTAAACAGTTCGTGTTCCTGAGTGCTGTCTTCAAAACCTGCTGTTCATTCTCCACTGAATTCAGGCCAGTCATTCTTCGTTTCCTCAATTAAAGTGGGCCGAGAACTTCCCTTTCCTCACAGAAGGACTGTGACTTTTAATTGCTCTTCCAAGGGTCCCTGAAGTCCCCTTAGAGCCACCCCCACAGCCTGTCTCTCCAGCTCCCACAAGCCTGCTCTGCCATGTTGCATGGACCAAGGCTAATTCTGGCAGACTGAGGGGCCCTGCAGATTCCTCCCATAATATCCCAGGGTGAATTGATCTCCACAGCCCTTCTTGAAAAGTCTTAATGACAGCTTCTCTGAACTAGTTCAACAGGAATAAATCCTCCCACTCCTTCTGACTAGCATTTAATTACTATATGTGCCTCTCCTTGGAGCCCCTGAGAGAAAGACATTGTCAGGCTTGTTCAGCAAGTGTTTCTCAGAGTAGGTTGGTTCTGCAGAGCATGCATTCTGCAGAATATTAACAGGTGTCACCTGCCACACACACAAACTGCAGGCACTTATGCACACACCATGCACCTACGCACACTGCATGCCATACATACATACACTCCTCCCTGCACACACATATACACTACATGCCACATACACCATGGTCAAATAAGTAGAGAAATGCAAACTTAATGTAAAACCAATATTTTGCATCTGCTTTCAGAGCCTTTAATATACTGATGTGTATTGTAAATCTTCAAAAGCAGGATTTGAAGCAGTGTTTCCCAACCTATTCAAACACAGGGCTGCTTCTTTGTGGAAAGCATCTACAATGAAACACAGTCTGCAAAAAACTCTGTCACAACATTTTTTTTTTAAAGATCACTTATTCATCTAAAACTGAAGTGATAATGCCAAGCATTTTAAATAATATTAAAAACATAAACATTTTCAAAAGCATTCAGAGATTAGGCCAGGGGGTGGCAAACTGTGGCCCACCAGCCAAACCTGGCCTATTGCCTTTTTTTTTGTAAAACCCTCAAGCTGAGAATGTTTTTATGTTTTTAAAGAGTTGTGAAAACAAAACAAACAAAAAATCAAATATGCCATGGAGACCATATGTAGCCCACAAAAAGCCCTCTATAGAAAAATTTTGCATAGCTATTAGCCACATGTGTTATTTAAACTTAAATTAATCGAAAATTAAGAAAAATTAAAAATTCAGTTACTAGGTCACAGTGGCCATATTTCAACTGATCAGCAGCTACATGTGGCTAATAACTATCATACTGGAAAATGCAGACGTTCTCAACACTGCAGAAAGTTCTGCTACATTATGCTGGTCTAAATAAAACTTTCTGTTGAGGTTTAGGGTAACACTGTCTGTGGTTCTCTCCCGTTGTTGCTGTGTTGAAGGCATTTTATTTAAGCAGCATGGATATTAGTCTTGCAATAGAGTCCTGACAGATTTCTGATGAATTTCCATCTGAGTATGTTTACCATCTGAAGCCCTCACTTGTACCTTGGTCTTCTGCAGCTCCCAGAAACTGTATCTTGACTGACCCCACCATACCACCAGACCCAGACAGCTCCTGAGACTAGCTAGTAGTTTACAGGAAGATTCCCAGTCTTGAGTTATTTTGGCTTGCCTTCTCTCCTCTTCAAGTTTCTGCCAGCCTCTCTACATCTCTCAGTTTCTTGAGTTTCTCTGCCTTCTGCCTTTCCCGCTAAAATGCAATTCCCTTCACTTTGTTTTTCAGAATTTTGTTCTTCACCTTTTTTGTGACTTTTGGCTTGTATTTACATATTTAAAAACTCATAAATATATTCTGCTAAACAAAGTATCATCTACTTAATTATCCTTTAGCAATATGGAAGAATTGGCAAAACCCCTGAAGCAGAAAAGCATCTTTCTGCATTTTCCCACCCATAACTATAAATGGAAAAGAATAGTATCAAAATTTAGCATTTATAAACATATACATATTTAGTATTATATACATTAGAAGGTCAAGTGCAGAGTTTTTGTGTAAATGGCATTCACCCCCCTTGCCTCATGTCAAGAGTGAAATCTGTTGTTTGGTATATTTAATGTTTCCAATATTTCCTCTTTCTTTAAAAAAAAATTGTTTCAGATAGGAAAATAAACCTTGCCGGTGGGGAGGGGGAATGCCATTTATGTTTTTAATGTTATTGAAAATGATTGGATTATCACTTCAGTTTTAGATGAGTAAGTGGTCTTTTTTTAAAAAAAATGTTGTGATAAGAGTTTTTTGCAGACTGTGTTTCATTGTAGATGCTTTCCACAAAGAAACAGCCCTGTGTTTGAAGGAGAATGTGTGTTGTCAACAAGAGTGAGAAGAGCATTAGAAGAATGAAGGGGTCAACACCATCAAATGTTGCAGAGACCAAAGAGGATGAAGACTATGCCAGACCTTTTCAATGGGTTACTGAGAATTTCTTTAATAAGCTATTTTAGTACAGTGTTGAGAAATGGGTAAGGGTGGGTAGAAACTACAATTTTAAGAAATTTGAGGATGAAAAGAAAAGGACAAAATATTCAAGTACATTTTATTGTTTTAAGACAGAAAAAACAGGAATATGTAGACTCCAATGGATAAACCAGTTATGAAATGAATAAAAAACTGTCCTATGAGAAATTAAACATAAGTTTGCACAATGGGGCAAGTATAGGGTCAGAACTTATAGCACCTGTGTGGTGTGGTTAACACTAGCCAGGTCATTAAAACAAAATTTCATCTAAGAATCAAGAATCAAAGGATTCTGCAGAAGGAGATATAAAATTATTCTATAAGATCACTTATACAATTCATGGTCCATAGACTGCAATTCTTCCAAGTAATAAATAACAAAATTAAGCAAAATAAACAAAAAACACAGAATAAGATTAACTATAACAATAAAAAACATCAAATCATACAGAGAAAATTACTACAAAAGAGAGTTTATAGACATAACGAAAGGCAGAACTGATGTTATACAAACTAGAAACAAGAGACAAATCCCTTTAATTTAAATAAAATAGATTTTTTTTTTTTTGAGACAGAGTCTTGCTCTGTCACCCAGGCTGGAGTGCAGTGGTGCGATCTTGGCTCACTGCAAGCTCCGCCTCCCAGGTTCACGCCATTCTCCTGCCTCAGCCTCCCGAGTAGCTGGGACTACAGGCGCCCACCACCACGCCCAGCTAATTTTTTGTATTTTTAGTAGAGACGGGGTTTCACCATGTTAGCCAGGATGGTCTCGATCTCCTGACCTTGTGATCCTCCTGCCTTGGCCTCCCAAAGTGCTGGGATTACAGGCTTGAGCCACTATGCCCAGCCTAAAATAGGTCTTTTAAAAATGAGTAACAAAAAAACAGTAGTAGTAGATAACATCACAAATAATAAAGGATTGCTAAAACAAAAATAGCCATCAAAATTCAAAATTTATTGAAGAGTAAAATGGGTTAGACAGAGCCAAAAAAAGAATTTAAAGCTGGAAGATTGATTTGAAAAATACAAGCAGAATGAAAAATGGAGTGATAAGGATGTGGAAAATACGAAAGAGGTTAAAAGACATGAAGTTACTCCTGTTTTCTAAGATGGAATAACAGGAACTAGATTTACTTTCCCATCTGAAACAATTTTTTTTTAAGAAAGAGGAAATATAGGAAACATTAAATATACCAAACAACAGATTTCACTCTTGACATGGGCAATGAAGAACAGTAATTTCTGAAATTAAGAAAACAAATGAAATGAGCTCTACCTTTGTCCTAACTGTCTTGAGAGTTTCCAGGTAATGGCACAAAGAAGGGAATGGCACAAATTCCTAGGCAAAACCCAGTGGAATCCCTTAGGTGAGGAGACAAAGGCAGCTAAAATATACAAGGCAGAGTGCTGGGAAAAGAGAGAAGCACACAGAGAAAATTATAGGGATATGCAAAGTGAACCCCCCTCCAGTATTCAGCTGAGTGTGAACTAATTCATGGATGTGAGGAAAATACCCAAGACTAGGAAAAGAACCACCTGAAAGGAATAGAAGTAATAGTACTCTGACCAGGATTAATGCCTATTCTAACCAGTGTGAATTGCTAACTTCAAGAATCATGGTACATTGGGTAGAATGCCTGAAGAATCTTGTGTCACTAGTAGAAAAATATTAGCCCTGGTCAAAAACTATCTAACAAATCTTTAAAACAATACCCAAAAGAATCAAGGTTTTCCAGTAAGTTACATGTTTCCCAGACCAAACACACACACACACACACACACACACACACACACACACACACCAGCAAACAAAAATTGAAAGAAAATCCTCAAGAACATTGATAGGAATACAAAGATAACCTGCATCCAACATGATAAAATGCACAATGTCTAGAATCCAATAAAAAATTACCAGACATGCAATTAATGGGAAAACATAATATCTGATGAGAAAATAAATGAAACCAACTGACATAGATATTAGAATTTAAGTGCACAAACTGACACAGATATCAGAATTAGAATACAAGGACATTAAAGTAACTATAATTCATATGCTCAAAAAGTTAAATGGAGAGATGGAAAATACAAAAAAAACCCCACAAACCTACTTCTAGAGATGAAAACAGGAAGGAAAACATATGAACGAGATTAATAGCAACTAGACATTGCAGTTAAAAACAAAAAAAAAGAAAAGAAAGAAAAGAAATGGTAGCCAGGCACAGTGGCTCAAACCTATAATCCCAGCACTTTGGGAGGCTGAGGTGGGTGAATCACTTGAGCTCAGAAGTTCGAAACCAGCCTGGGCAACATAGCAAAACCCCATCTCTACAAAAAATACAAAAAATTAGTCAGACATGGTGGCATGTGCCTGTGGTCCCAGCTACTCAAGAAGGCTGAGGTGGAAGAATCACTTGAACCTGGGAGGCAGAGGTTGCAGTGAACCAAGATTGCCCCACTGCATTCCAGCCTGGGTGACAGAGTGAGACCCCATCTCAAAAAAAAAAAAAAAAAAATTAGTCAACTTGAAAGTATGACAGTAAAATCTTTTCAAATTTAAATATGAACAAAAGAAGAATTAAAAAAAATGACAGAAGTAAGTAGTGGAAGTGAGCAGCAAAACTCAAAAAACTTCAAGCATGTAATTAGAGTCCGGGTGGAAGAAAAAGGAAATGTGGGCCAAAAAAATGTATTTGGCCAAAATTTTTCAAAAATGACAAAAACTATAAACCCACGGATCCTAGAAGCGTAACAAACCCCAAGATCAAGAAAAATGAAGAAAACCACACCAAGGTACATCATATTTAAATTGGCCAAAGCACTGATAAGGAGAAAAATCTTTGAAGCAGCAAGAGAAAAAAAAATGACATATTATATACAAAGAACAAATAAAGATTACAGTTAATTTTTTCAGAACTCAAACAAGTAAACATTGAATAAACATCTTTAAAGTACTGAACAACAACAACAAAAGCTGTCAGCTGTGAATCCTATATTAGCCTTTCAAAGATGAAGGCTAAATAAATATTAAAATAATTAATCGCCAGCAGACTGACACTATAAAAACTGTTAAGTCAATTTTTTCTAGCAGTAGAAAAATATATGGATGAGATTAATGGCAACTAGACATTGCAGAAAAAACAAAGATTAGTAAACCTGAAAGCATAACAATAAAAGCTATTCAAACTTAAATACAGAGAAAATTTAAATACAGAGAAAAGGAGAGTCGAAAAAATGAGCAGATAGAAATCTGGATCTAAGCAAATGGGAGAAATGGAAACAAAATGCATAAGTATATAAGATATTTTCTTATTTTAATATCTTTAAAAGATGACTGACGTTAAAAAAAAACAAAAATATTAGCAATGTGGTGAGGTGTTTATAGCATACAGAAAAAGTAAAACATTTTATAACAATAGCACAAAGTTTGGGAAGGGTGAAATGAAAGGATACTACTGTCAGGTTCTTACACTATATATGAAGGCATATAATATTTGGAGGTGGCCTTTGATACACTAACAATGTGTATTATAACCTCTAAAGCAAACATTAAAATAACAAAGCAAAGAGTTATAGCTAATAAGCTAACAAAGGAGATAAAATAGAATCATAGAAAATATCCACTCTATGCACAACAAGATACAAATGAGGAAAATGTAACAAAGAAGCCATGGGACAAATAGAAAACAAATAGCAAGATGATAGACTTAAACGTAACCTTATCAATAATCACATTAAATATAAATGGTTTAAACACCCCAAAGCAAGACCCAACTATATGTTACACACATTAATAGAAAGACATAATTAAGTTAGAAAAAGATATTATATGCTAACACTAATCAAAAGGTGATAAATTTTCTATGTTAATTTCAAAGTAAATTTCAGAGAAAATAATATTGGCAAAGATAAAGAAAAAGATAAATATAAAGATAAAGAAAAATGAGGAAATCCTGCAGGAAGTCAATCAATGCTGTGTTTACTTACCTAATAACAGAACTTCAAAGCACATGAAGCAAAACTTGATAGAACTTCAAGGGAGAAAAATATTCACATATAGTTGGAGATTTCAGTGATTTTCTCTCAGTAAAAATAGAACAAGTAGGCAAAAATTCAGTAAGAATATAGAGGATTTGCAGAATGATAGACTACTCTACACATCAACAGAATATACAGTCTTTCCAAGAGCATACAGAAAGACTATGTTCTGGGCCATAATATAAGTTTCAATAAATACGAAAGGATTGAAGCTCATGCAAATTATGCCCTCTTACTACAGTGGAATTAAATCAGAAATCAATAACAGAAAGATCTCTTGAAAAAAATCTCTAAATACTTGGAAACTAAAAATGTCACTTCTAAATAACACATGGGTCAAAGATGAATCAAAGGAGAACTTAGCATTTCGAACTGGGTGAAAATGGAAGCACACCATGTTAGGTGTGCTTTGCGGGATGCTGCTAAAGCAATCAATAAAACAGAAAGCAAAACAAAACAGGGAAAATCAGTGAAACCAAAAGCTGGTTATTTGAGAGAATAAATAAAATTAACAAACCTTTAGCTAGACTGATGAGGATCAAAGAGAATACACAAATTACCAATATCAGGTATAAGAACAGTGACATTTACAGATTTTACGGATATTAAAAGTATAACAAGCAAATATTATGAACAATTTTGTTCTAATAAATTTGCCAACTTAGATGAAAGGGACAAATTCCTTGAAAAACACAAAACTACCAAAATTCATTGAAGAAGAAATAGATTACATGAATAGTGCTATATCTATTTTTAAATTGAATTTGTACTTTAAGTCTTGCCACAATTGAAACACCAGTACCAGATGGTTTTTTAGGTGGATTCTACCAAACTTTTAGGGAAGAAATAATCCCTTTTATACACAAACTCTCCCATAAAAGGAAGAAATATGAATACTTCCAAATGCATCCTGTGACGCCAGAATTACCTTGATATCAAAACCAAATAAGTATTTACAAGAAAAGGAAACTACTAGACCAATTTTCCTCATGAACATAGATGAATATTTTAAACGAAGTTTTAGCAAATCAAATTCAACAAATATAAAAAGTATAATACATCCTAAGTGAGGTTCATTCTAGGAATGCGAGGTGACTGAACATTCAAAAAGCAATCTATGTATTAAAAAAAATCTTTTTAAATGTATGATCACCTCAATAGGCATAGAAAAGGCATTTCACAATATCAAACATTTATTCCTGATAGAAATGCAGCAATCAAAAAACGGAAGGAACTCTCTCAGTGTTAAGAAGACATCTCTGAAATCCCTATAATGGTGAAAGACTGAATGCTTTTCTTATAAATTGAGGAACAAAAGGATATCTACTCCCATCACTATAATCAACACTGCACTGGAGGTTCTATTGGGGTGACCAATCTTTTGGCTTCCCTGGGCCACACTGAAGAATTGTCATGGGCCGCACGTAAAATACACTAACAATAGTGATAGCTGATGAGCTTAAAAAAAAATCACAAAAAAGTCTCATAGTGTTTTAAGAAAGTTTACCAATTTGTGTTGGGTCACATTCAAAGCCATCCCAGGCCACATTCAGCCTTCAGGTTGCAGGTTGGACAATCTTGTAGACAGTTTGGACAAAAATTGCATCCAGAGTAGAAAGGAAGAAATTGAACCATTTTTATTTGTAGATGACATGTTATTTACATAGAAAATACTATGGAATCTACAAAAATCTATCAGATCTAATGAATCAATAAGCAAAGTTATAAGATCAATATAAAAATACTTTGTTTTTCTATACACTGGCAGAAAATAATTGAAAAACTCAAACTAAAACCCAACACATCTTATAATAGCGTTAAAATAAGTATTGAGAGATATAGATGACAAAACTTGTGATAGATGCATAAAGACTACAAAATATGGCTGAGAAAATTTTACATGGATCCTATGTAAATGGAGATATTCATGGCTCAGAAGACTAAATATTAAGATATCAATTCTCCTCAAATTGATCTAGGTTGGGCATGGTGGCTTATATCTGTAATCCCAGCACTTTGGAGGCCGAGGCAGGCCAATCCTTTGAGCCCAGAGGTTCGAGACCAGCATGGTAAGACCCTGTCTCTACAAAAAATAATTTAAAAATTATCCGGGCATGGTAGTATGTGCCTGTAGCCCCAGTTACTCAGAAAGCTGAGGCAATAAGATCCCTTGAGTCCAGGAATTCGAGGCTGCATTGAGCTGTGATCATGCCACTACACGCCAGCCTAGAGTGAGATCCTGACTCTTAAAAAAATATTGTTTTTGATCTATTGATCTATAGATTCAAACCTCAAACCCAATCAAAATCCCACCAGGCTTTTTTTGGGGGGAAGTGTTGGGGTAGATGTTGACAAACTAATTCTAAAATATGTATGGAAAAGAACAGGACCTAGAATATCCAAAACAACTTCAAAGAAGAAAAAGAAAGTTGGAGTAATAACACTACCTGATTTTAAGACTTATAAACAAGTCAGTTTAGTGTATCAATGTCAAAAAATGGGTCAATTGAAGAGAATAAAGAGTTAATAAATAAACCCAAACAGAGATGGTCAACTGAATTTTTATAAAGACACAAACAAAATTTAGATGCTGAAGCAATTGGATGTCTGAATGCCAAAAAAGGAGAACTTCAATTCACTCTTCATACCAAGTAAAAAATTAAGTCGAAATTTCAAAATCATCATTTTGACCTTAAATGCAAAACCTACAATTATAAGACTTACAGCAGAAAATATAAAACCTTTGCAAATTTGAGTTAGATAAAAATCCTTTCGGTAAGACACCAAAAACATGATTTATGAAAGAAAAAAATGGAACATTGTACATTATCAAAATTATGAAACTTTTGTTCTACAAAAGGCACTGTTAAGACAAGAAAAAGTCAAATCACGTACTGCAGGAAAACATCACAGATCTGATAGTGGACTTGTATCCAGAATATATAAGGAACTCTTAAAACCCAACAATAATAATAAGAAAACAATCAATTTTTGTAATGTGCAAAAGAACAGATGCTCCACCGAATAAAATCTACATGCAGAAGCTATCCCTTATTCACAGAGGATATGTTCCAAGAACCCGAGTGGATGTCTGAAATCATAGATAGTACCAAACCTTATAAATAGATAGATAGATAATATACAATAGGATAGATATTTTTTCCTATGTATACATACCTACAATAAAGTTTAATTTATAAATTAGACACAGTAAGAGATTCACAGTAATAACTTATGGTGCAATTAGAACAATTATAAAAATATGCCAGCATCACTACTCTTGTGCTTTGGAACCTTTATTAAGTAAAATGAGGGTTTCCAGAACACAAGCACTGCAGTACCAAGAAAGTTAATCTTATAGCCAGGGCAGCTAAGTGACTAACAAGTGGGTAGCATAGGCATTGTGGATATGCTGGACAAAGGGATGAGTCACATCCGGGATTGAATGGCACAAAATTTCATCATGCTACTCAGAAGGGCTTGTAATTTAAAACTTATGAATTGTTTATTTACGGAATTTTCCATTTAATATTTTTGGATTGCAGTTGACCAAAGGTAGCTGAAACTGGAAAGTAAGACTACAAATGAGGTGGGAACTATTGTATAGCAAATAGGCACATACAAAGATGCTCAATATAATTTGTTATTTCAGAAATTTAATTAAAATTAAAAACACAATGAGATACTCTACAAACATTTTAGAATGGCTAAAATTAAAGACTGACCATATCGAGCATTGGTGTGAATGTGGAGGAATAGACTCCCATACATTGCTGGTGGGAATGTAAAGTATACAACCACATTGGAAAATGGTCAGCAAGTTTCGTAAACAGTTAAATATACATCTACCTTATGATACAGCCACTCTACTCCTAGGCATTTACTCAAGATAAATAAAAGCATATGTTCATGCAAAGACATGAATACAATTTTTATAGCAGCTTTTAAAAACAATAGGCAAAAAGCTGGAAACAATATAAATATCCACCACGAGCTGAAGGAATAAACATACTGTGGTATGCCCATACAATGAAATACTAGTCAGCAATAAATAAGAATAAACTATTGATACATGCCACAACAAGGGTGAATCTCAAAATAATTATGCCAAGTGAAGGAAACTAAACTCCAAAGAGAGTCCACACTATATGATTCTATTAATATAAAATTCCAGAAAATGCAAACTAACCTATAGTTGATTAGCAGTTCCAAGAACAAGGAAGGATGGGAAGGATTGTGCAGAAACTTTGGGAGCACGTGGACATGTTCATTATCTTGATTGTAGTGATAGTTTTACAGGTATATACTTATGTCAACATTTATCCAAGTGTATACTTTGTTGATTACTTTTCTTGTAGCCATAATGATACGATCATTGTGTATCAAATAAACCTCAGTAAAGCTTTCTAAAAAGTAACAAAAGACATAGAAACAGGTTCAACTTATATTTAACAAGAATTTTAGAAAGAGTAAATACAGTGAGTCAAAGGTAATATTTGCATCAAAATGGCTAAATATTTTTGAGAATTGGGAAGAATAAAAACAAAAATGTGAGTCTACAAATTTAGCAAGCATATTTAGTTCGAGCAGAATAATAACAACAGAAAAATTATTAACACCTAGGCATAAGTGTAACAGCAGAAAACCAACAATAAAGATTAAATCTTTAAAACACAAAACAAAAACAGAGCAAGATTTACAAACATACACATTTCTAAATGCAAACGTTATCATCTGCAACAACAGAGCCCAGATGACAATGGGAAAATAGCTTAATGGTTGCCGAAACTCACTAGTCTGAACTTAATCCTGAGGAAGTGGTGGGTCCTGAAGGCTTTTAAGTAGAGGAGTGATAAGACCAGATTTGTATTTTAGGAAGATCCATCTGGCAAAGTTCAGATCAAGAGGATTTAAGCTTTTGTAATTCAAGAAGTAAGGGCTGAGAGCCTGTACCAAGGGGCAAGGGGAATGGAAAGAACTAATGAGGAGGTGGAATTAAAGGGATTTGGAACTGAATGTTTTAGTGAACAAAGACAGGAATCAAGAATGACTCCTCAGTTTCTGGACAATACAGAAGAAACTGATTTGAGTGGAGAGTAAATGATGAGTTCAGTGTCCTTGCAGAGAGAATTTGAATGCCTAAGATTATCCAGTTGGAACTGTCTAAACAGATCTGTGTTTGTTTTGTTTTGTTTTGTTTTGTTTTTTTGGATATGTGACAGTCTGGAGAAAAAGACTGGGAAGTTATCCAGGATCTTCATAGGTATGAATTAAATTCATCTGCCATGAGTGCATTGAATAAGAAGGGAATTTATCATACAACAGGATCATCTAAGGAATCCTTATTTACTGTTTTGACTATTATAAAGAATTCAAAGAATAAGTACAAATTGGCTAAACTCCATTGCCCACATATAATAGCCTTGTTGACAGCATTCCATTATGTAATGTATATTTGCATGTATAAGGAAAGGATATATAAATATGCAAACTTATTTTAAATGGCATTATATTATATATGTTACTTTCAAAGTAATTACTTTCATTTTAACTGAATTTCACAGAAAATAAAAACACCAAAAAGAAACTTGAAGGACTCACTGAATTTGAAGAAAATATTTCTTCAACCTCAAGAAATATTGTCTTCTAAAAGATTTCAGAAAGGTTATAATATAATATGAAAATACGAAGTGATTTTTTAATATACATGTTTACAAATCAAAAAGTCCCAATGGCTCCTTGTTAACCTTTAAACTAATTTCCCAAATGATGTGTACACAAGTCTTTTTTGAATCTTGTCCCAGTTTTCCTTTCCTTTCCATATTCATGTCCCACCACACCTACCCACACACCAAAACCTCCAAACCCAATTAACAACTCTAAGTAGAATGAAATCTCTGAGGACATTCAGGTATATCTACATTGTGTTTCTGCCTTCACCCAGAGCAAATTGCCTCACTGCAAGTTTAAGTGATCCTTAAACACGTATGACTCCTCCCAGCATGCACCTGCCACTTTAATTTATTAATTGGTGATTAAGTGTGCTTTGATGCTACGATGGCTTCCTACTAAGAGAAAGGCTTGTAAAAATCAGTCTGCTACCACTGCCTTCAGAAAAGCTGACTTAGAACCCTTTCTCTCCAACGTTACTTTAAGCTGGGGTGAGGGGTTGGAGTTGGGTGGACAACTAAGTGAATTCACTAATTATGAAAGGGCTGGGCTGGCAGTCCCGAGAGTTCAGATGCTCTTCCCTCTGAAGATGGAAGACATTGCCCAAGTACAGCCACCATCTCCCGACAGCACATCTCAACCCTGCCTGAGACAACAAATAATCTAGCAGCTCCTTTCTTCAGAGTATGGAAATCTTGTAATATAAGAGTAAACCTATGGGTTGGTCT